>NC_000011.10:55131134-55434164 GCF_000001405.40 Homo sapiens
GGTGAAAAAGCAAATATCTTCACATAGAAACTAGAAAGAAGGTTTCTGAGAAACTGCTTTGTGATGTGTGCATTCATCTCATAGATGTAAACGTTTCTTTTCATTGAGCAGATTGGAAACTCTGTTCTTGTAGAATCTGCAAAGGGATATTTGTGAGCACTTTGAGGCCTATGGTGAAAAAGGAAATATCTTCACATAAAAATAAGACAGAATCTTTTTGAGAAACTTCTTTGTGATGTGTGCATTCATCTCACAGATTTGAACCTTTCTTTTGATTGAGCACTTTGGAAACCGTCTTTTTGTAGCATCTGCAAAGGGATATTTCTGAGCACTTTGAGGCCTATGGTGAAAAAGGAAATATCCTCACATAAAAAATAGAATATTTGTGAGGAACTTCTTCGTGATGTGAGCATTCATGTCAGAGTGCAACTTTCCTTTTCTTGAGCCATTTGTAAACAGTCTTTTTGTAGAATCTTCAAAGGGATATTTGGCAATGCTTTGATTCCTATGTTGAAAAAGGAAATATCTTCACATAAAGACTAGAAAGAAGCTTTGTGAGAAACGGCTTTGTGATGTGTGCTTTCATGTCACAGAGGTAAACGTTTCTTTTCATTGAGCAGGTTGGAAACTCTGTTCTTCTAGAATCTGCAAAGGGATATTTGTGAGCGCTTTGAAGCCCATGGTTAAAAAGGATACATTTTAACATAAAAACTAGACAGAAGATTTCTGAGAACTTCTCTGTGCTGTGTGCATTCATTTCAAAGAGGTAAACCTTTCTTTTCATTGAGCAATTTGGAAACTCTGTTCTTCTAGAATCCACAAAGGGATATTTGTGAGGAATCAAAAAGGAATTATCTTCACATAAAATTACACAGAAGCATTCTGAGAAACTGCTTTGTGATATGTGCTTTCATCTCACAGTTAAGCCATTCTTTTGATTGAGCAGTTTGGGAACAGTCTTTTGTAGAATCTGAAAGGGGACATTTGGGAGAGATTTGAGGACTACGGAGAAAAAGGATATATCATCACATAAAATCTAGACAGGTTTCTGAGATACTGCTTTGTGATGTGTGCATTCATTTCACAGAGGTAAATGTTTCTTTTCATTGAGCAGATTGGGAACTCCTTTCTCGTAGAAACTGCAAAGGGATATTTGTGAGTGGTTTGAGGCCTATGGTGCAAAAGGAAATATCTTCTCATAAAAACTAGACAGAAGCTTTCTGAGAAACTTCTACATGATGAGTGATTTCATTGCACACAGTTGAACCATACTTTTTATTGAGCAAGTTGGAAACCGTTTTTTGTAAAATCTGCCATGGGATATTTGTGAGTGCTTTGAGGCCTATGGTGATAAAGAAAATATCTTCACCTATAAACTATAAAGAAGGTTTCTGAGAAACTACTATGTGATGTGTGCATTGATCTCACAGAGTGAAAAGTTCCTTTTTTTGTTCTGTCTGGAAACTCTGTTCTTGTAGAGTCTGCAAAGGGATATTTTTTAGCACCCTGAGGCCTATGGTGGAAAAGGTAATATCTTCACATAAAAACAAGACAGAAGCATTCTTAGAAACTTCTTTGGGAGGAGCTAAGTTGGCTGAATAGGAACAGCTCCGGTCTACAGCTCCAAGCATGAGCAATGCAGAAGACATGTGATTTCTGCATTTCCAACTGAAGTACCAGGTTCATCTCACTGGGGAGTGCCAGACAGTAGGTGCAGGACACGGGGTGCAGTGCACTGTGTGTGAGCCAATGCAGGGTAAGGAATCACCTCAGCTGGGAAGCACAAGAGGTCAGGGAATTCCCTTTCCTAGTCAAAGAAAGGGGTGACAGATGGCACCTGAAAATCAGGTCACTCCCACCCTAATACTGCGCTTTTCCAACTGGCTTAAAAAATGGCACACCAGGAGATTATATCTTGCAACTTGCTCAGAGGAACCTACACCCACAGAGTCTTGCTCTTTGCAAGCACAGCAGTCAGAGATCCAACTGCAAGGCAGCAGTGAGGCTGGGGGTGGGGCGCCCACCATTGCTGAGTTAGTTGTTTGATTAGGTAAACAAAGTGGCCAGGAAGCTCAAACTGGATGGAGCCCATCACAGCTCAAGGAGGCCTGCCTGCCTCTGTAGGCTCCACCTCTGGGTGCAGGGCACAGATAAACAAAAAGACAGCAGTAACCTCTGCAGACTTAAATGTCCCTCTCTGACAGCTTTGAAGAGAGTAGTGGTTGTCCCAGCATGCAGTTTGAGATCTGAAAACGGGCAGACTGCCTCCTCAAGTGGGTACTGAACCCCGAGTAGCCTAACTGGGAGGCACCCCCAGTAGGGGTGGACTGACACCTCACACTGCTGGGTACTCCCCTCAGACAAAACTTCCAGAGGAATGATCAGACAGCAGCATTTGCAGTTCACCAATATCTGCTGTTCTGCAGCCACCACTGCTGATACCCAGGAAAACAGGGTCTGGAGTGGTCCTCTAGCGAACTCCAACAGACCTGGGCTGAGGGTCCTGTCTGTTAGAAGGAAAACTAACAAACAGAAAGGACATCTGCATCAAAAACCCATGTGTATGTCACCATCGTCAAAGACCAAAGGTAGATAAAACCAGAAAGATGGGAAAGAAACAGAGAAGAAAAACTGGAAACTCTAAAAATCAGAGTGCCTCTCCTCCTACAAAGGAATGCAGCTCCTCACCAGCAATGGAACAAAGCTGGATGGAGAATGACTTTGACAAGTTGACAGAAGAAGGCTTCAGAATATCAAAGAATTCCGAGCTACAGGAGGAAATTCGAACCAGTGGCAAAGACGTTAAAAGCTTTGAAAAAAAATTAGATAATGGATAACTAAAATAACCAATGCAGAGAAGCCCTTAAAGGACTTGAAGGAGCTGAAAACCAAGGGACAAGAGCTATATGATGAATGCAGAAGCCTCAGGAGCTGATGTGATCAACTGGAAGAAAGGGTATCAGTGATGGAAGATAAAACGAATGAAATGAAGTGAGAAGAAAAGTTTAGAGAAAAAATAAAAAGAAATGAACAAAGCCTCTAAGAAATATGGGACTATGTGGAAAGACCAAATCTACGTCTGATTGGTGTACCAGAAAGTGATGGGGAGAATGGAACCAAGTTGGAAAACACTCTGCAGGATATTATCCAGGAGAACTTCCCCAATCTAGCAAGACAGGCCAACATTCACATTCAGAAAATACAGAGAACGTCACAAAGATACTCCTCAAGAAGAGCAACTCCAAGACACAAAATTGTCAGATTCACCAAAGTTGAAATGAAGGAAAAAATGTTAAGGGCAGCCAGAGAGAAAGGTCGAGTTACCCACAAAGGGAAGCCCATCAGAGTAAGAGCTGATCTCTTGGCAGAAACTCTACAAGCCAGAAGAGAGTGGGGACCAATATTCACCATCCTTAAAGAAAAGATTTTTCAACCCAGAATTCCATATCCAGCCAAACTAAGCTTCATAAGTGAAGGAGAAATAAAATACTTTGCAGAGAAGCAAATGCTGAGAGATTTTGTCACCACCAGGCCTGCCCTAAAAGAGCTCCTGAAGGAAGCACTAAACATGGAAAGGAACAACCAGTACCAGCTACTGAAAAAACATGCCGAGTTGTAAAGACGATCATGGCTAAGAAGAAACTGCATCAACTAATGAGCAAAATAACCAGCTAACATCATAATGACAGGATCAAATTCACACATAACAATATTATCCTTAAATGTAAATGGGCTAAGTGCTCCAATTAGAAGACACAGACTGGCAAATTGGATAAAGAGTCAAGACCCATCAGTGTGCTGTATTCAGGAAACCCATCTCATGTGCAGAGACACACATAGGCTCAAAATAAAGGGATGGAGGAAGATCTACCAAGCAAATGGGAAACAAAAAAAGGCAGGGGTGGCAATCCTAGTCTCTGATAAAACAGACTTTAAACCAACAAAGATCAAAAGAGACAAAGAAGGCCATTACATAATGGTAAAGGGATCAATTCAACAAGAAGGGCTATCCTAAATATATAAGCACCCAATACAGGAGCACCCAGATTGATAAAGCAAGTCCTGAGTGACCTACAAAGAGACTTAGACTCCCACACAATAACAATGGGAGACTTTAACACCCCACTGTCAACACTTGACAGATCAATGAGACAGAAAGTTAACAAGGATATGCAGGAATTGAACTCACCTCTGCACCAAGCAGACCTAATAGACATCTACAGAACTTTCCACCCCAGATCAACAGAATATACATTTTTTTCAGCACCACACCACACTTATTCCAAAATTGAGCACATAGTTGGAAGTAAAGCTCTCCTCAGCAAATGTAAAAGAACAGAAATTATAACAAACTGTCTCTCAGACCACAGTGAAATCAAACTAGAACTCAGGATTAAGAAACTCACTCAAAACCGCTTAACTATATGTAAACAAAACAACCTGCTCCTGAATGACTACTGGGTACATAACGAAATGAAGGCAGAAATAAAGATGTTCTTTGAAATCAACAAGAACAAAGACACAACATACCAGAGTCTCTGGGACACATTCAAAGAAGAATATGGAGGGAAATTTATAGCACTAAATGCCCACAAGAGAAAGAAGGAAATATCTAAATTTGACACCCTAAAATCACAATTAAAAGAACTAGAGAAGCAAGAGCAAACACATTCAAAAGCTAGCAGAACGAAAGAAATAACTAAAATCAGAGCAGAACTGAAGGAAATAGAGACACAAAAAACCCTTCAGAAAATCAATGAATCGAGGAGCTGTTTTTTTTGAAAAGATCAACAAATTGATAGACTGCTAGCAAGACTAATAAAGAAGAAAAAAGAGAAGAATCAAATAGACGCAATAAAAATGGACAAAGGGAATATCACCACTGATCCCACAGAAATATAAACTACCATCAGAGAACACTATAAACACCTCTGTGCAAATAAACTAGAAAATCTAGAAGAAATGGATAAACTCCTCGACACATACACCCTCCCAATTCTAAAGAAGGAAGAAGTTGAATCTCTGAATAGGCCATTAACAAGCTCTGAGTTTGAGGCAATAATTAATAGCATATCAACCAAAAAACGTCCACAACCAGATGGCCTCAAAGTGGAATTCTACCAGAGGTACAAGGAGGAGCTGGTACCATTCCTTCTGAAACTATTACATTCAATAAAATAAGAGAGAATCTTCTCTAACTCATTTTATGAGGCCAACATCATTCTGATACCAAAGCCTGGTGGAGGCACAGAAAAAAAGAGAATTTTAGACCAATACCCTTGATGAACATTGATTCAAAAATCCTCAATAAAACACTGGCAAACTGAATCGAGGAGCACATCAAAAAGCTTATCCACCATGATCAAGTAGGCTTCATCCCTGGGTTGCAAGGCTGGTTCAGCATAAGAAAATCAATAAACGTAATCCAGCATAGAAACAGAACCAGAGACAAAAACCACATGATTACCTCAATAGATGCCGAAAAGCCCGTTGACAAAATTCAACAACACTTCATGCTAAAAACTCTCAAAACATTAGGTATTGATGGGACGTAACTCAAAATAATAAGAGCTATCTATGACAAACCCACAGCCAATATGATAATGAATGGACAAAAAGTGGAAGCATTCCCTTTGAAAACTGACAAAAGACAGGGATGCCCTCTCTTACCACTCCTATTCAACATAGTGTTGGAAGTTCTAGCCAGGGCCATCAGGCAGGAGAAGGAAATAAAGGGCATTCAATCAGGAAAAGAGGAAGTCTAATTGTCCCTGTGTGCAGATGACACGATTGTACATCTAGAAAACCCCATTGTCTCAGCCCAAAATCTCCTTAAGCTGATAAGCAACTTCAGCAAAGTCTCAGTATACAAAATCAATGTAGAAAAATCACAAGCATTCTTATACACGAATAACAGACAAACAGAGAGCCAAATCATGAGTGAACTCACATTCACAATTGCTTCAAAGAGAATAAAATGCCTAGGAATCCAACTTACAAGGGATGTGAAGACCTCTTCAAGGAGAACTACAAACCACTGCTCAATGAAATAAAAGAGGAAACAAACAAATGGAAGAACATTCCATGCTCATGGGTAGGAAGAATCAATATCGTGAAAATGGCCATACTGCCCAAGGTAATTTATAGATTCAATGCCATCCCTATGAAGCTACCAATGACTTTCTTCACAGAAATGGAAAAACTACTTTAAAGTTCATATGGAACCAAAAAAGAGCCCACATCACCAAGTCAATCCTAAGCCAAAAGAACAAAGCTGGAGGCATCACACTACCTGACATCAAACTATACTATAAGGGTACAGTAAGCAAAACGACATGGTACTGGTACCAAAACAGAGATATAGACCAATGGAACAGAACAGAGCCCTCAGAAATAATGCTGCTTATCTACAACTATCTGATCTTTGACAAACCTGACAAAAACAAGCAATGGGGAAAGGATTCCTTATTTAATAAATGGCGCTGGGAAAACTGTCTAGCCATGTGTAGAAAGCTGAAACTGGATCCTTTCCTTACACCTTATACAAAAATTAATTCAAGATGGATTAAAGACTTAAATATTAGACCTAAAACCATAAAAATCCTAGAAGAAAACCTAGGAAATGCCATTCAGGACATAGGCATGGGCAATTACTTGATGTCTAAAACACCAAAAGCAATGGCAACAGAAGCCAAAATTGACAAATGGGATCTAGATAAACTAAACAGCTTCTGCACAGCAAAAGAAACTACCATCAGAGTGAACAGGCAACCTACAGAATGGGAGAAAAATTTTGCAACCTGCTTATCTGACAAAGGGCTAATATCCAGAATCTGCAATGAACTCAAATTTACAAGAAAAGCAAACAACCCCATGAAAAAGTAGGTGAAGGATATGAACAGACACTTCTCAAAAGAAGACATTTATGCAGCCAAAAAACACACGAAAAAATGTTCATCATAACTGGCCATCAGAGAAATGCATTTCAAAACCACAATGAGATACCATCTCACACCAGTTATAATGGTGATCATTAAAAAGTCAGGAAACAACAGGTGCTGGAGAGGATGTGGAGAAATAGGAACACTTTTACACTGTTGGTGGGACTGTAAACTTGTTCAGCCATTGTGGACATCAGAGCAGCGATTCCTCAGGGATCTAGAACTAGAAATACCATTTGACCCAGCCATCCCAGTACTGGGTATATACCCAAAGGATTACAAGTCATGCTGCTTTAAAGACACATGCACACATATGTTTATTGTGACACTATTCACAATAGCAAAGACTTGGACCAAACCCACATGTCCAACAAAGATAGTCTGGATTAAGAAAATGTGGCACATATTCACCACAGAATACCATGCAGCCATAAAAAATGATCAGTTCATGTCCATTGTAGGGACATGGATGCAGCTGGAAACCATTATTCTCAGCAAACTATCACAAGGACAAAAAACCAAGCACCGCATGTTCTCACCCACAGGTGGGAATTGAACAAAGGGAACACAAGGGCAGAGGAAGGAGAACATCACACACCAGGGACTGTTGTGGAGTGGGGAGAGGGTGGAGGGATAGCATTAGGAGATATACCTAATGTTAAATGACGAGTTAATGGGTGCAGCACACCAACACTGCCCATTTATATGTATGTAACAAACTTGCACTTTGTGCACATGCACCCTAAAACTTAAAGTATGATAATAATAAAATACAATGAAAAAAAAACTACTCAATCAAAAGAATGGCTCAACTCAGTAGGATGAATGCATGAACACAAAGAAGTTTCTCAGAAAGCTTTGGTCTAGTTTCTATGTGAAGATATTTCCTTTTTTACCATAGGCCTCAAAGCACTCACAAATACCCCTTTGCAGATTCCAGAAGAACAGAGTTTCTAAACTACTCAGTGAAAAGGAACTTTTACCCCATGAGATGAATGCACACATTGCAAAACAGTTTTTCACAATGCTTCTTTGTAGTTTTTATGTGAAGCTATTTCCTTTTTCACCATAGTCCTCAAAGCTCTCCCAAATATCCCTTTGCAGATTCTACAAAAAGACTGTTTCCAAACTGCTCAAAGAATGGTTCAACTCTGTCAGATGAAACCACACGTCACAAAGCAGTTTCTCATAACGTTTCTTTCTAGTTTTTATGTGAAGATTGTCCTTTTTCACCATAAGCCTCAAAGTGCTAATAAATATCCCTTTGAAGATTCTACAAAAAGACTGTTTCCAAACTGGTCAGTCAAAGGAATGGTCTACAAATGTAAGATGAATGCACACATGACAAAGAAGTTTCTCAGAAAGCTTCGGTCTAGTTTTTATGTGAAGATATTTCCTTTTCCACCATAGGCCTCAAAGCACTCACAAATATCCCTTTGCAGATTCTACAAGAACAGAGTTTCCAAACTGCTCAATGAAAAGAAACATTTACCTCAGTGAAATGAATGCATACATCACAAAGAAGTTACCAGAAAGCTTCTGTCTAGTTTTTATGTTAAGATGTATCCTTTTCCACCATGGGCCTCAAAGTGCTCACAAATATCCCTTTGCAGACTGTAGAAGAACAGAGTTTCCAACATGCTTAATGAAAAGAAACGTTTACCTCTGTAACATGAATGCACATATCACAAAGCAATTTCTCACAAATCTTCTTTCTAGTTTTTATGTGAAGATATTTCCTCTTTCACCATAGGAATTAAAGTGCTCCCAAATATCCCTTTGAAGATTCTACAAAAAGACTGTTTCCAAATGGCTCAAGCAAAAGGAAGGTTCAACTCCGTGAGATGAATGCACACATGACAAAGAAGTTTCTCAGAAAGTTTCTGTCTAGTTTTTATGTGAAGATATCTCCTTTTTCACCATAGGCCTCAAAGCACTCAGGAATAACCTTTTGCAGATTCTACAAAAAGACTGATTGCAAACTGTTCAATCAAAAGAAAGGTTCAACTCTGTTAGATGAATGCACACGTCACACAGAAGTTTCTCAAAAAGATTTTGGCATATTTTCATGTGAAGATATTTCCTTTTTCACTGTATCCCTCAAAGCACTCACAAATATCCCTTTCCAGATTCTACAAGAACAGAGTTTCCAATCTGCTCAACAGAAAGAGACGTTTACCTCTATGAGATGAATGTACACATCACAAAGAAGTTTCTCAAAAAGATTCTGTCTTATTTTTATGTGAAGATATTTCCTTTTTCACTGTAGGCCTCAAAGCACTCAAAAATATCCCTTTGCAGATTCTACAAGAACAGAGTTTCCAATCTACTCAATGAAAAGAGTCACTTACGTCTATGAGATGAATGCACACATCACAAAGCAGTTTCTCAGAAACCTTCTGTCTGTTTTGATTGTGAAGATATTTCCTTTTTCACCATAGGCCTCAAAGGGCTCACAAATATCCCTTTTCAGATTCTACAAAAAGACTGCTTCCAAACTGCTCAATCAAAAGAAAGTTCAAATCTGTGAGATGAATGCACACATCACAAAGAAGTTTCTCAGAAAGCTTCCGTCAAGTTTTAATGTGAAGAGATTTCCTTCCTTACCATAGGCCTGAAAGTGCTCACTAATATCCCTTTGCAGATTCTACAAAAAGACCGTTTCCAAACTGTTCAATCAAAAGAAAGTTTCAACTCCGTGAGACGCAAGCACACATCACAAAGAAGATACTCAGAAAGCTTCTGTCTAGTTTTTATGTGAAG
Organism: Homo sapiens; assembly: GCF_000001405.40. Classification (NCBI taxonomy): domain Eukaryota; kingdom Metazoa; phylum Chordata; class Mammalia; order Primates; family Hominidae; genus Homo; species Homo sapiens. The sequence goes on from NC_000011.10 coordinate 55,140,839, forward strand.
ATATTTCCTTTTTCACCATAGGTCTGAAACGCCTCACAAATGTCCCCTTGCAGTTTCTACAAAAAGACTGTTTCCAAACTGCTCAATCAAAGGAAAGTTTCAACTCTGTGACATGAATGCACACATCACAAAGAAGTTTATCAAAAAGTTTCTGTCTAGTTTTTATGTGAAGACATTTCCTTTTTCACTATAGGCCTGAAAGTACTCAAAAATATCCCTTTGCAGATTCTACAAAAAGACTGTTTCCAAACTGGTCAAACAAAAGAAAGTTTCAACTCTGTGAGAAGAATGCACACATCACAAAACAGTTTCTCAGGCAGCTTCTGTCTAATTCTTAAGTGAAGATATGTCGTTTTTCACCATAGTCCTCAAACCGCTCACAAATATCCCTTTGCAGATACTACAAAAAGACCGTTTCCAAACTGTTCATTCAAAAGAAAGATTCAATTCTCTGAGATGAATGCACACATCACAAGGAAGTTTCTCAGAGAGCTTATGTCTAGTATTTATATAAAGTTATTTCCTTTTTCACCATAAGACTCAAGGGGCTCACAAATATCCCATTGTAATTTCTACAAAAGGACTGTTTCCAAACTGCTCAATTGAAAGAAAGTTTTAACTCTGTGAGTTGAATGCACACATCACAATGAAGTTTCTGAGAAAGCTTCTGTCTTGTATTTATGTGAAGATATTTCTTTTTCACCATAGACCTCAAACTGCTCACAAATATCTCTTTGCAGTTTCTATAAAAAGACTGTTTCAAAACTTCTCAATCCTAAGAAAGTTTCAGCTCTGTGCAGTAAATGCATACATCAGAAAGAACTTTCTCAGAAAGCTTCTTCCTAGTTTTTATGTGAAGTTATTTCCTTATTCACCATAGGCCTCAAAGGCCTCAAAAATATTCCTTTCCATATTTTACAAAAAGACTGTTTCCAAACTGCTCAATCAAAAGAACGATTCAACTATTTGAAATGAATGCACAAAACACAAGGAAGTTTCTTGGAAAGCTTCTGTCTGGTTTTTATATGAAGACATTTCTTTTTTCACCATAGACCACAAACCACTGAAAAATATAACGTTGCAGTTTCTGCAAAAAGACTGTATCAAAATTGCTCAATCGAAAGAAAGTTTAACTCTGTGAGATGAATGCACACATCACAAAGAAGTTTCTCAGAAAGCTTCTGTCTAGTTTTCATGTGAAGATATTTGCTTTTTCACCATAAGCTTCAAAGGCCCCACAAATATCCCTTTGCAGTTTCTACAAAAGACTGTTTCCAAACTGCTCAATCAAAAGAAACTTTCACCTCTGTGAGATGAATGCACAAATAATGAAGAAGTTTCTCAGAATGCTTCTGTCTACTTTGTTTTTGAAGGTATTACTTTTTCACGATAGGACTCAAACTGCTCACAAACATCCCTTGCAGTTTCTTCATAAAGACTCTTTCCAAACTGCTCAATCAAGAAAAGGTTCAACTCTATGAGGTGAATGCACACATCAAAATGAAGTTTGTCAGAAAGCATCTGTCTGGCTTTTATGTGATGATATTTCCTTTTTCACCATAGGCATCAAAGGCATCACAAATATCCCTTTGCAGATAATAAAAAAGATGGTTTCCAAACTGCACAATCAAAAGAAAAGTTCAACTCCGTGAGATGAATGCACACATCACAAAGAAGTTTCTCAGAGTGATTCTGTCTTGTTTTTATGTGAAGATATTCACTTTTTCAACATAAGACTCAAAGCCCTCAAAAATATCCATTGGGAGATTCTATAAAAAGAGATTTTCAAAACTTCTCAATCAAAAGGAAGGTTTAACAGTGTGAGATGAATGCACACATCACAAGGATGTTTCTCAGAATGTTTATATCTAGGTTTCATATGAAGATATTTCCTTTTTCAACATAGGCCACAAACCACTCACAAATATCCCTTTGTAGTTTCTACAAAAAGACTGTTTCCAAACTGCTCAATCAAAACAAAGGTTCAAATATGTGAGTTGAATGCACACATCACATGGAAGTTTCTCAGAAACCTTCCATCTAGTTTTTTTGTGAAGATATTTCTTTTTCACCATAGGCCTCAATTCGCTCACAAATATCCCTTTGCAGTTTGTTGAAAAAGACTCCTTCCAAATTTCTCAATCAAAAAAATGTTTCAGCTCTGTGTGCTGAATGCACACATCAGAATGAAATTTCTCAGAAAGCTTCTGTCTAGGTTTTACGTGAAGATATTTCCTTTTTCAACATAGGCCTCAAATGTCTCACAAAATATTTGTCCTTTCCAGATTCTACAAAAAGACTCTTTCCAAACTGCTCAATCAAAAGAAAGCTTCAACTCCGTGAAATGAATGCACACATCACTAGGATATTTCTAAGAAAGCTTCTGCCTAATTTTTATATGAAGTACTTCCTTTTTCACCATAGGCCTCAAACTGCTCACAAATACCCCTTTGCAGTTTCTATAAAAAGTCTGTTTCCAAACTGCTCAATGGAAACAAAAGTTTCATTCTTTGAGATGAATGTACACATCACAAAGAAGTTCCTCAGAAAGCTTATTGTCTGGCTTTTATGTGAAGAAATTTCCTTTTTCACCATAGGCCTCAAAGTCCTCACAAATATCCCTTTGCAGATTCTACAAAAAGAATGTTTCCAAACTGTTCATTCAAAAGAAAGGTTCAACTGTGTGAGATGAATGCACACATCACAAGGAAGTTTCTCAGAACGCTTATGTCTTGTTTTTATATGAAGATATTTCCTTTTTCACCAGAGGCCACAAACCACTCAAAAATATCCCTTTGAGGGTTCTACAAAAAGAATGTTTGAAAACTGGTCAATCAAAAGAAAGTTTCCACTCTGTGAGCTGAATGCTCACATCACAAAAAAGTTTCTCAGAAAGTTTCTGTCTAGTTTTTGTGTGAAGATATTTCCTTTTTCACAATAAGCCTCAAACCACTCACAAATATGTCTTTCCAGATTCTATAAAAAGACAGTTTCCAAACTTCTCAATCAAAAGAAAGGTTTAACACTGTGAGATGAATGCAGACATCACTAAGAAGTTACTCAGAAAGCTTTTGTCTAATTGTTATATGAAGATATTTCCTTTTTCACCATAGGCCTCAAAATGCTCACAGATATCCCTTTGCCGATTGTACAAAAGGACTGTTTCCAAACTGCTGAATCAAAAGAAAGTATTAACTCGGTGAGATGAATGCATACATCAAAAAGAAGTTTCTGAGAAAGATTCTGTCTAGTTTTTATGTGAAGATATTTCCTTTTTCACCATAGGCCTTAATGGCCTCACAAATATCCCTTTCCAGAATCTACAAAAAGACTGTTTCCAAACTGCTCAATCAAAAGAAAGGTTCAACTCTATGAAATAAATGCACAAATCACAAGGAAGTTTCTCAGAAAGTTTATGTCTAATTTTTAATGAAGACATTTCGTTTTTCACCATAGGCTGCAAATCGCTCACAAATATCCCTTTGTAGTTTCTAGAAAAAGACGATTTCCAAACAGCTCAATCAAAAGAATCATTCAACTCTATGAGGTGAATGCACACATCAGAAATAACTTTCTGAGAAAGCTTCTGTCTAGTTTTTATTTGAAGATATTTCCTTTATCTCCATAGGCCTCAAAGGGATACCAAATATCCCTTTCCAGATTGTACAAAAAGACTGTCTCCTAACTGCTCAATCAAAAGAAAGTTTCAACTCTGTGAGATGAATGCACACATCACAAAGAAGTTTCTCAGAAAGGTTTTTTCAGGGGTTTATGTGAAGATATTTCCTTTTTCACCAGAGGTCTCAAAGTGCCCTGAAATATCCCTTTGCAGATTCTACAAGAAGAATGTTTCCAAACTCCACAATCAAAAGAAAGATTCAACTTTGTCAGATGAATGCACACATCACAAAGAAGTTTCTCAGAAAGTTTCCATATAGTTTTTATTTGAAGATATTTCCCTTTTCACCATAGGACAAAAAGGACTCCCAAATATCCCTTTGCAGATTTTACAAAAAGACTGTTTCCTAACTCTTCAATCCAAAGAATGGTTCAACTCTGATAGATGAATGCACACATCACAAGGAAGTTTCTCAGAAAGCTTCTCTCTAGTTTTTATGTGAAGATATTTCCCTTTTCACCATAGGCCTCAAAGGGCTCCCAAATATACCTTTGCAGATTCTACAGAAAGATGGTTTCCAAACTGCTCAATCAAAAGAAAGTGTAAACTCTGTGAGATGAATTCAAGCATCACAAAAAAGATTGTCAGAAAGCTTCTGTCTAGTTTTTATGTGAAGATGTTTACCTTTTCACCATAGGGCTGAAAGCACCCTCAAATATCCCTTTGCAGATTCTACAAAGAGTCTGTTTCCAAACTCCTCAATCAAAAGAAAAGTTGAACTCTGTCAGATGAATGCACACATCACAAACAAGTTTCTCAGAAAGATTCTGTGTAATTTTTATGTGAAGATATTTACTTTTTCACCACAGGCCTCAAACCACTCAGAAATATCCCTTTGCAGATTTTACAAAAAGACTGTTTCCAAACTGCTCAATAAAAAGAAAGGTTCAACCCTGTGAGAAGAATGCACAAATCACAAATAAATTCTTCAGAAGACTTCTGTCTAGTTTTTATGTGAAGATATTCCCTTTTTCACCTTAGGTCTCAAAAAGCTCAGAATTATAACTTTGAAGATTCTAGAAAAAGACTGTTTCCCAACTGCTCAATCAAAATAAAGGATCAACTCTGTGAGATGAATGCACACATCACAAAGAGATTCTTATAAAGTTTCTGTCTAGTTTTTGTGTGAAGATATTTCTTTATTCACCATAGGCTTCAAATGGCTCAGAAATATCCTTTTGCAGATTCTACAGAAGGACAGTTTCCAAACTGCTCAATCAAAAGAAAGGTTCAAATCTGTGAGATGAATGCAAACATGTCAAAAAAGTTTCTCAGAAAGCTTCTGTCTAGTGTTTATATGAAGATATTTCCTTTTTCACCATAGAACTGAAACCGCTCACAAGTATACTTTTGCAGATTCTTCAAAAAGAGTGTTTCCAAACTGCAAAATCAATGGAAAGTTTCAACTCTGTGAGATGAATGCACACATCACAGAGAAGTTTCTCAGAATGCTTCTGTCTAGTTTTTATGTGAAGATATTTCCCTTTTCACCATAAGCCTCAAAGGAATACCAAAATACACCTTAGCAGATTCTACAGAAAGACTGTTTCCAAACTGCTCCATCAAAAGAAAAGTTCAACTCTGTCTGATTAATTCACACATCACAAAGAAGTTTCTCAGAAAGCTTGTGTATAATTTTTATGTGAAGATATTTCTTTTTTCACCACAGGCCTCAAACAGCTCAGAAATATTCCTTTGCAAATTTTACAAAAAGACTGTTTCCAAACTCCTCAATGAAAACAAAGTTTGAACTCTGTGAGATGAATGCACACATCACAAAGAAGTTTCTCAGAATGTTTCTGTCTGGTTTTTATGTGAAGATATTCAATTTTTCAACATGGACACAAAGGGATCCCAAATATCATTTGCAGAATCTACAAAAAGACTGTTTCCAAACTGTTTAATCAAAAGAAATGTTGAACTCTTTGAGATGAATGCACGCATCACAAAGAAGTTTCTCAGAACGCTTCTGTTTTGTTTTTATGTGAAGATATTCCCTTTTTCAACACAGGTCTCAAAGCGCCCTCAAATATCCCTTTGCAGATTCTACAAAAAGGCTGTTTCCAAACTGCTCAATGAAAAGAAAAATTCAACTGTGTGAGATGAATGTACACATCAAAAAAAGTTCCTCAGAAAGCGTCTGTCTAGTTTTTATGTGAAGATATTTCCTTTTTCACCATAGGCCTCAAAGGGATCCCAAATATTCTGCTGCAGTTTCTACAAAAAGACTGTTTCCAAACTGCTCAATCAAAAGTAAAGTTCAGCACTGTGAGTTGAATTCACACATTCCAAAGAAGATTCTCAGAAAGCTTCTGTCTAGTTTTTACGTGAAGATATTTCCTTTTTCACCAGAGGCCTCAAAGTGCCCCCAAATATCACTTTGCAGATTCTACAAAAAGAATGTTCCTGCACTGCTCAATAAAACAAAAGTTTAACTCTGTAATTTGAATACAAACATCTCAAAGAAGTTTCTCAGAATGCTTCTGAATGTTTTTATGGGAAGATATTTCCTTTTTCACCATAGGCTTCAAACCACACAGAAATATCCCTTAGTAGATTCTACAAAAACACTGTTAGAAAACTGCACAATCAAAAGAAAGGTTCAACTCAGTGAGATAAATGCACACATCACAAAGGAGATTCTCAGGAAGCTTTTGTCTAGTTTTTATGTGAAGATATTTCCTTATTCACCTTAAGCCTCAAATCACTCAGAAATATCCCTTTGCAGATTCTAGAAAAATACATTTTCCAAACTGCTCAATGAAAGGAATGGTTCAACTCTATGAGATGAATGCACATATCACAAGGAAGTTCCTAATAAAGTTTCTGTCTACTTTTTATGTGAAGATATTTCCTTTTTCACCGTGGGCCTCAATCCACTCAGAAACATCCCTTAGAAGATTCTACAAAAAGACTGTTTCCAAACTCCTCAATCAAAAGAAAATTGCAAATCTGAGAGATGAATGCACACATCACCAAGAATTTTCTCAAAAAGCTCCTGTCCAGTTTTTATATGAACATATTTCCACTTTCACCATAGACCTCAAAGGGCTAACAGGTATCACTTTGCAGATTCTACAATAAACTTTCCAAACTGCTCAATCAAACCAAAAGTTCAACACTGTGAGTTGAATGCACACATCACAAAGTAGTTTCTCAGAATGCTTCTGTCTAATTTTTATTTGAAGATATTTCCTTATTCACCGTAGGCCTCAAATTGCTCAGAAATATCCCTTTGCAGATTGTAGAAACAGACTGTTTCCAAACTGCTCCATCAAAAGAAAGATAAAACTGTCAGATGAATGCACATATGACAAAGAAGTTTCTCAGAAAGCTTCTGTCTAGTTTTTATGTGTACATATTTCCATTTTCACTGCAGGCCTCAAAGGGCTCACAAATATCCCTTTTCATATTCTACAAAAAGACATTCCACACTGCTCAATCAAAAGAAAAGTTCAACTCTGTGAGTTGAATGCACACATCACAAAGAAGTTTCTCAGAAAGCTTCTGTCTAGTTTTTATGTGAAGATATTTCCTTATTCACCATAGGCCTCAAACTGCTCTGAAATATCCCTTTGCAGATTGTAGAAAAAGACTGTTTCCAAACTGCTCAAACAAAAGAAAGGTCAAACTGTGTGAGATGAATGCACACATCAAAAAGAAGTTTCACAGAAAGCTAGTTTTTAAGTGAAGATATTCCTTTTTCTCCATAGGCCTCAAAGGTTTCCAAAATTCCCCTTTGCAGATACTAAAAAAGACTGTTTCCAAACTGCTCAATAAAAAGAAAAATTCAACTCTATGAGTAGAATGCAAACATCAAAAAGAAGTTGCTCAGAAAGTTTCTGTATACTTTATATGTGAAGTTATTTCCTTATTCACCATAGTCCTCAATCCGCTCAGAAATATCCCTTTGCAGATTCTAGAAAAAGACTGTTTCCAAACTGCTCAATCAAAAGAAAGGTCCAGCTCTATGAGATGAATGCACACATAACAAAGAAGTTTCTCAGAAAGCTTTTGTCTAGTTTTTTGTGAAGGTATTTCCTTTTTCACCATAGGCCTCCATCCGCTCAGAAATGTCCCTTTGCAGATTCTACAAAAAGACTGTTGAAAAACTGCTAGATCAAAAGAAATGTTCAACTTTGTGAGATGAATGCACACATCTCAAAGAAGTTTCTCAGAAAACTTTTGTCTAGTTTTTATGTGAAGATATTCCCTTTTTCACCAGAGACCTCAAAGGGATCCCAAATATCCCTTTGCAGGTTCTCCAAAAAGACTGTTTCCAAACTGCTCAATCAAAAGGAATGTTCAACACTGTGAGCTGAAGGCACCCATCACAAAGAAGTTTCTCAGAAAGCGTCTGTCTAGTTTTTTGTGAACATATTTTCCTTTTCACCATAGGCCTCAAAGGGCTCCCAGATTTCCCTTTGCAGATTCTACAAAAAGATTGTATCCAAACTGCTCAATCAGAGAAACTTTCAACATTGTGAGATGAATGTACACATCACAAAGAAGTTTCTCAGAAAGCTCTGTCTAGTTTTTATGTTAAGATATTTCCTTTTTCATCATAGGCCTCAAAGGGCTCCCAAACATCCCTTTGTAGATTCTAGAAAAAGACTGTTTCCAAACTGCGCAGTCAAAAGAAAATTTCAACTCTGTGAGATGAATGCATGCATCACAGAGAAGTTTCTCAGAGAGCTTCTGTCTACTTTTTATGTGAAGATATTTCCTATTCCACCATAGGCCTCAATGCGCCCATAAGTGTCCCTTTGCAGATTCTACAAAAAGTATTTCCAAACTGCTCAATGAAAAGAAAAATTCAACTGTGTGAGATGAATGCACACATCAAAAAAAGTTCCTCAGAAAGCGTCTGTCTAGTTTTTATGTGAAGATATTTCCTTTTTCACCATAGGCCTCGAAGGGCTCCAAAATATCCATTTGCAGATTCTACAAAAAGACTATTTCCAAACTGCTAAATGAAAAGTAGGGTTCAACTGGTGGAGAGGAATGCACACATCACCAAGAAGTTTATCAGAAAGTTTCTATTTTTTTGTGACGATATTTCCTTTTTCACCATAGGCCTGAAACTGCTCAGAAATATCCCTTTTCAGATTCTACAAAAAGACTGTTTCCAAACTAATCAATGAAAAGAAAGTTTCAACTCCGTGAGATGAATGCACAGATCACAAAGAAGCTTCTCAGAAAGCTTCTGTCTAGTTTTTAGTTGAACATATTTCCTTTTTCAACAAAGGCCTCAAACTGCTCAGAAATATCCCCTTGCAGATTCTAGAAAAAGAGTGTTTCCATACTGTTGAATCAAAAGAAAGGTTCAACTCTGTGAGATGAATGCACACATCACAACGATGTTTCTCAGAAACTTCCCTCTGGTTTTTATATGAAGATATTACTTTTTCACCATAGGCCTCAAACTGCTCAGAAATATCCCTTTGCAGATTCTAGAAAAAGACTGTTTCCAAACTGCTCCATCAAATGAAAGGTTCAACTCTGTGAGATGAATGCACTGATTTCAAAGAAGTTTCTCAGAAATATTCTGTCTAGTTTTTATATGAAGATATTTACTTTTTCACCATACGCCTCAAAGCACTCAGAAATATCTGTTTGCAGATTTGACAAAGAGACTGTTTCCAAACTGCTCAATCAAAAGAAAGGTTCAGCACTTTGAGATGAAGGCACACATCACAAAGAAGTTTCTCAGAAAGCTTCTGTCTAGTTTTTATGTGAAGACATTTCCTTTTTCACCATAAGGCTCAAAACGCTCAGAAATATCCCTTTGCAGATTGTACAAAAAGACTGTTTCCAAAATGCTCAATCAAAGAAAAGGTTCCACTCTGTGAGATGAATGCACACATTAGAAATAAGTTTCTGAGAAAGCTTCTGTCTAGTATTTTTGTGAAGATATTTCCTTTTTCACCATAAGCCTCAAAGGGAATCCAAATATCCCTTTGCCGATTCTACAAAAATATTGTTTCCAAACTGCTCATTCAATAGAAAATTTCAACTCTGTGAGTTGAATGTTCACATCACAAGGAAGTTTCTCAGAAAGCTTCCGTCTAGTTTTTATGTGAAGATATTTCCTTACTCACTGTAGGCCTCAAAATGCTCAGAAATATCCCTTTGTAGATTCTAGAAAAATACTTTTCACAAACTGCTCAATCAAAAGAAAAGTTCAACTCTGTGGGAGAATGCACACATCCAAAGAAGTTTCTCGGAAAGATTCTGTCTAGTTTTTATTTGAAGATATTACCTTTTTCACCATGGGCTTCAAGGGGCTCCCAAATATCCCTTTGCAGATTCTACAAAAAGACAGTTTCCAAACTGTTTAATCAAAAGAAAGTTTCAAATCTGTGAGATGAATGCACGTATCACAAAGAAGTTTCTCAGAAAGCTTCTGGCTATTTTTTATGTGAAGATATTTCCTTTTTCACCATAGGCCCCAAAGAGTTCCTAAACATCCCTTTGCATTTTATACAAAAGGAGTGTTTCCAAACTGTACTATCAAAAGAAAATTTGAACTCCATGAGATGAATGCACATCTCACAAAGAAGTTTCTCAGAAATCTTCTGTCTAGATTTTATGTGAAAATATTTCCTTTTTCACCATAGGCCTCAAAGCGCCCAGAAATTTCCCTTTGCAGATTCTACAGAAAGGGTATTTCCAAACTACTCAATCAAAAGAAAGGTTCAACACTGTGAGATGAATGCACTCATTGAAAAGAAGTTTGTCAGAAATCTTCTGTCTAGTTTTTATGTGAAGATATTTCCTTTTCAGCTATAGGCCTCAAAGCGCTCCAAATATCCATTTGCAGTTACTACAAAACGAGTGTTTCCAAACTGCTCAATCAAAAGAAAAGTTCAACACTGTGAGATAAATGCACTCATTACAAAGAAGTTTCTCAGAAATCTTCTGTCCAGTTTTTATGTGAAGATATTTCCTGTTTTACCATAGGCCTCAAACAGCTCAGAGATGTCCCTTTGCAGATTGTTCAAGAGGACTGTTTCCAAACTGCTCAATCAAAAGAAAATTTCACCTCCGTGAGATGAATGTATGCATCACAAAGAAATTGCTAGGAAAATTTCTATCTAGTTTTTATGTGAAGATATTTCTTTTTTCACCATAGAACCCAAAGTGATCTCAAATAACCCTTAGCAGAATCCACAAAAATACTGTTTCCAAACTGCTCATTGAAAACAAAATTTCAAATCTGTGAGTTGAATGCACACATCACAAGGAAGTTTATCAGAAAGCTTTTGTCTAGTTTTTATGTGAAGATATTTCCTTGTTCACCATAGGCCTCAAACTGCTCAGAAATATCCCTTTGCAGATTCTACAAAAAGACTCTTTCCAAACTGATAAAACAAAAGAAAGATTCAACTCTGTGACATGAATGCACACATGTCAAAGATGTTTCTCAGAAAACTTTTGTCTAGTTTTTATATTACGTTATTTCCTTTTTCTCCATAGGCCTCAAACCTTTCAGAAATATCCCTTTGCAGATTCTACAAAAAGACTGTTTCCAAACTGCTCAATCAAAAGAAAGGTTCAACTATGTGAGATGAAAGCACATATCCCAAAGAAGTTTCTGAGAAAGCTTGTGTCTAGCTTTTTTTTTTTTTTTTTTGAGACGGAGTCTCACTCTGTCACCTAGGCTGGAGTGCAGTGGCGTGATCTTGGCTCACTGCAAGCTCCGCCTCCCATGTTCACACCATTTTCCTGCCTCAGCCTCCCGAGTAGCTGGGACTACAGGCACCCACCACTACACCCGGCTAACTTTTTGTATTTTTAGTAGAGACAGGGTTTCACCGCGGTCTCGATCTCCTGACCTCGTGATCCATGTGCCTCGGCCTCCCAAAGTGCTGGAATTACAGGCATGAGCCACCGTGCCCGTCCGTGTCTAGCTTTTATGTGAAGATATTTACTTTTTCAGCATAGGCCTCAAAGGGCTTCCATGTATCCCTTTGCAACTTCAACAAAAAGACTGTTTCCAAACTGTTCAATCAAAACAAAGGATCAACTCTGTGAGATGAGTGCACACATCCAAAGAAGTTCCTCAGAAAGCTTCTGTGTAGTTTTTATGTGAAGACATTTTCATTTTCACCATAGGCCTCAAAGGGATCCCAAATATCCCTTTGCAGAATCTACAACAATACTGTTTCCAAACTGCTCATTGAAAACAAAATTTCAAATCTGTGTGTTGAATGCACACATCACAAGGAAGATTATCAGGAAGTTTCTGTTTAGTTTTTATGTGAAAATGTTTCCTTATTCACCATAGGCCTCAAACGGCTCAGAAATATCCCCTTGCAGATTCTAGAAAAAGACTGTTTCCAAACTACTCAATCAAAAGAAAGTTTGAACTCTGTGAGATGAATGTATGCATCACAAAGCAGTTGCTCAGATAGTTTCTTTCTAGTTTTTATGTGAAGATATTTCCTTTTTCTCCATATGCCTCAAAGCACCCTCAAAAATCCCTTTGCAGATTCCACAAAAAGACTGTTTCCAAACTGCTCAATGAAAAGAAATGTTCAACTCCGTGAGAAGAATGCACACATCATAAAGAAGTTTCTCAGAAAGCTCCTGTCTAGTGTTTAGGTGAACATATTTCCTTTTTCACCATAGGCCTGAAAGCAATCAGAAATATCACATTGCAGATTCTAGAAAAAGACTCTTTCCAAAATGCTCAATCAAAAGGAAGTTTCAACTCTGTGAGATGAATGCACACATTACAAAGAAGTTTCTCAGGAAGCTTCTGTCTATTTTTTATATGAAGATATTTCCTTTTTCACCATAGGCCTCAAACAGCTGAGAAGTATCCCTTAGCAGATCCTATAAAATGCCTGTTTCCGAACTGCTCAATCAAAAGAAAGTTTCAACTCTGTGAGATGAATGCACACATCACAAAGATGTTTCTGAGAAAGATTCTGTCTACGTTTTAGGTGATGATATTTTCTTTTTTGCCATGGGGCTCAAGGGGTTCCTAAATATCCCTTTGCAGATTCTACAAAAAGACTGTATCTAAACTGTTCAATCAAAAGTAAGGTTCAACTCTGTGAGATGAATGCACACATCAAAAAGAAGTTTCTCAGAAATCTTCTGTCTATTTTTTATCTGAAGATATTTCCTTTCCATGGTAGGCCTCATAGCACCCTGAAGTGTCCCTTAGCAGATTCTACAAGAAGACTGTTTCCAAACTGCTCAATAAAAAGAAAATTTCAACTCTTTGAGATGAATGTATACATTACAAAGACGTTTCTCAGAAAGCTTCTGTCTACTATTTATGTGAAGATATTTCCTTTTTCACCATATGCCTCGAAGGGCTTCCAAATGTCCCTTTGCAGATTCTACAAAAAGACTGTTTCCAAACTGCTCAATCAAAAGAAAGGTTCAACTCTGTGAGATGAATGCACACATCACAAAGTTTCTCAGAAAGCTTCTTTCTGTTTTTCTGTGAGGATATTTCCTTTTTCACCATAGGCCTCAAACCGCTCAGAATATCACTTTGCAGATTGAAAAGAAGACTGTCTCCAAACTGCTCAACCAAAAGAAAGTTTCAACTCTGAGATGAATTCATGGATAACAGAAACGTTTCTCAGAAAGCTTCTATCTAGTTTTTATTTGAAGATATTTCCTTTTCCACCATAGGCCTCTAAACGCTACAAATATCCACTTTCAGATTTTCCAAAAAGAGTGTTTCAAAACTGCTCAATCAAAAGAAAATTTCAATTCTGTGAGATGAATGCACGTACCACAAAGAAGTATCTCAGAATGCTTCTCTGTAGTTATTATGTGAAGATATTTCATTTTTCACCATTTGCCTCAAAGGGCTCCCACACATCCCTTTGGAAATTCTACAAAAAGACTGTTCCCAAACTGCTCAACCAAAAGAAAGTTTGAACTCCATGAGATGAATGTACACATCACAAAGAAGTTGCTCAGAAAGCTTCTGTGTAGTTTTTATGTGAAGATATTTCCTTTTTCAACATAGGTCTCAAACTGCTCAGAAATATCCATTTGCAGATTCTACAAAAAGATGGTTTCCCAACTGTTAATCAAAAGAAAGGTTCAGCTCTTGGAGATGAATACACACATCACAAAGAAGTTTCTCAGAAAACTTCTGTCTAGATTTTATGTGAATATATTTCATTTTCACCATAGGCCTCAAAGGGATGGCAAATGTCAGTTCGCAGATTTTACAAAAAGACTGCTTCAAAACTGCCCAATCAAAAGAAAAGTTGAACTCTCTGAGATGAATTGACACATCACAAAGAAGTTCCTCAGAAAGCTTCTGTCTATTTTTTATGTGAAGATATTTCCTTTTTTTCACCTTAGGCCTCAAATTGCTGAGGAATATCCCTTTGCAGATTCTAGAAAAAGACTGTTTCCAAAGTGCTCAATCAAAAGAAACGTTCAACTCTGTGAGATGAATGCACACATCACACAGAAGTTCCTGAGAAATATTCTGTCTAGTTTTTATGTGAATATATATCCTTTTTCACCATAGTCCTCAAAGGGCTCCAAAATATCCCTTTGCAGATTATAGAAAAAGACTGTTTCCAAAATGCTCAATCAAAAGAAAGGTTCAACTCTGTGAGATGTATGCACACATAACAAAGAAGTTTCTCAGAATGTTTCTGTCTAGTTTTTATGTTGAGATATTTCCTTTTTCAACATAGGCCACAAACAGCTCACAAAAATCACTTGTAGATGGTTGAAAAAGACTGTTTCCAAACTACTCAGTCAAAAGGAAGTTTCAACTCTGTGAGATGAATGCATACATCAAAAAGTAGCTTCTCAGAAAGCTTCTGTATAGTTTTTATGTGAAGATATTTCCTTTTTCACCTTAGGCCACAAATATCTCAGAAACATCCCTTTGCGTATTCTAAAAAGACTGTTTCCAAACTGCTCAATCAAAAATAGGTTCACATCTTCTAGATGAATGCATAAACCACAAAACAATTTCTGAGAAAAAAATCGGTCTAGTTTTTATGTGAAGTAAATTTCTTTTTCAAAATAGGCCTCAAACATTTCCCAAATATCCCTTTGCCGATTGTAGAAAAAGAGTGCTTTGAAACTGCTTGATCAAAAGAAAGGTTCAATTCTGTGGGATGAATACACACATCACAAAGAAGTTTCTGAGAAGGCTTCTGACTAGTTTTTCTGTGAAGATATTTCCTTTTTCACCATAGGCCTCAAAGGGTTCCCAAATATCCCTTTGCAGATACTACAAAAACTCTTTCCAAACTGCTCAATCAAAAGAAAGTTTCAACTCTGTGAGTTGAATGCAAAGATTACAAAGAAGTTTCTCAGAAGACTTCTGTCTAGTTTTTTGTCAGGGTATTTCCTTTTTCACCATAGGCCTCAAACCACTGAGAAATATCCCTTTGCAGATTCTACAAAAAGACTGTTTCCAAACTGCTCAATCAAAAGAAGTTTCAACTCTGTGAGATGAATGCTCGCATCACAAATAAGTTTTTCAGAAAGATTCTGTCTAGTTTGTATGTGAAGATATTTCATTTCTCAAAATAGGCCCAAAAATGCTGTCAAATATCTCTTTGCGGATTCTACAGAAAGACTGTTTTGACACTGCTCAATCAAATAAAGTTTCAACTCTGTCAGTTGAAGGAACACAAAACAAAGAAGTTTCTCAGAAAGCTTCTGTCTAGTTTTTACGTGAAGATACTTCCTTTTTCACCATAAGCCCCACACCGCGTAGAAATATTCCTTTGCAGATCCCACAAAAAGACTGTTTCCAAACTGTGCAATCAAAAGAAAGTTGCAACACTGTGAGATGAATGCACACTTCTTCAAATCTGTGAGATGAATGCACACATCACAAAGAAGTTTCTCAGAAAGCTTCTGTCTAGTTTTTTTGTGAAGATATTTACTTTATCACCGTAGGCCTCAAACCACTCAGAAATATTTCTTTGCAGACTTTACAAAAAGACTGTTTCCAACCTGCTCAATCAAAAGAAAGTTTCTACCCTGTGAGATGAATGCACACATTCCAAAGAAGTTTCTGAGAAAGCTTCTGTCTGGTTTTTATGTGAAGATATTTTCTTTTTCACCACAGGCCTCAAAGGGCTCCCAAATATCCCTTTGCAGATTCTACAAAAAAAAAACTCTTTCTAAACTGCTCAATCAAAAGAATATTTCAACTCTGTGACATGAATACACGCATCACAAATAAATATCTCAGAAAGCTTCTGTCTAGTTTTTATATAAATATATTTCCCTTTTCGCCATAGGCCTCAAAGGTCTCCCAAATGTCCCTTTGCAGATTCTATAAAAAGAATGTTTCCAAACCGCTAATTCAAAAAAATGTTCAACATTGTGAGATGAATGCACTTATCACAAAGTAGTTTCTCAGAAAGCTTCTGTCTGGTTTTTATGTGAAGACATTTCCTTTTTCACCACAGGTCTCAAACATGTCAGAAATATCCCTTTGCAGACTGTACAAAAAGAGTCTTTCCATACTGCTCAATCAAAAGAAAGTTTCATCTCTGTGAGATGAATTCATACATCTTCAAATCTGTGAGATGAATGCACACATCACAAAGAAGTTTCTCAGAAAGCTTCTGTCTGGTTTTTATGTGAAGACATTTCCTTTTTCACCACAGGTCTCAAACATGTCAGAAATATCCCTTTGCAGACTCTACAAAAAGAGTCTTTCCATACTGCTCAATGAAAAGAAAGTTTCATCTCTGTGAGATGAATTCACACATCTTCAAATCTGTGAGATGAATGCACACATCACAAAGAAGTTTCTAAGAAAGCTTCTCTCTAGTTTTTATGTGAAGATATTTACATTTTAGTATAGACCTCAAAGCCTCCTCAAATATCCCTTTGCTGATTCAACAAAATGATTGTTTCCAAGCTGCTCAATGAAAAGAAAGGTTGAACTCTGTGAGGTGAAAGCACACATCACAAAGTAGTTTCTCAGAAATCTTCTTTCTAGTTTTTATATGAAGATATTCCCTTTCTCACCATGGGCCTCAAAGGTATCCCAATTATCCCTGTGCAGATGCTACAAAAAGATGGTTTCCAAACTCCTCAATCAAAAGCAAGGTTCAACTCTGTGAAAGGAATGCAAGCATCACAAATAATTTACTCAGAAATCTTCTGTCTAGTTTTTATGTGAAGATATTTCCTTTTTCACCATTGACCTCAAATGTCTCCCAAATATCCCTTTGCAGATTTTACAAAAAGGATGTTTCCAAACTGCTCAATCAAAACAAAGTTTCAACTCTGTGAGATGAATGCATGCAATGGAAAGAAGATTCTCAGTAAGCTTCTGTCTAGTTTTTATGTGTATATATCTCCTTTTTCACCATAGGCCTCACAGGGATCCAAAATATCCCCTTGCAGATTTTACAAACAGACAGTTTCCACACCGGTCTACGAAAAGATAGGCTCATCTCTGTGTGATGAATGCACACATCACCAAGAAGTTTTGCATAAAGCTTCTCTCTAGTTTTATTGTGAAGATATTTCATTTTTCACCATAGGCCTCAAAGCAACCTCAAGTATCCCTTTGCAGATTCTACAAAAAGACATAAGCTGCTAAATCAAAAGAACGTTTCACCTCTGTGAGATGAATGCACACATCACAAAGAAGTTTCTCAGAAATCTTCGGTCCAGTTTTTATGTGAAGATATTTCCCTTTTCACCATAGGCCTCTAAGGGCACTCAAATATTCCTTTGCAGAGTCTACAAAAGACAGTTTCCAAACTGCTCAATCAAAAGAATGGTTCAACTCTGTGGGATGAATGCAAGCATCACAAAGAAGTTTCTTAGAAAGCTTCTGTCTAGTTTTTATGTGAAGATAATTCCTTTTTCACCACAGGCCTCTAAGGGATCCCAAATATCCCTTTGCAGATTTTACAAAAAGACTGTTTCCAAACTGCTCAATCAAAAGAAAGATTTAACTCTGTGAGATGAATGCATGCATCACAAAGAAATTTTGCAGAAAATTTCTGTCTAATTTTTATGTGAAGATATTTCCTTTTTCAACATAGACCACAATGCACCCTAAATATCCCTTTGCAGATTCTATAAAAAGACTGTTTCCAAGCTGCTCAATCAAAAGAATGGTTCAACTCTGTGAGATGAATGCACGTATGACAAAGAAGTTTTTCAGAAAGCGTCTGTCTGTTTTTTTGCAAAGATATTTCCTTTATCAATATATGCCTAAAATCGCTCAGAAATACCCCTTTGCAGATTCTACAAAAAGACTATTTCTAAACTGCTCAATCAAAAGAAAGTTTAAAATCTGTGAGGTGAATGCACACATCACAAAGAAGTTTTTCAGAAAGCTGCTGTCTAGTTATCATATGAAGATATTTCCTTTTTCACCATAGGCCTCAAAGTGACATGAAATATCACTTTTCAGATTCCAAAAAAGATTGTTGCCAACCTGCTCAATCAAAAGAAAGGTTCAAATCTGCGAGATGAATGCACACATCACAAAAGGGTATCCTAGATAATTTCTGTTTAGTTTTTATGTGAAGATAAATCCTTTTCAAAATAGGCATCAAAGGGCTCCCAAATATCCCTTTACAGATTGTAGCAAAGCAATGATTCCAAACTGTTCAATCCAAAGAAATATTTAACACTGTGAGATGAAAGCTCACATCACAAAGAAACTTATGAGAAATCTTCTGTCTGGTTTTTATGTGAAGTTATTTCCTTTTCCACCGTAGGCCTCAAGGGACTCCCAAATATCCCATTGCAGATACTACAAAAAGACTGTTTCCAAACTGTTCAATCAAAAAAAAGTTTCAACTATGTGTGATGAATGCAGGCATCACAAAGATGTTTTTCAGAAAGCTTCTCTCTAGTTTTTATGTGAAGATATTTCTTATTCACCATAGGCCTCAAAGGGCTCCCAAATATCCCTTTGCAGATTCTACAAAAATACTGTTTCCAAACTGCTCAATTGAAAGAAAGTTTCTACTCTGTGAGATGAATGCACACATCTCAAAGAAGTTTCTGAGAAAGCATCTGTCCGATATTTACATGACGATATCTCCATTTTCACCATAGACCTCAAAGGTCTCCCAAATATCCCTTTGCAAGCTCTACAAAAAGACTGTTTCCAAACTGCTGTATCGAAAGAAAGGTTCAACTGTGTGAGATGAATGCACACATCACAAAGAAGTTTCTCAGAAAGCTTCTGTGAAGTTTTCATTTGAAGATATTTCCTTTTTCACCATAGGCCTCAAATCACTCAGATATAACCCTTTGCAGATTCTACAAAAAGAAGGTTTCCAAACTGCTCAATCAAAAGAATGGTTCAACTCTGTGAGATGAATGGAAAAATTAACAAGAAGTTTCTCAGAATGTTTCTGTCTAGTTTTTATGTGAAGATATTTCCTTTTTCACCACAGGCATCAAAGGGATACCAAATATCCATTTGCAGATTCTACAAAAAGATGGTTTCCAAACTGCTCTATCAAAAGAAAGGTTCAACTCTGTGAGATGAATTCACGTATCACAAAGAAGTTACTCAGAATGATTTTGTCTAGCTTTTATGTGAAGGTACTTCCTTTTTTACCGTAGGCTTCAATCCACTCAGAAATATCCCTTTGCAGATTCTACAAAAAGACGGTTTCCAAACTGCTCAATCAAAAGAATAGTTCAAGTGTGGGAGATGAATGCACCCATCACAAAGAAGTTTCTCAGGAAGTTTCTGTCTAGTTTTTATGTGAAGATATTTCATTTTTTTCACATTAGGCCTCAAACCGCTCAGAAATATCACTTTGAAGATTATCCAAAAAGACTGTTTCCAAACTTCTCAATGAAAGGAAAAGTTCAACTGTGTGATATGAATGCTCACATCACTAGGAAGTTTCTCAGAAAGCTTCTGTCTAGTTTCCATGTGATGATATTTCCTTTTTCAAAGTATGCCACGATCCGCTCTGAAATATCCATTTGCAGATTCTACAAATAGATGGTTTCCAAGCTTCTCAATCAAAAGAAATGTTCAAATCTGTGAGATTAATGTACGCATCCCAAAGAAGTTTCTGAGAAAGTTTCTGTCTAGTTTTTATATGAAGATATTTCCTTTTTCACCATAGGCCTCAAAGAGCTTCCAAATATCCCTTTACATATCCTACAAAAAGAATGTCTCCATACTGCTCAATAAAAAAAGATTCAACTCTGTGAGATGAATGCACACATCACAAGGAAGTTTCTCAGAAAATTTCAGTCTAGTTTTTATGTGAAGATATTTCCTGTTTCATCATAGTCCTCAAACCACTCCAAAATATCCCTTTGCAGATTCTACAAAAAGACTGTGTCCAAACTGTTCCATCAAAAGAAAGTTTCAACTCTGTGAGATGTATGCACACAGCACAAAGAAGTTTCTCAGAAAGTTTCTCTCTAGTTTTTATGTGAAGATATTTCCTTTTTCACCATAGGCCTCAAAGCTCCCTTTAATATCACCTTGCATCTTCCTCAAAAAGTATGTTTCCAAATCACTCCATCAAAGGAAAGTTTCAACTCGGCGAGATGAATTCACACATCAAAAAAGAGTTTCTCATCAAGTTTCTGTCTAGTTTTTATGTGAAGATAATTACTTTTTCAATATAGGCCTCAAAGGGCTCCCAAATATCCCTTTACAGATTCTAGAAAAGGACTGTTTCCAAACTGCTCAATCAAAAGAAAGGTTAAAGTCTGTGAGGTGAATGCACACATCGCAAAGATGTTTCTCAGAAAGTTTCTGTCTGGTTTCTGTCCGTTTTTCACAGTGGGCTTCAAAGGGATCCCTAACATCCCTTTCCAGATTCAAGAAAAAGACTGTTTCCAAACTGCTCAATCAAAAGAAATTTTCAACTCTGAGTTGAATGCACACATCACAAAGAAGTTTCTCAGAAACCTTCTGTCAAGTTTTTATGCATAGTTATTTCCTTTTTCACCATAGAACTCAAAGGGCTCCAAAATATCTTTTGCAGATTCTACAAAAAGACTGTTTCCAAACTGCTCAATAAAAAGAAAGTTTCAACTCTATGATATGAATGCACATATCACAAAGAAGTTCCTCAGAAAGCTTCTGTCTAGTTTTTATGTGAAGATATTTCCTTTTTCACCATAGGACTTGAAGGGCTGCTGAATATCCTTTACAGATTCTAAAAAAAGACTGTTTCCAAACTGCTGAATTAAAAGAAAGTTTCAACTCTGCGAGATGAATGCACACATCACAAAGAAGATTCTCAGAAAGATTCTTTCTAGTTTTTTGCAAAGATACTTCCTTTTTCACAATAGGCCTCAAACTGCTCAGAAATGTCACCTTGCAGATTCTACCAAGAGACCGTTTCCAAACTGCTCAATCAAAAGAAAGTTTCTACTCTCTGAGATGAATGCATTCATCACAAAGCAGTTTCTCAGAATGCTTCTGTCTAGTTTTTATGTGAAGATATTTCCTTTTTCACCATAGACCTCAAACCGCTCTGAAATATCCCTTTGCAGATTTTAGAAAAAGACAGCATCCAAACTGCTCAACTGAAAGAAAGGTCCAACTCTGCGGGATGAATGCAAACATCACAAAAGAGTATCTCAGCAAATTTCTGTCTAGTTTTAAAGTGAAGATAACTCCTTTTTCAATGGGGGCTTAAAAGGGGTCCCAAATATCCCTTTGCAGATTGTAGAAAAGGACTGTTTCAAAACTGCTCAATCAAAATATATATCCAACTCTGTTAGAGGAATGCACATATCAAAAAGAGGTTCTTCAGAAAGCTTCTGTCTAGTTTCTATGTGAAGATATTTCCTTTTTCACCATAGGCCTAGAAGGGCTCCAAATATCCCTTTGCAGATTCTACAAAAAGACTGTTTCCAAACTGCTCAAGCAAAATAAAAGTTCAACTCTGTGAGATGAATGCACTCATTACACAGAAGTTACTCAGAAATCTTCTGTCTAATTTGTATGTGAAGGTATTTCCTTTTTCACCATAGGCCTCAAAGGGCTCCCAATTATCAATTTGTGGATTCTACAAAAAGACTGTATCCAAACTGCTCAATCAAAAGAAAGGTTCAACTCTTCTAGATGAATGTACACATCATAAAAGAGTTTCTCAGAAAAATTTTATCTAGTTTTTATGTGAAGATAATTTCTTTTTCAAAATAGGCCTCAAAGGGCTCCCGAATATCACTTTGCTGATTCTAGAAAGGACTGTTTCCAAACTGCTCAATGAAAAGAAAATTTCAACTCTTTGACATGAATGCACACATCACAAAGAAGTTTCTCAGAAAGCTTCTGTCTAGGTTTTATGTGAAGATATTTCCTTTTTCACCATAGCCCTCAAAGCACCCTCAAATATCACTTTGCAGATTCCACAAAAAGAATCTTTCTAAACAGCTCAATCAAAAGGAAGATTGAACTCTGTGAGATGAATGCAAACATCACAAAGAAGTTCCTCAGAAAGCTTCTTTGTAATTTTTATGTGAAGGTATTTCCTTTTTCACCACAGGGTTCGAAGGGCTCCCAAATATCCTTTGCAGATACTACAAAAAGACTGTTTCCAAACTGCTCAATTAAAAGGAAAGGTTCAACTCTGTGAGATGAATGCAAACATCAGACAGAAGTTTCTCAGAAAGCTTCTGTCTAGTTTTTTGCAAAGATATTTTCTTTTTCACCATAGGCCTCAGACCACTCAGTAGAATCCCTTTGAAGATTCTACCAAAAGATTGTTTCCAAAATGTTCAATTAAAAGAAAGTTTCAACTCTGTGAGATGAGTGCAACCATCACAAAGAGGTTTCTCAGAAAGCTTCTGTGTAGTTTTTATGTGAAAATATTTCCATTTTCACCCTAAGCCTCAAACTGTTCTGAAATATCTCTTTGCGGATTCTAGAAAAAGACTGTTTCCAAACTGTTGAATCAAAAGAAACATTCAACCCCACGAGATGAATGCACATATCACAAAAGAGTATCTCAGAAAATTTCTGTCTAGTTTTAAAGTGAAGATAACTGCTTTTTCAATGTAGGCCTCAAAGGGGTCCCAAATATCCCTTTGCAGTTTCTATAAAAAGAATATTTCCAACCTTTTCAATCAAAAGAAAGGTGCAACTCTATGAGATGAATGCACACATCATAAAGAACTTTCTCAGAAAGCTTCTGTCTACTTTTTATCTGAAGATATTTCCTTTTTCACAGTAGATCTCAAAGGGCTCCCAAATACCACTTTGCAGATTCCACAAAACGACTGCCTCCAAACTGCTCAATCAAAAGAAATGTTCAATTCTGTAAGATGAATGAACACATCATAAAGAAGTTTCTCAGACGCATCTCTCTGTTTTTTATATGAAGATATTTACTTTTTCATCATAGGCCTCAAACAGCTCAGAAATATCCCTTTGCAGATTCTGCAAAAAGAATGTTTCCAAAGTGCTCAATCAAAAGAAAAGGTCAGTATTGTGAGATGAATGCATGCATCACAATGCAGTTTCTCAGAAAGCTTCTGTCTAGTTTTTGTGTGAAGGTATTTCCTTTTTCACCATAGGCCTCAAAGTGCCCTCAAATATCACTTCGCAGATCCTAGAAAAATACTGTTTCAAAAACTGCTCAATCATAAAAAGTTCAACTCTGTGAGATAAATGCACACATCACAAACAAGATTCTCAGAAAGGTTCTGTCTACATTTTATGTGAAGATATTTCCTTTTTCACAGTAAGCCTCCAAGGGTTCCAAAATATCCCTTTGCATGTTGTCCATAAAGAATGTTTCCAAGCTGCTCAATCAAAAGAAAGTTTCAACTCTGAGATGAATGGACACGTCACAAATTAGTTTCTCAGAAAGATTCTACTTAGTTTTTATGTGAAGATATTTCCTTTTTCACCATAGGCCTGAATCCTCTGCATAATATACCTTTGCAGGTACTACATATAGACTGTTTCAAAACTGGTCAATCAAAAGAAAATTTCAAATCTGTGAGATGAATGTGCTCATCAAAAAGAAGTTTCTCCAAATGTTTATGTCTAGTTTTTATGTGAAGATATTTCCTTCTTTACAATAAGCTGCAAATGGATCCCAACTATCCCTTTGTAGATTTTATGAAAGCCTTTTCCAAGCTGCTCAATCAAAAGAAAAGTTCAACTCTGTGAGATGAATGTACACAATCCAAAGTAGTTTCTCAGAAAACTTCTGTCTAGTTTTCATGTGAAGATATTTCCTTTTTCACCATATGCCTCAAAGGGCTCCAAATATCCCTTTGCAGATTCTACAAAAAGATTCTTTCCAAACTGCTCAATCAAAAGAAAGTTTCAACTCTGTGAGATGAATGCATACATCATAAAGAAGTTTCACAGACAGCATCTGACTAGTTTTTATATGAAGATATTTCCTTTTTCACAATAGGCCTCAAATCGCTCAAAAATATCTTTTGGAGATTCTACAAAAAAGACTTTCCAAACTGCTCCACCAAAAGAAATATTCAACTCTGTGAGGTGAATGCATGCATTACAAAGAAGCTTCTCAGAAAGCTTCTCTTTAGTTTTTATGTGAAGATATTCCCTTTTTCATCATTGGACTCAAAGGATTACAAATATCCCTTTGCAGATTCTACAAAAGAACTGTTTCTAAACTGCTCAATCAAAAGAAAGGTTCAAACATGTGAAGTGACTGCAAGCATCACTAAGGGGTTTCTCAGGAAGCTTCTGTCTAGTTTTTATGTGAACATATTTCCTTTTTCAGCATAGGCCTCAAAGCACCCTGAAATATCACTTTGCAGATTCTACAAAAAGACTGTCTCCAAGCTGCTCAAGCAAAAGAAATTTTCAACTCTGTGAAATGAATGCACACATCACAAAGAAGTTTTTCAGAAAGCTTCTGTCTAGTTTTTATGTGAAGATAATTCCTTTTTCACCATAGGCCTCAAAGAGCTCCCAAATATCCCTTTGTAGATTACACAAAAAGACAGTTTCCAAACGGCTCATTCAAAAGAAAGTTTCAAATCTGTGAGATGAATGCACAAATCACATAGAAGTTTCTCAGAAAGCTTCTGTCTAGTTTTTATGTGAAGATATTTTCTTTTTCACCATAGGCCTCAAAGTGCCCCCAGATATCTGTTGCAGATTCCACAAAAGGACTCTTTCCAACCTGCTCAATCAAAAGAAAAGTTCAACTCTATGAGACGAATGCACTTATCACAAAGAAGTTTCTCAGAAAGCTTCCGTCTAGTTTTCATGCGAAGATATTTCCTTTTTCACCATTGGCTTCAAACTGCTCAGAAATATCCCTTTGCAGATTCTACAAAAAGACTGTTTCCAAACTACTCAATCAATAGAAATGTTCAACTCTGTGAGATAAATGTGCACATCACAAAAAAGTTTCTCAGAAAGCTTCTGTCTACTTTTTATGTGAAGATATTTCCTTTTTCATCATAGGCCTCAAACGGCTTAGAAATATCCGTTTGCAGATTCTACAAAAAGACTGTTTCTAAACTGCTCAATCAAAAGAAATTTTCATCTCTCTGAGATGAATGCACACATCACAAAGACGTTTTTCAGAAAGCTTCTGTCTAATTTTTATATGAAGATATTTGTTTTTTTACCATGGGCCTCAAAGGGATCCCAAATATCCCTTTGCAGATTTTACAAAAAGACTGTTTCCAAACTGCTGAATCAAAAGAAAGGTTCAACTCTGTGAAATGGATATACACATCACAAAGAAGTTCCTCAGAATACTTGTGTCTAGTTTTTGTGTGAAGATGTTTCCTTTTTCATGATAGGAATCGAAGGGCTCCTAAATATCCATTTGAAGATTCTACAAAACACTGTTTCCAAACTTCTTAATCAAAAGAAAGTTTCAACACCGTGAGATGAATGCACACATCAAAAGAAGTTCCTCAGAAAGCTTCTGCCTAGTTTTTTTGTGAAGATATTTCCTTTTTCACCACAGGCCTCAAAAGGCTCAGAAATATCCTCTTGCGGATTCTAGAAAAATACTATTTCCAAACTCCTCAATCAAAGAAAGGTTCAACTGTGTCAAATGAATGCATGCATCACAAAGAAGTTTCTGAGAAATCTTCTGTCTAGTTTTTACGTGAAGATAATTCTTTTCACCATAGACCTCAAGGCGACCTCAAATGTCCCTTTGCCGATTCTACAAAATGACTGTTTCCAAACTGCTCAATCAAAAGAAAATTTAAATTCTGTGAGATGAATGCACAGATCACACAGAAGTTCCTCGAAAAGTTTCTGTCTAGTTTTTATGTGAAGATATTTCCTTTTCACCGTAGGCCTCGAAGGGCTACCAAATATCCCTTTGCAGATTCTACAAAAAGACTGTTTCTAAACTGCTCCATGAAAAGAAAGTTTCCAATCTGTGACATGAATACACACATAACAAAAGATGTTCTAAGAATATTTCTGTCTAGTTTTTATGTGAAGATGTTTCGTTTTTCACCATAGACCTCGAAGGACTCCCAAATATCCCTTTTCAAATTCTGCAAAAAGACTTTTTTGTAGTTTTTTTTCATTCCACCAAATTTTATTGATCACTTTTTCTGTATGAGATATGATTTCTGAATTCAAAGTGATTATGGCCCAAAGAGTGGGATGCACATATAAATTATCACCACACAGGGGTCATATTATAATTATCACTGAAAGGCTAGAAAAGCTCACAAGGAATAAATCAGAAGAGTTTCATACTGAACAGACCATGAAAGGCTAACAACAAAGATGGCCTCTGACCTTGACCCGGAAACCACAACAGGAGTTTTGAAGATAACAGCAAAATGTGGAAAGAATTTCAGTAGGAGGATAAAATAGCATTTGTATTCACATAGGAGAAGGAAATAGGAGCTTGAAAAAAAAATTGTCACCAAGCAATTCTAAACCAGAGATGTGTCTCTCTTGCCCAGGCTGAAGGGCAATGGTGAGATCTTAGCTCAGTGAAGCCTCAACATATTCGGCTCAAGTAATCCTCCCACCTCAGCCTCCCAAGTAGTTAGGACTATAGTTGTGGGTAACCATGCCCAGCTATTTTTTTTGGTATCTTTTTAAATTTAATTTTATTATACTTTAAGTTTTAGGGTACATGTGCACAATGTGCAGATTAGTTACATATGTATACATGTGCCATGTTGGTGTGCTGCACCCATTAACTCGTCATTTAGCATTAGGTATATCTCCTAATGCTATCCCTCCCCCCTTCCCCCACCCCACAACAGGCCCCAGTGTGTGATGTTCCCCTTCCTGTGTCCATGTGCTCTCATTGTTCAATTCCCCCCTATGAGTGAGAACACACAGTGTTTGCTTTTTCTCCTTGCGATAGTTGGCTGAGAATGATGGTTTCCAGTTTCATCTATGTCCCTACAAAGGACATGAAATCTTCATTTTTTATGTCTGCATAGTATTCCATGGTGTATATGTGCCACATATTCTTAATCCAGTCTATCATTGTTGGACATTTGGGTTGTTTCCAAGTCTTTGCTATTGTGAATAGTGCCGCAATAAATCATATGTGTGCATGTGTCTTTATAGCAGCATGATTTATAATCCTTTGGGTATATGTCCAGTAGTGGGATGGCTGGATCAAATGGTATTTCTAGTTCTAGAACCCTGAGGAATTGCCACGCCAACTTCCAAAATGGTTGAACTAGTTTACAGTCCCACCAACAGTGTAAAAGTATTCCTATTTCTCCACATCCTCTCCAGCACCTGTTGTTTTCTGACTTTTTAATGATCGCCATTCTAACTGGTGTGAGACGGTATCTCATTGTGGTTTGATTTGCATTTCTCTGATGACCAGTGATGGTGAGCATTTTTTAATGTGTTTTTTGGCTGTATAAATGTCTTCTTTTGAGAAGTATCTGTTCACATCCTTCGTCCACTTTTTGATGGGGTTGTCTGCTTTTTTCTTGTAAATTTGTTGGTGTTCATTGTAGATTCTGGCTATTAGCCCTTTGTCAGATGAGTAGGTTGTAAAAATTTTCTCCCATTTTGTAGGTTGCCTTCTCACTCTGATGGTAGTTTCTTTTGCTGTGCTGAACCTCTTTAGTTTAATTGGATCACATTTGTCAATTTTGACTTTTGTTGCCATTGCTTTTAGTGTTTTAGAAATGAAGTCCTTGCCCATGCCTATGTCCTGAATGGTAATGCCTAGGTTTTCTTCTAGGGTTTTTATGGTTTTAGGTCTAATCTGTAAGTCTTTAATCCATCTTGAATTAATTTTTGTATAAGGTGTAAGGAAGGGATCCAGTTTCAGCTTTCTACATATGGCTAGACCATTTTCCCAGCACCATTTATTAAATAGGGAATCCTTTCCCCATTGCTTGTTTTTGTCAGGTTTGTCAAAGATCAGATGGTTGTAGATATGTGGCATTATTTCTGAGGGCTCTGGTGTACTCCATTGATCTATATCTCTGTTTTCTATCAGTACCATGCTGTTTTGGTTACTGTAGCCTTGTAGGATAGTTTGAAGTCAGGTAGCGTGATGCCTCCAGCTTTGTTCTTTTGGCTTAGGATTGACTTGGTGATGCGGGCTCTTTTTTGGCTCCATATTAACTTTAAAGTAGTTTTTTCCAATTCTGTGAAGAAAGTCATTGGTAGCTTGATGGGGATGGCATTGAATCTATAAATTACCTTGAACAGTATGTCCATTTTCATGATACTGATTCTTCCTGCCCATGAGCATGGAATGTTCTTCCATTTGTTTGTATCCTCTTTTATTTCATTGAGCAGTGGTTTGTAGTTGTCCTTGAAGAGGTCCTTCACATCCCTTGTAAGTTGGATTCCTAGGTATTTTATTCTCTTTGAAGCAATTGTGAATGGGAGTTCACTCGTGATTTGGCTCTCTGTTTGTCTGTTATTGATGCATAAGAATGCTTGTGATTTTTGTACATTGATTTTGTATCCTGAGACTTTGCTGAAATTGCTTATCAGCTTAAGGAGATTTTGGGCTGAGACAGTGGGGTTTTCTAGATATATAATCATGTCATCTGCAAACAAGGACAATTTGACTTCCTCTTTTCATAACTGAATACCCTTTATTTCCTTCTCCTGCCTAATAGCCCTGGCCAGAACTTCCAACACTATGTTGAATAGGAGTGGTGAGAGAGGGCATCCCTGTCTTGTGCCAGTTTTCAAAGGGAATGCTTCCAGTTTTTGCCCATTCAGTGTGATATTGGCAGTGGGTTTGTAATAGATAGCTCTTATTATTTTGAAATATGTCCCATCGATACCTAATTTATTGAGAGTTTTTAGCATGAAACGTTGTTGAATTTTGTCAAAGGCCTTTTCTGCATCTATTGAGATAATCATGTATTTTTTTGTCATAGGTTCTGTTTATATGCTGGATTATGTTTATTGATTTGCATATGTTGAACGAGCTTACATCCCAGGGATGAAGCCCACTTGATCATGGTGGATAAGCTTTTTGATGTGCTGCTGGATTCGTTTTGCCAGTATTTTATTGAGGATTTTTGCATCAATGTTCGTCAAGGATATTGGTCTAAAATTCTCTTTTTTGTTGTGTCTGCCAGGCTTTGGTATCAGGATGATGCTGGCCTCATAAAATGAGTTAGGGAGGATTCCCTCTTTTTCTATTGATTGGAATAGTTTCAGAAGGAATGATACCAGCTCCTCCTTGTACCTCTGGTAAAATTCGGCTGTGATTTCATCTGGTCCTGGACATTTTGTTTGGTAAGCTTTTGATTATTGCCTCAATTTCAGAGCCTGTTATTTGTCTATTCAGAGATTCAACTTCTTCCTGGTTTAGTCTTGGGAGGTTGTACGTGTCGAGGAATTTATCCATTTCTTCTAGGTTTTCTAGTTTATTTGCATAGAGGTGTTTATAATATTCTCTGATGGTAGTTTGTATTTCTGTGGGATCGGTGGTGATATCCCCTTTCTCTTTTTTTATTGTGTCTATTTGATTCTTCTCTCTTTTCTTCTTTATTAGTCTTGCTAGCGGTCTATCTTTTTTTTTTTTTATCCTTTCAAAAAACCAGCTTCTGGATTCATTAATTTTTTGAAGGGTTTTTTGTGTCTCTGTTTCCTTCAGTTCTGCTCTAATTTTAGTTATTTCTTGCCTTCTGCCAGCTTTTGAATGTGTTTGCTCTTGCTTCTCTAGTTCTTTTAATTGTGATGCTAGTGTGTCAATTTTAGATCTTTCCTGCTTTCTCTTGTGGGCATTTAGTGCTATAAATTTCCCTCTACACACTGCTTTGACTGTGTCCCTGAGATTCTGGTATGTTGTGTCTTTTTTCTCGTTGGTTTCAAAGCACATCTTTATTTCTGCCTTCATTTCGTTGTGTACCCAGTAGTCATTCAGGAGCAGGTTGTTCAGTTTCCTTGTAGTTGAGTGGTTTTGAGTGAGTTTCTTAATCCTGAGTTCCAGTTTGATTGTACTGTGGTCTGAGAGACAGTTTGTTATAATTTCTGTTCTTTTACATTTGCTGAGGAGAGCTTTACTTCGAACTATGTGGTCAATTTTGGAATAAGTGTGGTGTGGTGCTGAAGAAAATGTATATTCTGTTGATTTGGGTTGGAGAGTTCTGTAGATTTCTATTAGGTCTGCTTGGTGCAGAGCTGAGTTCAATTCCTGGATATCCTTGTTAACTTTCTGTCTTTTTGATCTATGTAATGTTGACAGTGGGGTGTTAAAGTCTCCCATTATTATTGTGTGGGAGTCTAAGTCTCTTTGTAGGTCACTAAGGATGCGCTTTATGAATCTTGGTGCCCCTGTATTGAGTGCATGTACATTTAGGATAGTTAGCTCTTCTTGTTGAATTGATCCCTTTACCATTATGTAATTGCCTTCTTTTTTTCTTTTGACATTTGTTGGTTTAAAGTCTGTTTTATCTGAGACTAGGATTGCAAACCCTGCCATTTTTTGTTTTCCATTGGCTTGGTAGATCTTCCTCCATCCTTTCATTTTGAGCCTGTGTGTGTCTCAGTGTGTGAGATGGGTTTCCTGAATACAGTACACTAATAGGTCTTGACTTTTTATCCAATTTGCCAGTCTGTGTCTTTTAATTGGAGCGCTTAGCCCATTTACATTCAAAGTTAATATTTTTATGTGTGTATTTGGTCCTGTCATTATGATGTTAGCTGGTTATTTTGCTCGTTATTTAATGCAGTTTTCTTCCTAGCCTTGATGGTCTTTACATTTTGGCATGTTTTCACAGTGGCTGGTACCGGTTGTTCCTTTCCATGTTTAGTGTTCCTTCAGGATTTCTTTTAGGGCAGGCCTGGTGGTGACAAACTCTCTCAGCGTTTGCTTGTCTGTAAAGTATTTTATTTCTCTTTCACTTATGAAGCTTAGTTTGGCTGGCTATGAAATTCTAGGTTGAAAATTCTTTTCTTTAAGAATGTTGAATATTGTCCCCCACTGTCTTCTGGCTTGTGGAGTTTCTGCCAAGACATCTGCTGTTAGTGTGATGGTCTTCCTTTTGTGGCTAACCCGAACTTTCTCTCTGACTGCCCTTACCTTTTTTTGCTTCATTTCAACTTTGGTGAATTTGACAATTATGTGTCTTGGTGTTGTATTTCTTGGGGAGTATCTTTGAGGCGTTTTCTATATTTCCTGAATCTGAATGAAGTTCTCCTGGATAATAACCTGCAGAGTGTTTTCCAAATTGGTTCCATTCTCCCCGTCACTTTCAGGTACACCAATCAGACGTAGATTTGGCCTTTTCACATAGTCTCATATTTCTTGGAGGCTTTGTTCATTTCTTTTTATTCTTTTTTCTCTAAACTTCTCTTCTCACTTCATTTCATTCATTTCGTGTTCCATCACTGATACCCTTTCTTCCAGTTGATTGCATCAGCTCCTGAGGCTTCTGCATTCTTCAAGTAGTTCTTGAGCCTTGGCTTTCAGCTCCATCAGCTCCTTTAAGGACTTCTCTGCATTGGGTGTTCTAGTTATCCATTCGCCCAATTGTTTTTCAAAGTTTTTAACTTCTTTGACATCGGTTTGAATTTCCTCCTGTAGCTCAGAGTAGTTCGATCATCTGAAGCCTTCTTCTCTCAGCTTGTAAAAGTCCAGCTTTGTTCTGTTGCTGGTGAGGAGTTGCGTTCCTTTGGAGGAGGGGAAGCACTCTGCTTTTTAGAGTTTCCAGTTTTTCTGCTGTTTTTTCCCCATCTTTGTGGTTTTATCTACTTTTGGTCTTTGATGATGGTGACGTACAGAAGGGTTTTCAGTGTGGATGCCCTTTCTGTTTGTTAGTTTTCCTTCTAACAAACAGGGTCCTCAGCTGCATGTCTGTTGGAGTTGGCTAGTGGTCCACTCCAGACACTGTTTTCCTGGGTATCAGCAGTGGTGCCTGCAGAAGAGCAGTGGCTGTGGAACAGCAGTGGCTGTAGAACAGCAGTGGCTGTGGAACAGCAGGTCTTTGTGAACCACATATGCTGCTGCCTGACCTTTTGTCTGGAAGTTTTGTCTCAGAGGAGTACCCGGCTGGGTGAGGTGTCAGTCTGCCCCTACTGGGGAGTGCCTCCCAGTTAAGCAGTTCGTGGTGAAGGACCTACTTGAGGAGGCAGTCTGTCCATTCTCAGATCTCTAGCCGCATGCTAAGAGAATCACTAATCTCTTCAAATCTGTCAGA
The DNA here is from genome assembly GCF_000001405.40 of Homo sapiens. NCBI lineage: Eukaryota > Metazoa > Chordata > Mammalia > Primates > Hominidae > Homo > Homo sapiens. The sequence continues at coordinate 55,173,078 of NC_000011.10, forward strand.
CAGGGACCTTTAAGTCTGCAGAGGTTACTACAGTCTTTTTGATTGTCTGTGCCCTGCCCCAGAGGTGGAGCCTACACAGGCAGGCAGGCTTCCTCGATCTTTGGTGGGCTCCACCCAGTTCGAGCTTCCCAGCTGCTTTGTTTGTCTATCAAGCACGGGCAGTTGCAGGCACCCCTCCCCCAGCCTTGCTGCCACCTTGCAGTTTGATCTCAGAGTGCTGTGCTAGAAATCAGGGAGATTCCGTGGGCCTAGGACTCTCTGAGCCAGGTGCAGGATATAATCTTCTGGTGTGCTGCTTTTTATGCTTGATGGAAAAGCACAGTATTAGAGTGGGAGTGACCCAATTTTCCTGGTGTCATCTGTCACCCATTTCTTTGACTAGGAAAGGGAACTCCCTGACCCCTTGCACTTCCTGAGTGAGACAATGCCTCACCCTGCTTTGTCTCATCTCATGCACGGTGCACTGCACCCACTGTCCTGCACCCATGGACTGGCACTCCCTAGTGAGATGAACCTGGTACCTCAGATGGAAATGCATCACTCACACTGGGAGCTGTAGACCAGAGCTGTTCCTATTTGGCCATCTTCTGTTTTTTGTAGCTTTTATGTGAAGATAATTCCTTTTTCAAAATAGGCCTCAAAGGGCTCCCAAATGTCCCTTTGTGGATTCTACAATAAGACAGTTTCCAAACTGCTCAATCAAAAGAAAGTTTCAACTCTGTGAGGTGAATGCACAGATCACAAAGAAGTTCCTCAGAAAGCTTCTGTCTAGTTTTTATGTGAAGATATTTCCTTTTACACCATAGGACTAGAAGGGCTCTCAAATATCTCTTTGCAGATTCTACAAAAAGAATGTTTCCAAACTGCTCAATGAAAAGAAAGTTTCAACTCTGTCAGATGAATGCACACATCACAAAGAAGTTTCTCAGAAAGTTTCTGCCTAGATTTTTTATGAAGATATTGCCTTTTTCATCATAGGTCTCATACCCCTCAGAAATATTCCTTTGCAGAACCTACAAAAAGACAGTGTGCAAACTTCACAATCAAAAGACAGTGTCAACTCTCTGTGATGAATGCACACATCACAAAGAAGTTTCCCAGAACTCATCGTTCTAGTTTTTAAGTGAAGATATTTCCTTTTTCACCTTAAGTCTCAATGGGCTCCCAAATATCCCTTTACAGATACTACAAAAAGACTGTTTCCAAACTGCTCAATCAAAAGAAAGGCTCAACTCTGTGAGATGAAGGCACACATCACGAAGAAGTTTCTCAGAAAGCTTCTGTCTAGTTTTTATGTGAAGATAGTTCCTTTTTCACCATAGGCCTCAAACCACTCAGAAATATCCCTTTGTAGATTCTACAAAAAGACTGTATCCAAACTGCTCAATCAAAAGAAAGGTCAAACTCTGTGAGGTGAATGCACACATCACAAAGAAGTTTCTACGAAAGTTCCTGTCTAGTTTTTATGTGAAGGTATTTCCTTTTTCACCATAGGCCTCAAAGTGCTCCCAAGTTTCCCTTTGCAGATTATGTGAAAAGACTGTTTCCAAACTGCTCAATCAAAAGAAAGTTTCAACTTTACGAGATGAATTCACACATCACAAAAGAGCTTCTCAGAAAATTTCTGTCTAGTTTTGATGTGAAGATAATTCCTTTTTCAAAATACGACTCAAAGGGCTGCCAAATATCCCTTTACAGATTCTAGAAAGGACTCAACTCTGTGAGATGAATGCACACATCACAAAGAAGTTTCTCAGAAAGCTTCTGTCTAGTTTTTATGTGAAGATAGCTCCTTTTTCACCATAGGCCTCAAACCACTCAGAAATATCCCTTTGTAGATTCTACAAAAAGACTGTATCCAAACTGCTCAATCAAAAGAAAAGTCAAACTCTGTGAGGTGAATGCACACATCACAAAGAAGTTTCTGTGAAAGTTCCTGTCTAGTTTTTATGTGAAGGTATTTCCTTTTTCACCATAGGCCTCAAAGGGCTCCCAAGTTTCCCTTTGCAGATTATGCAAAAAGACTGTTTCCAAACTGCTCAATCAAAAGAAAGTTTCAACTCTGTGAGATGAATTCACACATCACAAAGACCTTCTCAGAAAATTTCTGTCTAGTTTTGATGTGAAGATAATTCCTTTTTCAAAATAGGCCTCAAAAGGCTGCCCTAAAGAAATATGCAACTCTGTGAGATGAATGCACACATCACAAGGAAGTTTCTCAGAAAGTTTGTGTCTAATTTTTAGGAGAAGATATTCCCTTTTTCTCCATAAGACTCAAAGGCATCCCTAATATCCCTTTGCAGATTCCAGAAAAAGACTGTTTCCAAAATTATCAATCAAAAGAAAAGTTCAACTCTGTGAGTTGAATGCACACATCAGAAAAAAATTCCTCAGAACGCTTCTGTCTAGGTTTTATGTGAAGATATTTCCTTTTTCACCATAAGCCTCAAAGGACTCCAAATATCCCTTTGCAGATTCTACAAAAAGACTGTTTGCAAACTGTTCAATCAAAAGAAAGGTTCAACTCCGTGAAATGAAGGCACACAACACAAAGAAGTTTCCCAGAAATATTCTGTCTAGTTCTTATGTGAAGATATTCCCTATTCCCTTTTTCAACATGGGTCTAAAATGTGATCCCAAGTATCCCATTGCAGATTCTACAAAAAGACTGTTACCAAACTGTTAAATCAAAACAAATGTTCAACTCTGTGAGATGAACGTACACATCACAAAGAATTTTCTCAGAAAGCTTCCATCTAGTTTTTATGTGAACATCATATTTCCTTTTTCACCTTAGGACTCAAAGGGCTCCAAAATATTCCCTTTCAGATTCTAGAAAAAGACTATTTTCAAAGTGCTCTATCAAAGAAAAGGTTCAACTCGGTGAGTTGAATGCAAACATCACAAAGAATTTTCACAGAAAGCTTCTGTCTAGTTTTTAATAGAAGTTATTTTGTTATTCACCACAGGCCTCAAACCACTAAGAAATATCCCTTTGCGGATTCTAGAAAAAGAATGTTTCCAAACTGCTCAATCAAAAGCATGCTCAACTTTGTGAGGTGAATGCACGCATCACAAAGAACTTTCTCAGAAAGTTTCTCTCTGTTTTCTATGTGAAGATATTTCCTTTTTCACCATGGGCCTCAAAGGGCTCCCAAATGTCCCTTTACAGATTCTACAAAAAGACGCTTTCCAAGCTGTTCAGTCAAAAGAAAGGCTCAACTTTATGAGATGAATGCACACATAAAAAATCAGCTTCTCAGAACGCTTCTGTATAGTTTTTTTGTGAAGATTTTCCTTCTTCAACATAGGCCTCAAAGGCCTCCCAATATCCCTTTGCGGATTCTACAAAAAGATTGTTTCCAAACTGCTCAATGAAAAGAAATGTTCAACTCTGTGAGATGAATGCACACATCACAAAGAAGTTTCTCAGAAAGCTTCTGCCTAGTTTTTAGGTGAAGATATTCCTTTCTTCTCCAATCAAAAGAAAGGTTAAGCTCTGTGCGATTAATGTATACATCACAAAGGAGTTTCTGAGAAAGCTTCCATCTAATTTTTATATGAAGATATTTCCTTTTTCACCATAGGCCTCAAAGTGCCCTCAAATACCCCTTTGCAGATTCTACAAAAATACTTTTTACAAGCTCCTCAATCATAAGAAAATTTGAGCTCTGTGAGATGAATGCGCACATCACAAAGAAGTTTCTCAGAAATCTTCTGTTTAGTTTTAATTTGAAGATACCTCATTTTTCACCATAGGCCTCAAATCGCTGAGATATATCCCATTTCAGATTGTACAAAACGACTGTTTCCAAACTGCTCAATAAAAAGAAAAGTTCAACTCTGTGATATGAATGCACTCATCACAAAGAAGTTACTCAGAAATCTTCCCTCTAGTTCCATGAGAAGATATTTCCTTTTTCACCATAGGACTCAAAGGGCTCCCAAATATCCCTTTGCAGATAGTGAAGATATTTTGTTTTTCACAGTAGCACTCAAGCCACTCAGAAATATCCCCTTGCAGATTCTACAAAAAGACTCTTTCCAAACTGCTCAATGAAGAGAATGTTTCAACTCTGTGAGATGAATGCACACATCACAAAGAAGTTACTGAGAAAGATTCTGTCTAGTTTTTATGTGAAAATATTTCCTTTTTCACCATAGGCCTCAAAATGCTCAGAAATATGCCTTTGCAGTTTTACAAAAAGACTGTTTTTTTTTGTAAAGGAAGTTTTTTGAGAAGGAAGTTTCTCAGGAACCTTCTGTTTAATATTTATGTGAAGGTATTTCCTTTTTCACCATAGGCCTCAAAGCACCCTCAAATATCCCTTTGCAGATGTTACAAAAAGACTGCTTCCAAACTGCTCAATCAAAGGAAATGTTCATCTATGTGAGATGAATGCACCCATCACAAAGAAGTTTCTCAGAAAGCTTCTGTCTAGTCTTTCTTTATGTGAAGATATTTTCTTTTTCAGCATAGGCCTCAAAGCACCCACAAGTATCCCTTTGCAGATGCTACAGAAAGACGGTTTCCAAACTGCTCAATCAAAAGAAATGTTCAACTCTGTGAGGTGAATCCACCCATCACAAAGAAGTTTATCAGAAAGCTTCTGTCTAGTTTTTATATGAAAATATTACCTTTTTCACCATGGGCCTCAATCCGCTAAGAAATATCCCTTTGCAGATTCTATAAAAAGACTGTTTCCAAACTGCTGAATCAAAAGAAAGTTTTAACTCTATGAGATGAATGCCCACATCACAAAGAAGCTTCTCAGAAAGATTCTGTCTACTTTTTATGTGAAGATAATTATTTTTTCATCATAGGCCTAAATCCGTACAGAAATATCCCTTTGCAGATTCTGTAAAAAGACTGTTTCCAAATTACCCAATCAAAAGAAAGGTTCAAACTCTCTGAGAATAATGCACACATATCAAAGAAGTTTCTCAGAAAGATTCTGTCCACTTTTTAGGTGAAGAAATTTCTTTTTTCACTGTTTGAGTGAAACCACTCAGAAATATCTCTTTGCAGATCCTAGAAAAAGACTGTTTCCACACAGCTGAATCAAAAGAAAGGTTCACCACTGTGAGGTGAATGAACTCATCATTTCTGAGAAAGAAGTTTCTCAGAAACCTTCTGTCTAGTTTTTATGTGTAGATATTCCCTTTGTCACCATAGGCCTCAGAGATCTCCCAAATATCCCTTTGCAGATTCTACACAAAGACTGTTTCCTAATTACTCAATGAAAAGAAAGGTTCAACTCCGTGAGACGAATGCACACATCACAAAGAAGTTTCTCAGAAAGCTTCTGTCTAGTTTTTATGTGAAGATATTCCCTTTTTCTCCAATCAAAAGAATGGCTAACCTTTCTGATAAAAGTGTTTCCAAGCTGCTCAATCAAAAGAAAGTTTGAACTCTGTGAGATGAATTCGCTCATCACAAAGAAGTTTCTCAGAAATCTGTCTAGTTTTAATTTGAAAATATTTCCTTTTTCACTATAGGCCTCAAATCACTGAGATATATCTCTTTTCAGATTCTGAAAAAAGACGGTTTCCAAACTACTCAATCAAAAGAAAGGTTTAACTCTCTGAGATGAAAGCACACATCACACAGAAGTTCCTCGGAAGGTTTCTGTCTAGTTTTATGAGAAAATATTTCCTTTTTCACCATAGGACTCGAAGGGCTCCAAATATCGCTTTGCAGATTGTGAAGATATTTTGTTTTTCACAGTTGCCCTCAAGCCACTCAGAAATATCCCCTTGCAGTTTCTACAAAAAAAACTCTTTCCAAACTGCTCTATCAAAAAAATGTTATGACTGTGTGTGATGAATGCACACATCACAAAGAAGTTACTGAGAAAGATTCTGACTAGTTTTTATGTGAAGATATTTTCTTTTTCACCACAGGCCTCAAAGGGCTCACAAATATCCCTTTGCAGATTCTACCAAAAGAGTGTTTCCAAAATCCTCAATGAAAGGTAAGGTTCAATTCCGTTAGATGGATGCACACATCACAAAGAAGTTTCTCAGAACGTTTCTGTTTACTTTTTATGTGAAGATATTTCCTTTTTGACAACAGGACTCAAACTGCTCAGAAACATTCCTTTGCAGATTCTACCAAAAGGCTATTTCCAAACTGATCAAGAAAAGAAAGTTCAACTCTGTGAGATGAATGCACACATCACAAAGTAGTTTCTCAGAAAGGTTCTGTCTAGTTTTTATGTGAAGATATTTCCTTTTTCATCATATACCTCAAATCTCTCAGAAATATCCATTTGCTGTTTGTACCAAAACTCTCTTTACAAACTGCTGAATCAAAAGAATCATTCAACTCTGTCTGTTGAATGCACACTTCATAAGGAAGTTTATGAGAAAGCTTCTGTCTAGTTTTTATGTGAAGATATTTTCTTTTTCACCATAGACCTCAAAGGGCTTGAAAATATCCCTTAGCAGTTACTACAAAAAGAATGTTTCCAAACTGTTCAATCAAAAAAAACGTTCAACTCTGTAAGATGAATGCACACATCATAAAGAAGTTTCTGAGGAAACTTCTGTCTAGTTTTCATATGAAGATATTTCATTTTTCACCAAAGGCCTCAAACTGCTCAGAAAGATCTCTTTGCAGATTCTACAAAAACACTGTTTCCAAACTGCTCAATCAAAAGAAAGGTTCAACTCTGTGAGATGAATACACACATCACAAAGAAGTTTGTCAGAAAGCTTCTGTCTAGTTTTTATGTAAAGATATTTCCTTTTTCACCATACACCTTGAAGGGCTCCCAAATATACCATTGCAGATGCTACAAATACTGTTTCGAATCTGCTCAATCAAAAGAAAGGTTCAATTTTGTGATATGGATGCACACATCACTGAGAAGTTTCTCAGAAAGCTTCTGTCTGTTTTTTATGTGAAGATGTTTCCTTTTTCACCATAGTCCTCAAACCACTCAGAAATATTTCCTTTGCAGATTCTACCAAAAGACTTTAAAAACTGCTCAATCAAAAGAAAGTTCAACTCTGTAAGATGACTGCACGCATCACAAAGAAGTTTCTCAGAAAGTTTCTGTCTAGTGTTTATGTGTAGATATTTCCTTTTCCACCACAAGCCTCAAACTGCTCAGAAATATCCCTTTGAAGATTCTACAAAAAGACTTTTTCCAAACTTCTCAAAAAAAAAGACAGGTTCAACTCTGTGAGATGAATGCACGCATCACAGAGACATTTCTCAGAAAGCTTCTGTCTAGTTTTTATATGAAGATATTCCCTTTTTCACCTTAGGCCTCAAAAGGATCCCAAATATCCGTTTGCAGATTCTACAAAAAGACTGTTTCCAAACTGCTCAATCAAAAGAAAATTTCCGCTCTGTGAGATGAATGCACACATCAAAAAAAAGTTTCTCAGAAAATTTCTGTCTAGCTTTTATGTGAAGATAATTCCTTTTTCAAAATATGCCTCAAAGGGCTCTCAAATATCCCTTTGCAGATTCTACAAAAGACTTTTTCCAAACTGCTCAAGAAAAAGAAAGGTTCAACTCTGTGAGATGAATGCATACATCACAAAGTCGTTTCTCAGATAGCTTCTGTCTAGTTTTTATGTGAAGATATTCCCTTTTTCACCTTTGGCCACAAAGGGATCCCAAATATTTATTTGCAGATTCTACAAAAAGACAGTCTCCAAACTGCTCAATCAAAAGAAAGTTTCAACTCTGTTAAATGAATAAACCCATCACAAAGAAGTTTCTCATAAAGCTTCTGTCTAGTTTTCATTTGAAGATATTTCCTTTTTCTCCATTGGCCTCAAATCGCTCAGAAATATCCCTTTGCAGATTCTACAAAAAACGGTTTCCAAACTGCTCAACCAAAAGAATGGTACAGCTCTGGGAGATGAAAGCACACATCACAAAGAAGTTCCTCAAAAAACTTCTCTCTAGTTTTTATATGAAGATATTTCCTTTTTCAGCATAGGCCTGACAGCGCCCACAAATATCACTTTGCAGATTCTAGAAAAAGACTGTTTCCAAAGTGCTCAATCAAAAGATAGTTTCAGCTCTGTGAGATGAATCCACACATCAATAAAAAGTTTATCAGAATATTTCTGTCTAGTTTTTATGTGAAGATAATTCCTTTCTCAAAATATGCATCGAAGGGCTCTGAAATATCCCTTTGCAGATTCTAGAAAAAAACCGTTTCCAAACTGCTCAATCAAAAGAAATGTTCAACTCTGTGAGATGAATGCACAGGTTACAAAGATGTTTCTGAGAAAGCTTCTGTCTAGTTTTTATGTGATGATATTTTCTTTTTCAGCATAGGCCTGAAAGCACCCACAAATATCACTTTGCAGATTCTAGAAAAAGACTGTTTCCAAACTGCTCAATCAAAAGATAGTTTCAGCTCTGTGAGATGAATCCACACATCAATAAAAAGTTTATCAGAAAATTTCTGTCTAGTTTTTATGTGAAGATAATTCCTTTTTCAAAATATGCCTTGAAAGGCTCCAAAATATACCTTTGCAGATTCTAGAAAAAAACTGTTTCCAAACTGCTCAATGAAAAGAAATTTTCAACTCTGTGACATGAATGCACACATCACACAGAAGTTCCTGAGAAAGCTTCTGCCTAGTTTTTATGTGAAGATATTTCCTTTTTCACCATAGTCCTCGAAGGACTCCCAAATATCCCTTTCCGGATTCCTCAAAAAGAATGTTTCCAAACTGCTCAATCAAAGGAAGGTTCAAATCTGAGAGATGAATGCATATATCACAAAGACGTTTCTCAGAAAACTTCTGTCTAGTTTTTGTGATGATACTTCCTTTTTCACCAAAGGCTTCAAAATGATTCCAAATATCCCTTTGCAGATTTTATAAAAAGACAGTTTCAAAACTTGTCAATCAAAAGAAAGGTTCATCTCTGTGACATGAATGCACACATCTCAAATAAGTTTCTCAGAGAGCTTCTGTCTAGTTTTTGTGTGAAGATATTTCCCTTTTCACCGTAGTCCTCGAAGGGCTCCCAAATATCCCTTTGCAGATTCTACTAAAAGAATCTGTCAAAACTGCTCAATGAAAAGAAAGGTAAAACTCTGTCAGGTGAGTACACACATCACAAAGAAGTTTCCCAAAAAGCTTCCCTCCAGTTTTTACATGAAGATATTTACTTTTTCATCTTAGGCCTCAAACCACTGAGAAATATACCTTTGCAGATTCCTCAAAAAGAATGTTACAAACTGCTCAATCAAAGGAAGGTTCAAATCAGAGAGATGAATGCACATATCACAAATAAGTTTCTCAGAAATCTTCTGTCTTTTTTTTATGTGATGATATTTGCTTTTTCACCATAGGCCTCAAACGGATTCCAAATATCCCTTTGCAGATTTTATAAAAAGAGTTTCAAAACTGGTCAATCCAAAGAAACGTTCAACTCTGTGACATGAATGAACACATCACAAAGAAGTTTCTCAGAGAGATTCTGTCTAGTTTTATGTGAAGATATTTCCCTTTTCATTGTAGTCCTTGAAGGGCTCCCAAATATCCCTTTGCAGATTCCACAAAAAAGAATCCGTCCAAAATGCTCAATGAAAAGAAAGGTACAACTCTGTCAGATGAATACACACATCACAAAGAAGTTTCCCAAAAAGCTTCCATCTAGTTTTTGCATGAAGATATTTCCTTTTTCACCACAGGCCTCAAACCTCTGAGAAATATCCCTTTGCAGATTCTACAAAGAGACAGTTACCAAAATGCTCAATCAAAAGAAAGTTTCAATTCTGTTAGATGAATGCACACGTCACAAATAAGTTTCTCAGTAATTTTCTGTCTAGTTTTTATGTGAAGATATTCCCTTTCTAACCATAGGCTTCAAGTGGATTCAAAATATCACTGCAGATCTAAAAAAAAGATTGTTTCAAAACTGCACAATCAAAAGAAAGGTTCAAGTCTGTGAGATGAATGCACGCATCTCAAATATTTTGTCAGAAAGATTCTGTCTAGTTTTCATGTGAACCTATTTCCTTTTTCACCACAGGCCTTAAAGTGCTCCCAAATATCCCATTGCAGATTGTACAAAAAGACTGTTTCCTAGCTTCTCAATCAAAAGAAAGTTTCAACTCTGTGAGATGAATACACACATCAAAAAGAAGTTTCCCAGAAAGCTTCTGTCTAGTTTTTATGTGAACATATTTTCTTTTTTACCATAGGCCTCAAAGGGCTCCCAAATATCCCTTTGCAGATTCTACAAAAAGACATTTTCCAAACTGCTCAATCAAAAGAAAGTGTCAATTCCATGAGGCGAATGCAAAAATCACATAGAAGTTCCTTAGAAAGATTCCATCTAGTTTTTATGTGAAGATATTTCCCATTTCACCATAGGTATCAAAGGGCTCCCAAATATCCCTCTGCAGATTCTACTAATAGGCTGTTTCCAAACTGATCAATGAAAGGAAAGGTTCAAATCTGTGAGGTGAATACACACAACACAAAGAAGTTTCTCAGAAAGCTTCTGCCTACTTTTTATGTGAAGATATTTCCTTTCTCATCATATGCCTCAACCCTCTCGGAAATATCCATTCGCTGATTGTACAAAAAGACTCTTTCCAAACTGCTCAATCAAAAGAAATGTTCAACTCTATTTATTGAATACACACATCAGAAATAAGTTTCTGAGAAAGCTTCTGTCTAGTTTTTATGTGAGGACATTTCCTTTTTCAACATAGGCCTCAGAGGGCTACAAACTATCCCTTTGCAGATTCCTCAAAAAGAATGTTTCCAAAGAGCTCAATCAAAGGAAGGTTCAAATCTGAGAGATGAATGCACATATCACAAATAAGTTTCTCAGAAAGCTTCTATTTTTTATGTGATGATATTTGCTTTTTCACCGTAGGCCTCAAACGGATTCCAAATATCCCTTTGCAGATTTTATAAAAAGACAGTTTCAAAACTGGTCAATCAAAAGAAAGGTTCAACTCTGTGACATGAATGCACACAACACAAAGAAGATTCTCAGAGAGCTTCTGTCTAGTTATTATGTGAAGATATTGCTCTTTTTACCATAGTCCTTGAAGGGCTCCCAAATATCCCTTTGCAGATTCTACAAAAAGAACCTCTCCAAACTGCACAATGAAAAAAAAGGTAAAACTCTGTCAGGTGAATACACACATCACAAAGAAGTTTGGCAAAATGCTTCCATCCAGTTTTTACACGAAGATATTTCCTTTTTCACCATAGGCCTCAAACCTCTGAGAAATATACCTTTGCAGATTCTACAAAAAGACAGTTTCCAAACTGCTCAATCAAAAGAAAGGCTCAACTCTGTTAGATGAATGCACACATCGCAAAGAAGTTTCTCAGTAATTTTCTGTCTAGTTTTTACGTGAAGATATTCCCTTTTTCACCATAGGCCTCAAATGGATTCAAAATATCACTTTGCAGATCTACAAAATACTGTTTCAAAACTGCTCAATCAAAAGAAAGGTTCAACTCTGTGAGATGAATGCACGCATCTCAAATATTTTGTCAGAAAGATTCTGTCTACTTTTTATGTGAACATACTTCCTTTTTCACCACAGGCCTCAAATCACTCCCAAATATCCCATTGCAGATTCTACAAAAGGACCATTTCCTAGCTTCTCAATCAAACGAAAGTTTCAACTCTGTGAGATGAATACACACATCATGAAGAAGTTTCCCAGAAAGCTTCTGTCTAGTTTTTATGTGAACATATTTTCTTTTTCACCATAGGTCTCAAAGGGCTCCCAAATATCCCTTTGCAGATTCTACAAAAAGACTCTTTCCAAACTGCTCAATCAAAAGAAAGTTTCAACTCTGTGTGTTGAATGCACACATCATGAAGAAGTTTCTGAGAAAGCTTCTGTGTAGTTTTTATGTGAAGATATTTCCTTTTTCACCACGGGCCTCAAAGTGCTCGCAAATATCCCTTTGCAGATTCTAAAAAAAGAGTGTGTCCAAACTGCTCAATCAAAAGAAAGTTTCAACTCTGTGAGATGAATGCACACATCACCGAGAAGTTTGTCAGAAAGCTCCTGTCTAGTTTTTATGTGAAGATATTCCCTTTTTCAGCATGGCCTCAAAGGGATTCCAAATATCCCTTTTCAGATTCTACAAAAAGACTGTTTCCAAACTGCTCAGTCAAAAGAAAGGTTCCACTCTGTGAGATGAATGCACACATCACAAAGTAGTTTCTCAGAAAGCTTCTGTCTAGCTTTTGTGTGAACATATTTCCTTTTTCATAACAGGCCTCAAAGGGCTCCCAAATATCCCTTTGCAGATTCTACCAAAAGTCTGTTTCCAAACTGCTCAATCAAAAGAATATTTCAACTCTGTTAGATGAATGCATGCATCACAAACAAGTTTCTCAGAAATCTTCAATCTAGTTTTTATGTGAAGATATTCCCTTTTTCAACAAAGGCCTCAAACTGCTCCAAAATATGCCATTGCACATTCTAGAATAAGACTGTTTCCAAACTGCTCAATCAAAAGAAATGTTCAACTTTTGAGATGAATGCACTCATTACAAAGAAGTTTCTGAGAAAGAATCTGTCTAGTTTTTATGTGAAGATATTTCCTTTTTAACCATAGGCCTGAAACCACTTAGAAATATCCCCTTGGAGATTCTAGAAAAATACTGTTTCCAAACTGCTGAATCAAAAGAAAGTTTCAGCTCTGTAGGATGAATGCACGCATCACAAAGAAGTTTCTCAGAAAGCTTCTGTCTACTTTTTGTGTGAGGATATTTCCTTTTCTACCATAGGCCTCAATACCCTGAGATATATCCCTTTGCAGATTCTAGAAAAAGACAGTTACCAAACTGCTCAATCAAATGAAAGTTTCAAGTCTGTGAGATGAATACACAAATCACAAAGAAGTTTCCCAGAAGGCTTCTGTCTATTTTTATGTGAAGATATTTCCTGTTTCATCATAGGCCTCAAAGTGACCTCAAATGTCCTTTTGCAGATTCTACAAAAAGACTGTTTCCAAACTTCTCAATAAAAAGGAAGTTTCAATTATGTGAGATGAATGCACACGACACAAAGGAGTTTCTCAGAAAATTTCTATTTGGTTTTTATGTGAAGATAATTCCTTTTTCAAAATAGGCCTCAAAGGGCTCCGAAATATCCCCTTGCAGATTTCACAAAAAGACTGCTTCCAAACTGCTCAATCAAAAGAAAGGTTCAACTCGGTGTGATGAATGCACACAGCACTAAGGAGTTCCTCAGAAATCTTCTGTCTAGTTTTTATGTGAAAATATTTCCTTTTTTCACCATATTCCTCGAAGGGCTCCCAAATATCCCTTTGCAGATTCTACAAAAAGACTCTTTCCATACTGCAAAATTGAAACTAAGTTTCAACTCTGAGAGACAGATGCACACATCACAAAGAAGCTTTCCAGAAAGTTTCTGTCTAGTTTTTATGTGAAGATATTTCCTTTTTCACCATATGCCTCACTGCACCCTCAAATATCACTTTGCAGATGCTACAAAAGGACTATTTCCAGCTGCTCAATCAAAAGAAATTTTCAACTCTGTGAGATGAATGCACTCATCACAAAGAAGTTTCTCAGAAAGCTTCTGTCTAGTTTTCATGTGAAGATATTTCCTTTTTTACCATAAGCCTCAAAGGGATCCCATATATCATGTTGCAGGTTGTACAAAAAGACTGTTTCTGAACTGTTCAATCAAAGGAAAGTTTTAGGACTGTGAGATGAATGCACAATTACAAACAAGTTCCTCTGAAATGTACTATCTACTTTTTCTGTGAAGGTAATTCCTTTTTCAAAATAGGCCTCAGAGGGCTCCCAAATATCCCTTTGCAGATTCTAGAAAAAGGATGTTTCCTAACTGCTCAATTAAAAGACAATTGCAACTCTGTTAGATGAATGCAAGCATAACAAACAAGTTTCTCAGAAATCTTTGGTCTTCTTTTTATGTGAAGATATTCTCTTTTCACCAAAGGCCTTGAACTGCTCTGAAATGTTCCTTTGCACATTCTAGACTAAGACCGTTTCCAAACTGCTCAATCAAAACAAAGTTTCAACTCTGTGAGGTGAATGCACACATCACAAAGAAATTTCTCAGAAAGTTTCTGTCTAGTTTTTTTGTGAAGATATTTCATTTTTCACCATAAGCCATAAATGGCTGAAAAGTATCCCTTTGGGGATTCTATAAAAAGACTGTTTCCAAACTGCTCAATCAAAAGAAAGATTCAAGTTTGTGAGATGAATGGACACAACAGAAGAAGTTTCTCAGAATGCATCTGTATAGTTTTTATGTGAAGATATTTCCTATTTCAGCATAGGCCTCAAATCACTCAGAAATATCCCTTTGCAGATTCTACAAAATGACGTTCTCAAATTGCTCAATCAAAAGAAAGTTTCAACTCTGTGAGATTAATGCACACATCACTCAGAAGTTCCTCAGAAATATTCTGCCTCGTTTTTATGTTAATATGTTTCCTTTTTCACAATAGGCCACAAACTGCTCTGCGATATCCCTTTGCAGATTATACAAAAAGATGGTTTCCAAACTGCTTAATCAAAAGAAAGTTTCAGCTCTGTCAGATGTATGCACACATTACAAAGACGTTTGTCAGAATCATTCTGTCTAGTTTTTATGTGGAAATATTTCCTTTTTCACTGTAGGCCACAAATGGCTCAAAAATATCACTTGTAGATTCTACAAAAAGACTGTTTACACACTGCTTAGTCAAAAGTAAATTTGAACTCTTTGAGATGAATGCATGCATCACAAAGACCTTTCTCAGAAAGCTTCTGTCTAGTTTTAATGTGAATATATTCCCCACCATAGGCCTGAAAAAGCACTCAAGGGTCCCATTGCAGATTCTACAAAATGAGTATTTCCAAACTACTCAATCAAAAGAATGGTTCAAGTCTGTGAGATGAATTCACACATCACAAAGAAGTTTCACAGAAAGCTTCTGTCTAGTTTTTATGTGAAGATATTTCCTTTTTCACCATAAGCCTCAAACCGCTCAGAAATATCCCTTTGCAGATTCTATAAAAAGACTGTTTCCAAACTGCTCAAACAAAAGAAAGGTTCAACTCTTTGAGTTGAATGCACACATCACAAAAAGTTTCTCAAAAAGCTTTCGTGTAGTTTTTTTATGAACATATTTCCTTTTTCACAATAGGCCTCAAAAAGCTCAGAAATATCCCTTTACGGATTCTACAAGAAGACTGTTTCCAAACTGCATAATCAAAAGAAAATTTCAACTGTGTGAGACGAATGCACACATCACAAAGAAGTTTCTCAAAAAGCTTCTGAGTAGTTTTTATGTGAACATATTTCCTTTTTCACAATAGGTCTCAAGCCACTCAGAAATATCCCTTTGTGGATTCTACAAAAGACTGTTTCCAAACTGCTCAAACAGAAGAAAGTTTTAGCTCTCTGAGGTGAATGCATACATAACAAAGATGTTTCTCAGAAAGGTTCTGTCTAGTTTTTATGTGATGATATTTCCTTATGCATCATAGGCCTCAAACCACCTTCTAGTATCCCTTTTCAGATTCTAGAAAAGGACTGTATCAAAACTGCTCTATCAAAACAAAGTTTCAACTCTGTAAGTTGAAAGCCCACAGTGAAAAGAAGATTATCAGGAAGATTGTCTAGTTTTTATGTGAAGATATATCCTTTTTCACCATAGGCCTCAAACTACTCAGAAATATCCCTTTGCAGATTCTACAAAAAGACTGTTTCCAAATTGCTCAATCAAAAGAATGGTTCAACACTGTGAGATGAATTCACACATCACAAAGAAGTTTCTCAGAAAGTTTCTGTCTAGTTTTCATGTGAAGATATTTCCTTTTTCACCATAGTCCTCAAAGGGATCCCAAATATTCCTTTGCAGATTCTACAAAAAGACGGTTTCCAAACTGCTAAATCAAAAGAAAGCTTTCACTCTGTGAGATGAATGCACACATCACAAAGAAGTTCTTCAGAAAGCTGCTTTCTAGTTTTTATGTGAAGATATTTCCTTTTTCACCATAGACCTCGAACGGCTCCCAAATATTCCTTTGCAGATTCTATAAAAAGACTGTTTCCAAACTGCTCAATCAAAATAAAGTTTCAACTCTGTGAGTTTAATTCACACATCACAAAGAAGTTTCTCAGTAAGCTTCTGTCTAGTTTATTTTGAAGATATTTCCTTTTTCACAATAGACCACAAACTGCTCAGAAATATCCCTTTGCAGATTCTACAAAATGATGGTTTCCAAACTGTTCAATCAAAAGACAGCTTCAAATCTGTGAGATGAATGCATGCATCACAAAGAAGTTTTTCAGAATGCTTCTGTCTAGTTTTTAAGTGAAGATATTCCCTTTTTTAACATTGGCCTCAAAGGGATCCTAAATATCCATATTCAAATTCTAGAAAAAGACTGTTTCCAAACTGCTCAATCAAAAGTAAGTTTCAACTCTGTGAGATGAATGCACGCATCACAAAGAAGTTTCTCAGAAAGCTTCTCTCCAGTTTCTATGTGAAGATATTTCCTTTTTCACCATAGGCCTCAATGCGCCTTCAAATATCACTTTGCAGATTCTACAAAAGACTGTTTCCAAACGGCTCAATCAAAAGAAGCTTTCAACTGTGTGAGATGAATGCACACATCACAAAAGGGTATCTCAGAAAATTTCTGTCTAGTTTTTATGTGAAGATAATTCCATTTTCAAAATGGGCCTGAAAGGTCTCCAAAATGTCCCATTTCACATTCTAGAAAAAGAGTGTTCCCAAACTGCTCCACCAATAGAAAAGTTCAACTTTGTGAGGCGAATGCAGACATCACAAAGAGGTATCTCAGAAAGCTTCTGTCTAGTTTTTATGTGAAGATATTCCCTTTTTTAACATTGGCCTCATAGGGATCCAAAATATCCGTTTTCAGATTGTAGAAAAAGACTGTTTCCAAACTGCTCAATTGAAAGAAAGTTTCAACTCTGAGAAATAAATGCACACATCACAAAGAAGTTTCTCAGAAAGCTTCTGTCTAGTTTTTTGTGCAGATATTTCCTTTTTCACCATAGGCCTCAAACTGCTCAGAAATATCCCTTTGAAGATTCTACAAAAAGACTCTATCCAAACTGCTCTTTCAAAAGAAAGGTTCAACTCTGTGAGATGAATGTGCACATCACAAAGGAATTTATCAGAAAGCTTCTGTCTAGTTTTTATGTGAAGATATTTCCTTTTTCACCATAGGCATCAAATGGCTCCCAAATATCACTTTGCAGATTCTACAAAAATACTGTTTCCAAAATGCTCAACCAAAAGAAAGGTTCAACTCTGTGCATTGAATCCATGCATCAAAAGGAAGTTTCTCAGCAAACTTCTGTCTAGTTTTTATGTGAAGATATTTCCTTATTCACCACAGGCCTCAAAATGCTCAGAAATATCCCCTTGCAGATTCTAGAAAAAGACTATTTCCAAACTTCTCAATCAAAAGAAAGGTTCAACTCTGTGATATGAATGCACACATCACAAAGAAGCTTCTTAGAAAGACTCTATCTAGTTTCTTGTGAAGATATTTCCTTTTTCACCTTAGGTGTCAAGTATTTCAGAAACATCCCTTTGCAGATTCTACAAACACACTGTTTCCAAACTGCTCAATCAAAAATAGGTTCAACACTGTGATATGAATGCATTCATCACAGAAGAGTTTCTCAGAAAAAATGTGTCCAATTTTTATGTAAAGAAAATTTCTTTTTCAAAATAGGCCTCTAAAGTTTCCCAAATATCCCTTTGCCGATTCTAAAAAAAGACTGCTTCAAAACTGCTCAATTGAAAGAAAGGTTTAACTCTGTGAGATGAATGCACACATCACAAAATGTTTCTGAGAAAGCTTCTGACTAGTGTTTCTGTGAGGATATTTCCTTTTTCTCCATGGGCCTCAAAGGGTTCCCACATATCCATTTGTAGATTCTGCAAAAAGAATTTTTCCAGACTGCTCAATCAAAAGAAAATTTCAACTCTGTGAGATGTATACATGCATCACAAAGAAGTTTCTCAGAAAGCTTCTGTCTAGTTTTTATGTGAAGATATTTTCTTTCTCAAAATTGGCACCAAAAGGCCCTCAAATATCCCTTTGCAGATACTACAAAAAAACTGTTTCCAAACTGCTCAATCAAATAAAGTTTCAACTCTGTGAGTTGAATGAACACAAAACAAACAAGTTTCTCAGAAAGCTTCTGTCTAGTTTTTTTGTGAAGATATTTCCTTTTTCACCATAGGCCTTACACCGCAGAGAAATATCCCTTTGCAGATCCTACAAAAACACTGTTTCAAAACTGCACAATCAAAAGAAAGTTTCAGCTCTCTGAGATGAATGCACACATCACAAAGAAAAAAATTCTCGGAAAACTTCTGTGTAGCTTTTATGTGAATATATTTCCTTTTTCACCATAGGCCTCAAAGCCCCCTCAAATATCCCATGTAGATTCTATGAAAAAACTGTGTCCAAGCTGCTCAATCAAAAGAAAGTTTCAACTCTGTGAGAGGAAAGCACACATCTTCAAATGTGTGAGATGAATGCACACATCACACAGAAGTTCCTCAGAAAGCTTCTGTCTAGTTTTTATGTGAGGGTATTTCCTTTTTAACCATAGGCCTCAAGCTGCTCAGAAATATCCCTTTGCAGATTCTACAAAAAGGCAGTTTCCAAACTGCTCAATCAAAGGGACATTTGAGGACACTTCTCTGAAAGCCTCTGTCTAGTTATTATGTAAAGATATTCACTTTTTCACCATTGGCCTCAAAAGACTACCAATATCCCTTTGCAGATTCTACAAAAGGACTGTTTCCAAACTGCTCAATCAAAAGAAAGGTTCAACTGTGTGAGATGAATGCACACATCACAAAGAAGTATTTCAGAAGGCTTCTGTCTCAGGTTTTTTGAAGATATTCCATTTTTCACCATAGTCCTCAAAGGGATAAAATATATCCCTTTGCAGATTCTACAAAAAGAGTTTTTTTTTTTTCACCATAGGCTTTCCGAGAAACTTCATTGTAATGAGTGCATTCATCTCGCAGAGTGGAACGTTTCTTTTGATTGAGCAGTTTGGAAACACTCTTTTTGTAGTATCTGCAAATGGATATTGGGAGCGCTTTGAGGCCTATAGCTGAAAAGGAAATATCTTCACATAAAAACTAGACAGAAGCATTCCAAGAAACTTCTTTGAGATGTGTGCATTCATCTCACAGAGTTGAAAATTTCTTTTGACTGAGCAGTTTGGATACAGTCTTTTTGTAATATCTGCAAAGGGATAATTTGAAGACCTTTGAGTTATATGGTGGAAAAGAAAATATCTTCCATAAAAACTAGACAGAAGGATCCTGAAAATCTTCTTTGTGATGAGTGCATTCATCTCAGAGTTGAAACTTTCTTTTGGTTGAACAGTTTGGAAACAGTCTTTTTGTAGAATCTGTAAAGGGATATTTGGGATCCCTTTGAGGACTATGGTGAAAAAGGGAATATCTTCAAAAAAGACTAGACATAAGCTTTCTGAAAGACTTCTTTGTGATGTGTGCATTCATCTCACGGAGTTGGACCTTTCTTTTGATTGAGCAGTTTGGAAACAGTCTTTTAATAGAATCGGCAAAGGGATATTTGGAGCCCTTTGAAGAGCTGAAAAAGGAAATATCTTCATATAAAAACTAGGTAGAAGCTTTCTGAGAAACATAATTGTGACGTGTGAATTCATCTCACAGAGTTGAACCTTTCTTTTGATTGAGCAGTTTGGAAACAGTCTTTTAAGAGAATTTTCAAAGTGATATTTCTCAGTGATTTGAGGCCTAAGGTGAAAAAAAGAATATATCTTTACATAAAAACTAGAGAGAAGTTTTCTGATTAACTTATTTCTGATATGTGCATTCATCTCATATTGTTGAACATTACTTTTGATTGAGCAGATTGGAAACAGTCTTTTTGCAGAGTCTGCAAAGGGATAATTGGGATCCCTTTGAGGACTATGATGAAAAAAAATATCTTCACATAAAAACTAGACAGAATCATTCTGAGAAACTTCTTTGTGATGTGTGCATTCATCTCACATAGTTGAACCTTTCTTTTGATTGAGCAGTTTAGAAACAGTCTTTTTGTAAAATCTGTCAAGGGATATTTGTCTCCAGTTTGAGGCCTATGGTGAAAAAGGAAATATCTTCACATAAAAACTAGAAAGAAGCTTTCTGAGAAACTTCTTTGTGATGGGTGGATTCATCAAACAGAGTAGAACCTTTCTTTTGATTGAGCAGTTTGGAAAAAGTCTTTTTGTAGAATCTGCAAAGGGATATTTGTGGACACTTTGAGGCCTACGTTGAAAAAGTAACCTTTTCACATGAAAACTAGAGAGAAGATTTCTGAGAAACTTCTTTGTGATGTGAGCATTCATCTCACAGAGTTGAAACTTTCCTTTGGTTGAGCAATTTGTAAACAGTCTTTTGTAGAATCTGTAAAGGGATATTTGGGACCCCTTTGAGGTCTAATGTGAAAAAGGAAATATCTTCAAATAGAAACTAGACAGAAGTTTTCTGAGAAACTTATTTGTGATGTGTGCATTCACCTCAAAGAGTTTAACCTTTCTTTTGATTGAGCAGTTTGGAATCAGTCTTTTTCTAGAATCTGCAAAGGGATATTTTTGAGGGATTTGAGGACTACAGTGAATAAGGAAATATCTTCTAAGAAAAACTACACAGAAGCTTTCAGGGAAAATTGTTTGTGATGTGTGCATTCAACTCAAGGAATTAAAATTTTTATTTGATTGAGCAGTTAGGAAACAGTCTTTTGGTAGAACATGCAAATTGATATTTGGGAGTCCTTTGAGGGCCTATGGTGAAAAAGGAAATATGTTCACATAAATACTAGACACAAGCTTTCAGAGAAGCTTCTTTTTGATGTGTGCATTCAACTCACAGAGTTGAACCTTACTTTCGATTGAGCAGTTTTGAAAGTCTTTTTGTAGAATCTGCAAAGGGATATTTGGGATACCTTTGAGGACCATGGTGAAAAAGGGAATATCTTCACAAAAAAACTAGACAGAAGCTTTCTGGGAAACGTCTTTGTGACGTGTCTATTCATCTCACTGAGTTGAACCTTTCTTTTGTTTGAGCAGTTGGGAAACAGTCTTCTTGTAAATTCTGCAAAGGGATATTTGGAGCCCTTTGAGGCCTACGGTGAAAAAGCAAATATCTTCACGTAAAAACTAGTCAGAAGCTTTCTGAGAAACTTCTTTGTGATGTGTAAATTCATCTGCCAGAGTTGAACCTTTATTTTGATTGAGCAGTTTGGAAACAGTTTTCTTGTAGGATTTGCAAAAGGATATTTGGGAGCCCTTTGAAGCTCATGGTGAAAAAGGAAATATGTTCACATAAAAATTGTACAGAAGTTTTCTGAGAAACTTCTTTGTGATGCGTGTATTCATCTGACAGAGTTCAACCTTTGTTTTGATTGAGTAGTTTGGAATCAGTCTTTTTGTAGAATCTGCAAAGGGATATTTGGGATCCATTTGAGGCCCATGGTAAAAAAGGGAATATCTTCACGTAAAAACTAGACAGATTCTTTCTGAGAAACTTATTTGTGATGTGTGTGTTCATCTCACAGAGTTGAAGCTTTCTTTTGATTGAGCAGTTTGGAAACAGTCTTTTTGTAGAATCTGCAAAAGGATATTTCTGAGTGGTTTGAGGCCAGTGGTGAAAAGGTAAATATCTTCACATAAAAACTAGACCGAATATTTCTGAGAAAAGTCTTTGTGATGTGTGCATTCATCTCACAGAATAGAAACTTTCTTTTGATTGAGCAGCTTGGACACAGTCTTTTTGTAGAATCTGCAAAAGGATGTTTGTGGGTACTTTGAGGCCTATAGTAAAAAAGGGAATATTTTCATATAAAAACTAGACAGAAATTTTCTGAGAAACTTATTTGTGATGTGTGCATTCATTTCCCAGAGTTCAAATTTTCTTTTGATTGAGCAGTTTGGAAACAGTCTTTTTGTAGAATCTGCAAAGGGATGTTTCTGAGCGGATTGAGGCCTACGGTGAAGAAGGAAATATCTTCACATAAAAACTAGGCATAAGCTTTCTGAGAAACTATTTTGTGATGCGTGCTTTCATCTCCCAAAGATGAACCATTCTTTTGATTGAGTAGTTTGGAAACATTATTTTTCCAGAATCTGCAAAGGGATATTTGGAAGCTCTTTGAGGCCTATTTTGAAAAAGGAATTATCTTCACATAAAAACTAGACAGAAATTTTCTGAGACACACTTTTTTGATGTGTGCATTCATCTCACAGGTTTGTACCTTTCTTTTGACTGAACAGTTTGGAATCAGTCTTTTTCTAGAATCAGCCTAAGGATATTTGTGAGGCCTTCGAGGCCTATGGTGTAAAAGGAAATATCTTCACATAAAAACTAGATAGAAGCTTTCTGAAAAACTTATTTGTGCTGCGAGCATTCATCTCACAGAGTTGAAACTTTCTTTTGATTGAGCAGTTTGGAAACGGTCTTTTTGTATAATCTGCAAAGGGATATTTGGGATCCCTTTGAGGTCCATGGTGAAAAAGGGAATATCTTGAAATAAAAACTGGACAGAAGCTTTCTGAAAAACTTCTTTGTGATATCTGCATTCATCTCCCACAGTTGAATATTTGTTTTGATTGATCCGTTTGGAAACAGTCTTTTTGTAGAATCCGCACTAGGGTATTTTTGAGTGTTTTGAGGCCTGTTATGGAAAAGGAAATATCTTTATATGAAAACTAGACAGAAGTTTTCTGAGAAACTTTTTTGTGACGTGTGCATTTATCTCACAGAGATGAACATACGTTTTTATTGAGCAGTTTGCAAACAGTCTTTTGATACTATCTGCAAAGGGATATTTCTGAACGGTTAGAGGCCTATGGTGAAAAAGGAAATATCTTCATGTAAAAACTAGACAGAAGCTTTCGGAGAAACTTCTTTATGATGTGTGCATTCACCTGACAGAGTTGAAACTTTCTTTTGATTGAACAGTTTGGAAATAGTCTTTTTTCAGAATCTGCAAGGGACATTTGGGAGCCCCTTGAGGCCTATGGTGAAAAGGGAAATATCTTCACATAAAAACTAGAAAGAAGGTTTCTGAGAAACTTCTTTGTGATGTGTGCATTCAACTCACAGAGTTGAAAATTATTTTTGAGTGAATATTTTGGAAACAGTCATTTTGTAGCATCTGCAAAGGGATATTTGGGAGACCCTTGAAGCCTATGGAGATAAAGGAAATATCTTCACATAAAATCTAGACAGAAGCTTTCTCAGAAACTTCTTCATGATATGTGCATTCATCTCACAGAGTTGAAACTTTCTTTTGATTGAGAAGTTTGAAAACAGTCTGTTTGTAGAATCTGCCAAGGGTTATTTTTGAACAGCTTGAGGCCTATGGTGAAAAAGAAAATATCTTCACATAAAAACTAGACAGAAGTTTTCTGAGAAACTACTTTTGATGTGTGCATTCCTCTCACCGAGTTGAACCTTTCTTTTGATTGATCGGTTTGGAAACATTCTTTTTGTACAATCCACACTGGGCTATTTCTGAGTGGTTTGAGGCCTATGATGAAAAAGGAAATATCTTCATGTAAAAACTAGACAGATGTTTTCTGAGAAACTACTTTGTGATCTGTGCATTTCTCTCACAGAGCTGAACATATCCTTTGATTGAGTAGTTTGGAAACAGTATTTTTTGTAGAATCTGCAAAGATATATTTGGGATACGTTCATGGCCAAAGGTGAAAAATGAAATATCTTCACATAAAAACTAGACAGAAGCTTTCTGGGAAACTTTTTGTGATGCGTGCATTCATCACAGAGTTGAAACTTTCTTTTGATTGAGCAGTTTGGAAACAGTCTTTTTCTAGAATCTTCAAAGGGATATTTCTGAGCTGTTAGAGGCCTATGGTGAATAGGTAGATGATTTCTGGGAAACTTTTGTGATATGTGCAAAGACTGTTTCCAAGCTGCTCAATCAAAAGAAAGGTTCAACTCTGTGAGATGAATACACACATAACAAAAAAGGCCTTCAGAAAGCTTCTGTTTATATTTTATGTGAAGATATTTCCTTTTTTATCTTAGTCCTCAAAACACTCAGAAATATCACTTTGAAGATATGACAAAAAGACGTTTTCCAAACTGCATGATCAAAAAAAGTTTCAAATCTGTGAGATGAATACACACATCACAAAGAAGTTTCTGAGAAAGCTTCTGACTAGTTTTTATGTGAAGATATTTTCTTTTTCACCAAAGACCTCAAAAAGCTCACAAATATCCCTTTGCAGATTCTAAAAAAAGACAGTTTTCAAACTGCTCAAATAAGAAAGTTTCAACTCTGTGAGATAAATGCATGCATCACAAAGAAGTTTCTCAGAAAGCTTCTTTCTAGTTTTTATGGGAAGTTATTTCCTTTTTCACTGTAGGCCTCAAAGCGCCCTGAAATATCACTTTGCAGATGCTACAAAAGACTGTTTCCAAACTGTTGAATCAAAAGGAAGGTTCAAATCTACGAGATGAATGCACACATAACAAAAGTGTATCTCAGAAAATTTCTGCCTAGTTTTAATGTGAAGATAATTCCTTTTTCAAAGTAGGCCTCAAAGGGCTCCGAAATATCCTTTTGCAGATTCTACAAAAAGACTATTTCCAAACTGTGCAATCAAAAGTAAGTTACAACTCTGAGTGAATTCACACATCTGAAAGCAGTTTTTCAGAAAGCTTCTGTCTAGTTTTTATGTGAAGATATTTCCTTTTCCACCATGGGCCTCAAAATGCCCTAAAATATCACTTTGCAGATTCTACAAAAAGAACGTTTCCAAGCGGCTCAATCAAAAGATAGGTTCAACTTGGTGAGATGAATGCACACATCACAAAGAAGTTTCTCAGAATGCTTCTGTCTAGTTATTATATGAAGATATTTCCTTTTTCACCTTAGGCCACAAGCCACTCAGAAATATCCTTTTGCAGATTCTGCAAAAAGATTCCTTCAAAACTGCTCAAAAGAAAGTTTCAATGCTTTGAGATACATGCACGCACAGAAAGATGTTTCTGAGAAAGCTTCTGTCTGGTTTTTATATGTAGTTATTCCCTTTTTCACCATGGGCCTCAAAGGGATCCAAAATATCCCTTTGCAGATTCTAAAAAGACTGTTTCCAAACTGCTCAACCAAAGGAAAGTTTCAACTCTGTGAGATGAATGCACACATCAAAAAGAAGTTTCTCAGAAAGATTCTGTCTAGTTTTTTTTTTTTTATTTTTTTTATTTTTTATTATACTCTAAGTATTAGGGTACATGTGCACATTGTGCAGGTTAGTTACATATGTATACATGTGCCATGCTGGTGCGCTGCACCCACTAATGTGTCATCTAGCATTAGGTATATCTCCCAATGCTATCCCTCCCCCCTCCCCCGACCCCACCACAGTCCCCAGAGTGTGATATTCCCCTTCCTGTGTCCATGTGATCTCATTGTTCAATTCCCACCTATGAGTGAGAATATGCGGTGTTTGGTTTTTTGTTCTTGCGATAGTTTACTGAGAATGATGGTTTCCAATTTCATCCATGTCCCTACAAAGGATAGGAACTCATCATTTTTTATGGCTGCATAGTATTCCATGGTGTATGTGTGCCACATTTTCTTAATCCAGTCTATCATTGTTGGACATTTGGGTTGGTTCCAAGTCTTTGCTATTGTGAATAGTGCCGCAATAAACATACGTGTGCATGTGTCTTTATAGCAGCATGATTTATAGTCCTTTGGGTATATACCCAGTAATGGGATGGCTGGGTCAAATGGTATTTCTAGTTCTAGATCCCTGAGGAATTGCCACACTGACTTCCACAATGGTTGAATTAGTTTACAGTCCCACCAACAGTGTAAAAGTGTTCCTATTTCTCCACATCCTCTCCAGCACCTGTTGTTTCCTGACTTTTTAATGATTGCCATTCAAGATGGATTAAAGATTTAAACGTTAGACCTAAAACCATAAAAACCCTAGAAGAAAACCTAGACATTACCATTCAGGACATAGGCGTGGGCAAGGACTTCATGTCCAAAACACCAAAAGCAATGACAACAAAAGCCAAAATTGACAAATGGGATCTAATTAAACTAAAGAGCTTCTGCACAGCAAAAGAAACTACCATCAGAGTGAACAGGCAACCTACAACATGGGAGAAAATTTTCGCAACCTACTGATCTGACAAAGGGCTAATATCCAGAATCTACAATGAACTCAAACAAATTTACAAGAAAAAAACAAACAACCCCATCAAAAAGTGGGCGAAGGACATGAACAGACACTTCTCAAAAGAAGACATTTATGCAGCCAAAAAACACATGAAGAAATGCTCATCATCACTGGCCATCAGAGCAATGCAAATCAAAACCACTATGAGATATCATCTGTCTAGTTTTTATGTAAATATATTTCCTTTTTCACCATAGTCATTAAAGGGATTCCAAATATCTCTTTGCAGGTTCTACAAAAAGACTGTTATCAAACTGCTCAAACAAAAGGAAAGTTCAACTCTGTGAGATGAATGCACATATCACAAAAAAGTTCCTCAGAAATCTTCTGTCTAGTTTTTATATCAAGATATTTCCTTTTTTTCTCCTTAGGCCTCAAACCGCTCAAAAATATCACATTAAAGATTCTCCTAAAAGACTGTTTCCAAACTTCTCAATCAAGACAAAGGTTCAGCTCTGTGAGATGAATGCACACATCATAAAGAAGTTTCTCAGAAAGCTTCTGTCTAGTTTTTATGAATATATTTCCTTTTTCACCATAGGCCTCGAAGGGCCCCCAAATATCCCTTTGCAGATTCTACAAAAAGACTGTTTCAAAACTGCTCAATCAAAGGAAAGATTCAACTCTGTCACATGAATGCACACATCATAAATAAGTTTCTCAGAAAGCTTCTATCTAGTTTTTATAAGAAGATATTTCCTTTTTCACCATAGTACTCAAAGCGCTGAGAAATATCCCTTTGCAGATTCTATAAAAAGACTGTTTCCAAACTGCTCAATCAAAAGGAAGTTTCAACTCTGTGAGAGGAATGCACGCATCACAAAGAAGTTTCTCAAAAATCTTCTGTCTAATTTTTATGTGAAGATATTCCCTTTTTCACTGTGGGCCTTAAAGGAATCTGAAATATCCCTTTGCCGATTCTACAAAAAGAGTGTTGTTTCCAAACTGCTGAATCAAAGAAAGATTCAACTCTTTGAGATGAATGCACACAACACAAAGAAGTTTCTGAGAAAGTTTCTGTCTAGTTTTATGTGAGTATATTTCCTTTTTCATGATAGGCCTCAAAGGGATCCCTAATATCCCTTTGCAGATTTTACAAAAAGATCAAAACTGCTCAATCAAAAGAAAGTTTCACCTCTATGAGATGAATGCACACATCACAAAAAGTTTCTGAGAAAGTTTCTGTCTAGTTTTTATGTGAATATGCTTCCTATTTCACCATAAGCCTCAAAGGGATCCCAAATATCCCTTAGCAGATTTTACAAAAAGAATGTTACCAAACTGTTCAATCGAAAGAAAATTACAACTCTGTGAGATAAATGCACACGTCACACAGAGGTTCCTCATAAACCTTCTGTGTAGTTATCTGAAGATATTTCCCTTTTCACATTTTACCACAAAGGGCTCCCAAATATCCCTTTGCAGATTTTACAAAAAGAATGTTACCAAACTGTTCAATCAAAAGAAAATTACAACTCTGTGAGATAAATGCACACATCACACAGAGGTTCCTCATAAACCTTCTGTGTAGTTATCTGAAGATATTTCCCTTTTCACATTTTACCACAAAGGGCTCCCAAATATCCCTTTGAAGATTCTACAAAAAGACTGTTTCCTAACTGCTCAATCAAAAGAAAGTTTCAACTCTGTGAGATGAATGCAGGCATGACAAAGAAGTTTCTCAGAAAGCTTCTGTCTAGTTTTTATGTGAAGATATTTCCTTTTACACCAATGGCCTCAAAGGGATACCAAGTATCCCTTTGCAGATTCTACGAAAAGGCTGCTTCCAAACTGCTCAATGAAAAGAAAGTTTCAACTCAGTGAGATGAATACACCCATCACAAAGAAGTTTCTCAGAAAGCTTCTCTCTATTTTTTATGTGAAATATTTCCTTTTTCACCATAGGCCACAAGCCTTTCAGAAGTATTCCTTTGCAGATTCTAGAAAAAGACTGTATCCAAACTGTTTAATCAAAAGAAATGTTCAACTCTGTCAGATGAATGCACACATCACAAAGAAGTTTCTCAGAATGCTTCTATGTAGTTCTTATGTGAAGATATTTTCTTTTCACCATAGGCCTCAAGGAGCTCTCAAATACCCCTTTGCAGCTTATACAAAAAGACATTTTCAAACTGCTCAATCAAAACAAAGGTTCATTTCTGTGAAATGAATGCACACAACACAAAGAAGTTTCTGAAAAATCTTCTTTCTAGATTTATGTGAAGATATTTCCTTTTTCACCGTAGGCTTCAAAGCACTCCAAATATCCATTTGCAGATTCTACAATAAGACTGTTTCCAAACTACTCAATCAAAAGAAAGATTCAGGAAGGGATTCAGTTTCCGCTTTCTACATATGGCTAGCCAGTTTTCCCAGCACCATTTATTAAATAGGGAATCCTTTCCCCATTGCTTGTTTTTCTCAGGTTTGTCAAAGATCAGATTGTAGATAGGCGGTGTTATTTCTGAGGGCTCTGTTCTGTTCCATTGATCTATATCTCTGTTTTGGTACCAGTACCATGCTGTTCTGGTTACTGGTTACTATAGCAAAGACTTGGAACCAACCCAAATGTCCAACAATGGTAGACTGGATTAAGAAAATGTGGCACATATACACCATGGAATACTATGCAGCCATAAAAAA
The DNA here is from genome assembly GCF_000001405.40 of Homo sapiens. NCBI lineage: Eukaryota > Metazoa > Chordata > Mammalia > Primates > Hominidae > Homo > Homo sapiens. Next base: position 55,201,988 of record NC_000011.10, read on the forward strand.
TGATGAGTTCATGTCCTTTGTAGGGACATGGATGAAATTGGAAATCATCATTCTCAGTAAACTATCGCAAGAACAAAAAGTCAAACACTGCATATTCTCACTCATAGTTGGGAATTGAACAATGAGATCACATGGACACAGGAAGGGGAACATCACACTCTGGGGACTGTTGTGGGGTTGGGGGAGGGGGGAGGGATAGCATTGGGAGATATACCTAATGCTAGAGGACAAGTTAGTGGGTGCAGTGCACCAGTGTGGCACATGTATACATATGTAACTAACCTGCACAATGTGCACATGTATCCTAAAACTTAAAGTATAATAATAAAAGAAAAAAAAAGAAAGATTCAACTCTGTGAAATGAATGCACACATCACAATGAATTTTCTCACAAAGCTTCTATCTAGTTCTTATGTGAAGATATTCCCTATTCCCTTTTTCAACATGGGCTTAAAAATGATCTCAAATATCCCTTTGCAGATTCTACAAAAAGACCGTTTCCAAACTGCTCCATCAAGACAAATGTTGAACTCTGTGAGATGAATACATGTATCACAAAAAATTTTCTCAGAATGCTTCCATCTACTTTTTATGTGAATATATTTCCTTTTTCAACTTAGACCTCAAAGGGCTCCCAAATATCCCCTTGTGGATTGAAGAAAAAGACTATTTCCAAACTGCTCAATCAAAATAAATGTTCAAATCGGTGAGTTGAATGCAAACATCACAAAGAATTTTCACAAAAACCTTCTGTCTAATTTTTAATAGAAGTTATTTCCTTATTCACCTCAGGCCTCAAACCACTCAGAAATATCCCTTTGCAGATTATAGAAAAAGACAGTTTCCAAACTGTTCAATCAAAAGAAATGTTCAACTCTGTGAGTTGAATGAACACATCACAAATAAGTTTGTCAGAAAGCTTCTCTATTTTTTGTGTGAAGATATTTCCTTTTTCACGGTAGGCCTCAAAGGGTTCCCAAATGTCCCTTTGCAGATTCTACAAAAAAACTGTTTCCAAGCTGTTCAGTCAAAAGAAAGTTTCAACATTGTGAGATGAATCCACACATAACAATTAAGTTTCTCAGAAAGCTTCTGAATAGTTTTGTTGTGAAGATATTTCCTTTTTCAATGTGGACTTCAAAGGACTCCAAAAATCCCTTTGCAGATTCTACAGGAAGACTGTTTCCAAACTACTCAATGAAAAGAAAGGTTCCACTGTGTGAGATGAATGTACATATCACAAAGAAGTTCCTCAGCAAGCTTCTTTCTAGTTTTTATGTGAAGGTATTCCCTTTTTCTCCAATCAAAAGAATGGCTAACTTCTGTGAGATGAATAAACGCATCACAAAGGAGTTTCTCAGAAAGCTTCTGTCTGGTTTTTATCTGAAGATATTTCCTTTTTCACCATAGGCCTCAAAGCACCCACAAATATCCCTTTGCAGATTCGTCAAAAAGACTGTTTCCAAGCTGCTCAATCAAAAGAAGGTTTGAACTCTGTGAGATTAATGTACACATCACAAAGAAGTTTCTCAGAAATCTTTTGTCTAGTTTTAATTTGAAGATATTTACTTTTTCACCATAGGCCTCAAATCACTGACATATATCCCTTTTCGGATTCTACAAAAAGACGACTTCCAAACTGCTCAATCAAAAGAAAGGTTCAACTCTGTGAGATGACTATGTACATCATAAATAAGTTCCTCAGAAACCTTCTGCCTAGTTTTTAGCTGAAGATATTTCCTTTTTCACCGCAGGCCTCGAAGGGCTCCCAAATAGACCTTTGCAGATTCTACAAAAAGACTGTTTCCAAAACTCTCAATGAAAGATAAGGTTCAATCCCATGAGTTGGATGCACACATCACAAAGAAGTTTCTCAGAAAGCTTCTGTCTAGTTTTTATGTGAAGATACTTCCTTTTTCACAACAGGCCTCAAACTGCTCAGAAATATTCCTTTGCAGATTCTACAAAAAAAATGTTTCCAAACTGCTCAATGATAAGAAAGTTCAGCTCTGTGAGATGAATGCACACATCACAAAAAAGAAGTTTCTCAGAAGGTTCTGTCTACTTTTTATGTGAAGATATTTCCTTTTTCACCATAGGCCTCAAAGCGCCCTCAAATATCCCTTTGCAGATTCTACAAAAAGACCATTTACAAACTACTCAATCAAAAGAAATGTTGATCTCTGTAAGATGAATGCACACATCACAAAGAAGTTTCTCATAAAGCTTATTTCTGGTCTTTATGTGAAGATATTTTCCTTTTCACCATAGGCCTCAAAGCACCCTCAAATATCCCTTTGCAGATTCTACAAAAAGAAGGTCTCCAAACTGCTCAATCAAAAGAAAGTTTCAACTCCGTGAGATGAATGCACCATCAAAAAGAAGTTTCTCCAAAAGATTCTGTCTAGTTTTTTTTATGAAAATACTTCCTTTTTCACCATAGGCCTCAATCCGCTCAGAAATATCCTTTTGCAGATTCTATAAAAAGACTGTTTACACACTGCTCAATCAAAAGAAATTTTAACTCTATGAGATGAATCCACAGATCACAAAGAAGCTTCTCAGAAAGATTCTGCCTACTTTTTAAGTGAAGATAAATCTTTTTTCACCATAGGCCTCAAGCAGCTCAGAAATATCCCTTTGCAGATTCTATTAAAAGACTGTTTCCAAACTGTCCAGTGAAATGAAAGGTTCAACTCTCTGACAGGAATACACACAACTCAAAGAAGTTTCTCAGAAGGATTCTGTCTAGTTTTTAGGTGAAGATATTTCTGTTTTCACCAAAGGCCTCAAAGTCATCCCAAATATCCCTTTGCAGATTCTACAAAAAGACTCTTTCCAAAATGTTCAATCAAGAGGAAGTTTCAACTCAGTGAGCTGAATGCACACATCACAAAGTAGTCCCTCACAATGCTTCTATTTTTTTTATGTGAAGATATTTCCTTTTTCACCATAGGCCTAGAAGGTGTCACAAATATCCTTTTGCAGATACTACAAAAAGACTGTTTCCAACCTGCTCTTTAAAAAGAAAGTTTCAATTCTGTGAGATGAATGCACACATCACAAAGAAGTTTCTGAGAAAGTTTCTGTCTAATTTTTAAGTGAAGATGTTTCCTTTTTCACCATAGGCCTCAAAATGCTCATAAATATACCTTTGCAGATTCTAGAAAAAGACTGTTTACAAACTGCTCAATCAAAAAAAGTTTCAACTCTGTGAAATGAATGCACACATCACAAAGAAGTTTCTCAGAAAGCTTCTGTCTAGTTCTAATGTGAAGATATTTCCTTTTTCAACATGCGCCTCAAAGCGATCCCAAATATCCCTTTGCAGATTCCACAATAAGTCTGTTTCCAAACTGCTTAATCTAAAGAAAGGCTCAACTCTGTGAGATGAATGCACACATCAAAAAGAAGTTTCTCAGAAAGCTTCTGTCTAGTTTTTATGTGAACGTATTTGCTTTTTCACCTTAGGTGTAAAAAGGTACCCAAATATCCCTTTGTGGATTCTAGAAAAAGATGATTTCCAAACAGCTCAATCAAAAGAAAAGTTATACTCTGTGAGTTGAATGCACCCATCACAAAGAAGTTTCAAAGAAAGCTTCGTTCTAGTTTTTATGTGAAGATATTTACTTTTTCACCATGGGCCTCAAACCACTCAGAAATATCTCTTTGGAAATTCTACAAAAAGACTGTTTCCAAACTGCTCAATCAAAATAAACGTTCAACTCTTTGAGATGAATATACACATCATCAAAGAGTTTCTCATGAAGCATCTGTCTAGTTGTTATGCGAAGACATTTCCTTTGTCACAGTAGACCTCAAAACACCCTCAAATGTCCTTTTGCAGATCCTAGGAAATGACTGTTTCCAAACTGCTCAATCAAAAGAAAAGTTAAACTCTGTGAGATGAATGTGCACATCAAAAAGAAGTTGCTCAGAAAAGTTCTGTCTGGTTTATATGCGAAGATATATCCTTTTTCACCACAGGCCTCGAAGGGTTCTCAAATATCCCTTTGCGGATTCTTCAAAAACACTGTTTCTAAATTTCTCAATCAAAGGAATTTTCAGTTCTGTGAGATGGATGCACACATCACAAAGAAGTTTCTCAGAAATCTTCTGTCTAGTTTTTATGTGAAGATAATTACTTTTTCACCATAGGCCTCAAATCACTGAGAAATATCCCATTGCAGATTCTTGAAAAAGACTGTTTCCAAACTGCTGAGTCAAAAGAAATGTTCAGCTCTGTGAGATGAATGCACACATGATGAAGAAATTTCTCAGAAAGCTTCTATCTAGATTTTATGTGAAGGTATTTCTTTTTTCACCATAGGCCTCAAACCCCTGAGAAATATCCCTTTGCAGATTCTAGAAAAAGACTGTTTTCAAATTCATCAATCAAAAGAAAGATTCAACTCTGTGTGATGAATGCACACATCACCAAGAAGCTTCTCAGAAAGCTTCTGTCTAGTTTTTATATGAAGATATTTCCTTTATCACCATAGGCCTCAAAGCACCCTCAAATATCCCTTTTCAGATTCTACAAAAAGACTGTTTTCAAACTGCTCAATCAAATAAATATTTATCTCTGTGAGTTGAATGCACAAATCGCAAAGAAGTTTCTCAGAAAACTTCTCTCTAGTCTTTATGTGAAGATATTTCCTTTTTCACCATAGGCCTCAAAGCACCCTCGAATATCCCTTTGCAGATTCTTCAAAAAGACTGTTTCCAAACTGCTCATTCAAAAGAAAGTTTCAACTCTGTGAGATGAATGTGCACATCACTAAGAAGTTTCTCAGAAATGTTCTGTCCAATTTTTATATGAGGATATTTCCTTTTTCACCATATGCCTCAAACCACTCAGAAATATCCCTTTGCAGATCCTACAAAAAGACTGTTTACACACTGCTCAATTAAAGAAAGATTCAACTCCGTGAAATGAATGAACACATCACAGAGAAGTTTTTGAGAAAGCTCCTCTAGTTGTAATGTGAAGATATTCCCTTTTTAAACATGATCCTCAAAGGGATCCCAAATATCCCTTTACAGATTCTACAAAAGGACTGTTTCCACACTGCTCTATCTAAAGAAAGTTTCAAATCTGTGAGATAAATGCACGCATCAAAAAGAAGTTTCTCAGAAATCTGTCTAGTTTTTATGTGAACGTCTTTCCTTTTTCACCTTAGGCCTCAAAGGGCCGCCAAATATCCCTTTGCGAATACTTCAAAGAGGTTATTTTCAAACTTCTCAAAAAAAAGAAGAGTTCTACTCTGTGAGTAGAATGCACACATCACAAAGAAGTTTCACAGAAAGCTACTGTCTAGTTTTTATATGAAGATATTTCCTTTTTCACCATAGGCCTCAAACCACTCAGAAATATCCCTTTGGAGAGTCTACAAAAAGAATGTTTCCAAAATGTCCAATCAAAAGAAAGGTTCATCCCTGTAATATGAATGCACACATCACAAAAAAGTTTCTCAGAAAGCTTCTGTCTAGTTTTTATGTGAAGATATTTCCTTTTTCACCGTAGGCCTCAAAACGCCCTCAAATGTCCCCTTGCAGATTCTGCAAAAAGACTGTTTTGAAACTTCTCAATCAAAGTAAAGGTTCAACTCTGTGCATGAATGTACACATCACAATGAAGTTTCTCAGAAAATTTCTGCCTAGTTTTATGTGAAGATATTTCCTTTTTCACCACAGGCCTCAACCGCTCAGAAATATCCCTTTGCAGATTCTACAAAAGGAGTGTTTCCAAACTGCTCAACCAAAAGACAGTTTCAACTCTGTGAGATGAATGCACACATCACAAAAAAGTTTCTCAGAAAGCTTCTTTCTAGTTTTTATGTGAAGACATTTCCTTTTTCACCATAGGCCTCAATGAACTCCCAAATATCACTTTGCAGATTTTTCAAAAAGACTGTTTCCAAATTGCTCAATCAAAAGAAAGGTTCAACTCTGTGAGATGCATGTGCACATCAAAATGAAGTTGCTCAGAAAACTTCTGCCTAGTTTTTATGTGAAGATATTCCCTTTTTCACCATAGGACTCGAAGGGCTCCCAAGTATCCCTTTGCAGATTATTTAAAAAGACTGTTTCCATATTGCTCTATCAAAAGATAGTTTCACTTCTATGAGATGGATGCACACATCACAAAGAAGTTTCTCAGAAAACTTCTGTCTAGTTTTTATGTGTAGATAATTCCTTTTTCACCATAGGACTCAAAACACTGAGAAATATCCCTTTGCAGATCCTTGAAAAAGACTGTTTCCAAACTTCCCAATCAAAAAAAAGGTTTAATGCTGTGAGATGAATGTACACATCCTAAAGAAGTTTCTCATAAAACTTCTGTCTAGTTTTTATGTGAAGATATTTCCTTTTTCACCATAGGCCTCAAAGGGATCCAAAATATCCCTTTGCAGATTTTACAAAAAGACTTTTTCCAAACTGCTCAATCAAAAGTAATGCTCAACCCTGTGAGATGAATGCACACATCTCAAAGAAGTTCCTAAAAAAGCTTCTGTCTAGTTTTTATGTGAACATATTTCCTTTTTCACCTTAGGACTTGAAATGCTCCCAAATATCCCTTTGCAGATTCTACAAAAAGACTGTTTCCAAACTGTTCTAATCAAAAGAATGGTTCAATTCTGTGAGAGGGATGCAGACATCACAAAGAAGTTTATCAGAAAGCTTCTGTTTAGTTTTTATGTGAAGATATTTCCTTTTTCATCGTAGGCCTCAAGGCACTCAGAAGCATTCCTTTGCAGATTCTGCGAAAAGACTGTTTCCAAACTGCTCCAAGAAAGTTCAACACTGTGAGATGAATGCATGCATCACAAAGAAGTTTCTCAGAAAGATTCTGTCTATTTTTTATGTGTAGATATTTCATTTTTCACCATAGGCCTCAAAATGCTCCCAAATATCCCTTTGCAGATTCTACAAAAAGAGTGTTTCCAAACTGCTCAATCAAAAGATAATTTTATCAAGCTCCCAATGACTTTCTCCACAGAATTGGAAAAAACTACTTTTATGTTCATAAGGAACCAAAAAAGAGCCTGCATTGCCACGTCAATCCTAAGCCAAAAGAAGAATGCTGGAGGCATCACGCTACCTGACTTCAAACTGTACTACAAGTCTACAATAACCAAAGCAGCATTGTACTGGTACAAAAACAGAGATATAGATCAATGGAACAGAACAGAGCCCTCAGAAATAATGCCACATATCTACAACCATGTGATCTTTGACAAACCTGACAAAAACAAGCAATGGGGAAAGGATTCCCTATTTAATAAATGGTGCTGGGAGAACTGGCTAGCCATATGTAGAAAGCTGAAACTGGATCCCTTCCTTACACCTTATACAAAAATTAATTCAAAATGGATTAAAGACTTACATGTTAGACCTAAAACCATAAAAACCCTAGAAGAAAACCTAGGTAATACCGTTCAGGACATAGGCATGGGCAAGGACTTCATGTCTAAAACACCAAAAGCAATGGTGACAAAAGCCAAAATTGACAAATGGGATCTAATTAAACTTAAAGAGCTTCTGTGAAGTGAAAGAAACTACCATCAGAGTGTACCTACAAAATGGCAACCTACAAAATGGGAGAAAATTTTCACAACCTACTCATCTGACAAAAGGCTAATATCCAGAATCTACAGTGAACTCAAACAAATTTTCAAGAAAAAAACAAACAAACCCATCAAAAAGTGGGTGAAAGATATGAACAGACACTTCTCAAAAAAAGAGAAAATGCAGCCAAAATGTGTTTATGCAGCCAAAAAACACATGAAAAAATGTTCATCATCACTGTCCATCAGAGAAATGTAAATAAAACCACAATGAGATACCATCTCACACCCATTAGAATGGCGATCATTAAAAAGTCAGGAAACAACAGGTGCTGGAGAGGATGTGGAGAGAAAGGAACACTTTTACACTGTTGGTGGGACTGTAAACTAGTTCAACCATTGTGGAAATTAGTGTGGTTATTCCTCAGGGATCTAGAACTAGAAATACAATTTGACCCAGCCATCCCATTACTGGGTATATACCCAAAGGACTATAAATCATGCTGCCATAAAGACACATGCAGATGTATGTTTATTGTGGCACTATTCACAATAGCAAACACTTGGAGTCAACCCAAATGTCCAACTACAATAGACTGGATTAAGAAAATGTGGCACATTTACACCATGGAATACTATGCAGCCATAAAAAATGATGAGTTCATGTCCTTTGTAGGGACGTGGAAGAAACTGGAAACCATCATTCTCAGCAACCTATCGCAAGGACAAAAAACCAAACAAAGCATGTTCTCACTCATAGGTGGGAATTGAACAATGGGAACACATGGACACAGGAAGGGGAAGATCACATTCCATGGACTGCTGTAGGGTGAAGGGAGGGGGAGGGATAGCATTAGGAGATATACCTAATGCTAAATGACAAGTTAAGGGGTGCAGGACACCACCATGGCACATGTATACATATGTAACAAATCCTCACATTGTGCAAATATACCCTAAAACTTAAAGTATAATAATAATAAAAATAAAAAAAGAAAGTTTTAACTCCGTTTCCAAACTGCTCAAAAAAAGGAAAGTTCAACTCTGTGAGATGAATGCACGAATCACAAAGAAGTTTCTCACAAAGATTCTGTCTATTTTTTACGTGACGATATTTCCTTTTTCACCATAGACCTCAAAGTTCTCCCAAATATCCCTTTGTAGATTCTACAAAAAGACGGTTTCCAAACTGCTCACTCAAAGGAAAGTTTCAACTCTGTGAGATGAATGCAAAGATCACAAAGAAGTTTCTCAGAATGCTTCTGGCCACTTTTAATTTGAAGATATTTCCTTTTGCACCATGGGCCTCAAAGTGATACCAAATATCCCTTTGCAGATTCTACAGAAAGACGGTTTCCAAACGGCTCAATCAAGAGAAAGGTTTAAATCTGTTAGATGAATGCATGCAACACAAAGAAGTTTCTCAGAAAGCTTCTGTCTAGTTTTTATGTGAAGATACTTCCTATCTCACCATAGGCCATAAGGGGCTCACAAATATCCCTGTGCAGATTACATGAAAATTCTGTTTCCAAACTGCTGAATCAAAAGAAAGCTTCAAATCTGTGAGTTGAAAGCGCATATCACAAAGAAGTTTCTCAGAAAGCTTCTGTTTAGTTTGCTTCTGTTTAGTTTTTATGTGAAGATATTTCCTTTTTCATCATAGGTCTCAGAGCACTTCAAATATCCATGTGCAGATTCTAAAAAAAGAGTGTTTCCAAACTGCTCTATCTAAAGAAATGTTCAACTTTCTGAGATGAAAGCACACAACACAAAGAAGTTTCTCAGAAAGATTCTGTCTAGTTTTTATGTGAACATATTTCCTTTTTCACTATAGCCCTCAAATGGCTCCCAAATAACTCTTTGTAGATTCTACAAAAAGACTCTTTCCAAATTGCTCAATCAAAAGAAAGGCTCAAATCTGTGAGATGAATGCACTCATCAGAAGAACTTTCTGAGACAGCTTCTTTATAGTTTTTATGTGAAGATATTTCCTTTTTCACCATAGGCATTAAATCACTGAGAAATATCCCTTTGCAGATACTACAAAAAGATGGGTTCCAAACTGCTCAATCAAAAGAAAAGTTAAACTGTGTGAGATGAATGCACACATCACAAAGAAGTTTCTCAGAATCTTTCTGTCTAGTTTTCATATGAGGATATTTAATTTTTCACCATAGTCCTCAAAGGGCTCCCAAATATCCCTTTGAAGATTCTACAAAAAGACTCTGTCCTCACTGCTCAAAAGAAAGGATGAACTCTGTTAGTTCAATGCACACATCAAAAAGAAGTTACTCAGAAAGATTCTGTCTAGTTTTTTGAGAGGATATTTCCATTTTCACCAAAGGCCCCAAACTGCTCAGAAATATCCCATTTCAGATTCTACAAAAAGACTGATTCCAAACTGCTCAGTCAAAAGAAATTTCAACACTGTGAGATGAATGCACGCATCACAAAGAAGTTTCTTAGAAACCTTCTGTCTAGTTTTTATGGGAAGATATTTCCTTTTTCACCATAGGCCTCAAAGCACCCTCAAATATCACATTGCAGATTCTACAAAAGACTTTTTCCAAACTGCTAAATCAAAAGAAAGGTTCGAATCTGCGAGATGAATGCACACATCAGAAAGGAGTATTACAGAAAATTTCTGTCTAGTTTTTATGTGAAGATAATTCCTTTTTAAAATAGGCCACAAAGTGCTACCAAATAACCCATCGTAGATTCTAGAAAAAGAATGTTTACAAACTGCTTAATCAAAAGAAAGTTTCAACTCTATGAGATGAATGCACACATCACTAAGAAGTTTCTCAGAAAGATTCTGTCTAGTTTTTATGTGAAGATATTCCCTTTTTTACCATAGGCCTCAAACCGATCAGAAATATCCCTTTGTAGATTTTATAAAAAGACTGTTTCCATAATGCTCAATTAAAAGTAAGGTTCAACTCTGTGAGTTGAATGCACACATCACCAAGGAGTTTCTCAGAATGCTTCTGCCTAGTTTTTTGTGAAGATATTCCCTTTTTCACCAAAGGTCTCAAACCGCTCTGAAATATCTGTTTGCAGATTATAGAAAAAGACTATTTCCAAATTACTCAAATAAAAGAAAGGTTCAACTCTGTGAGATGAATGCACTCATTACAAAGAAGTTTCTCCAAAAGCTTCTGTCTAGTTTTTATGTGAAGATATTTCCTTTTTCACCATACTCCTCAAAGGGTTCCCATGTATCCGTTTGAAGATTCTACAAAAAATTTGTTTCCAAATTCCTCAATCAAAAGAAAATTTCAACTCTGTGAGATAAATGCACGCATCACAAAGAAGTTTCTCACAAAGCTTCTGTTTAGTTTTTACGTGAAGACATTTACTTTTTCACCACAGGATTCAAAGCACCCTCAAATATCCCTTTGCAGACTCTACGAAAAGAGTGTTTCCAAACTGCTCAATCAAAACAAAGGTTCAACTCTGTGAAATGAATGCACACATAACAAAGAAATTTCTCAGAAAACTTCTGTCTAGTTCTTATGTGAAGATATTCACTTTTTCATTATGGGCCTCAATGGGATCCCAAATATCCCTTTTCAGATCCTACAATAAGACTGTTTCCAAACTGTTCAATGAAAAGAAAGGATTAATTTTGTGAGATGGATGCACACATCAAAAAGAAATTTCTCAGAAAGCTTCTGTCTAGTTTTTATGTGATGGTGTTTCCTTTTTCACCATAATCCTCAAACCAATCAAAAATATTCCTTTACAGATTCAACAAAAAGACTGTTTACAAACTGCTAAATCAAAAGAAATTTCAACTCTGTGAGATGAATGCACACATCCCAAAGAAGTTTCTCAGAAAGCTTCTGTATAGTTTTAATGTGAAGATATATCCATTTTCACCATAGGGGTCAAACCTCTCAGAAATATCCCTTTGCACATTCTAGAAAAAGACTGTTTCAAAACTGCTCAATCAAAGGAAAGGTTCAACTCTGTGAAATGAATGCACGCATCACAAAGAAGTTTCTCTGAAAGCTTCTGTCTAGTTTTTATTTGAAGATATTTGCTTTCTCACTGCAGGCATCAAACCACTCAGAAATATCCCTTTGCAGATTCTACAAAAAGACTGTTTAAAAACTACTTAAAAGAAGAAAGGTTCAACTCTGTGAGATGAATGCACACATCACAAAGACGTTTCTCAGAAAGCTTCTGTCTAGTTTTTATGGGAAGATAGTCTCCTTTTCACCATAGGCCTCAATGGGATCCAGAATATCCCTTTGCAGATTCTACAAAAACTGTTTCCAAACTGCCCAATCAAAAGAAAGGTTCAACACTGTAAGATGAATGCACCCATCACAAAGAAGTTTCCCAGAATGCTTCTTTCTAGTTTTCATTTGAAGGTATTTCCTTTTTCACCATTGGCCTCAAATCGCTCAGAAATATCCCTTTGCAGATTCTACAAGAAGGCTGATTCCAAAATGCTAAATCAAAAGAAAGATTCAACTGTGTGAGATGAATGCACACATCCCAAAGAAGTTTCTCAGAAAGCTTCTTTCTAATTTTTATGTGAAGTTATTTCCTTTTTCACCGTAGGCTGAAAAACGCCCCAAAAAAGTCCCTTTGCAGATTCTACAAAAAGACTGTTTCCAAAATGCTCAATCAAAAGAAGGGTTCGACTCTGTGAGACGAATGCACACATCATAAAAAAGTTACTCAGAAAGCTTCTGTCCAGTTTTTATATGAAGATATTTTGGTTTTCACCATAGGCCTCAAAATGCTCAGAAACATCCTTCTGCAGATTCTACAAAAAGACTCTTTCCAAACTCCTCAATCAAAAGAAAGTTTCAAGTCTGTGAAATGAATGCACACAACACAAAGAAGTTTCTCAGAAAGCTTCTGCCAAATTCTTATGTGAAGATATTCCCTTTTTCAACATGTGCCACAAGGGGATCCAAATATCGCTTTGCAGATTCTGCAAAGACTGTTTCCAAACTGCTCAGTCTAAAGAAAGGTTCAACCCTGTGAGGTGAATGCACGCATCACAAAGAAGTTTCTCAGAAAGGTTCTGTCTAGTTCTTATGTGAACATATTTCCTTTTTCACCTTAGACCTCAAAGTGCTCCCAAATATCCCTTTGCAGATTCTAGAGAGTGACTTTTTCAAACTGCTCAATCAAAAGGAAAGTTCAACTCTGCTGTTTGAATGCATACATCATACAGAAGTTTCACGGAAACCTTCTGTCTAGTTATTATGTGAAGCTATTTCCTTATTCACCATAGGCCTCAAACTGCTCTGAAATATCCCTTTGCAGATTCTAGAAAAAGACTGTTTCCAAACTGCTCAATCAAAAGAAATGTTCAACTCTGTGAGATGAATGCACACATCCCAAAGAAGCTTCTCAAAATGCTTCTGCCTAGTTTTTATGTGAAGATATTTACTTTTTCACCATAGGCCTCAAAGTGCTCCCAAATTTCCCTTTGGAGATGAATGCATGCATCACAAACAATTTTCTCAGAAAGCTTCTGTCTAGATTTATGTGAAGATATTCACTTTTTCACCATAGGCCTCAAAGTGCAGATTCTAGAAAAAGACAGTTTCAAAGCTGCTCAATCAAAAGAAAGGTTCAACTCTGTGAGATGAATGCACACATCATAGAGTACTTTCTCAGAAAGCTTCTGTCTAGTTTTTATGTGAAGATATTTCCTTTTTCAACATAGACCTCAAACCACTCAGAAATGTCCCTTGGAAGAATCTACAAAAAGACTGTTTCCAAGCCACTCAATCAAAAGAAAGTTTCAATTCTGTGAGATGAATGCACACATCACAAACAAGTTTCTCAGAAAGCTTCTGTCTAGTTTTTATGTGAAGATATTCCATTTTTCACCAGAGGCCTCAAAGGGATCCAAAGTATCCCTTTGCATATTCTACAAAAAGACTGTTTCCAAAATGCTTAATCAAAAGAAAGGTTCAACTCTGTCCAATGAATGCACCCATCACAAGGAAGTTATGGAGAATGCTTCTTTCTAGTTTTCATTTGAAGATATTTCCTTTTTTACCATAAGCCTCAAATCGCTCAGAAGTATCACTTTGCAGATTCTACAAAAAGACTGTTTCCAAACTGCTCAATCAAAAGAAAGGTTCAACTCTGTGAGATGAATGCACACATCCCAAAGAAGTTCTGAGAAAACTTCTGTCTAGTTTTTATATGAAGATATTTCCTTTTTCACCATAGGCCTCAATGGGCTTCCATATATCCCTTTGGAGATTCTACAAAAAAGAGTGTTTCCAAAATGCTCAATCAAGAGAAAGTTTGAACTCAGTGAGATGAATGCACGCATCACAAAGGAGTTCCTCAGAAAGCTTCTGTCGAGTTTATATATGAAGGTATTTCCTTTGTCACCATAGGCCTCAAAATGCTCAGAAATATCCCTTGGCAGATTTTACAAAAAGTCTGTTTCCAAACTGCTCAATCAAAAGAAAGTTTCAATTCCATGAGATGAATGCACACATCACAAACAAGTTTCTCAGAAAGCTTCGGTCTAGTTTTTATGGAAAGATATTCCCTTTTTCACCATAGACCTCAAAGGGATCCCAAATATCCCTTTGCATATTCTGTAGAAAGTTTCCAAACTGCTCAATCAAAGGAAAAGTTCAACTCTAAGAGTTGAATACAGACATCACAAATTTCTTAGAAAGCTTTTGTCTTGTTTTTATGTGAAGACATTTCCTTTTTCACGATAGGCCTCAAAGCGCCCTCAAAAATCCCATTGCAGATTCTAGAAAAAGAATGATTCCAAACTACTCAATCAAAAGAAAGGTTCAATTCTGTGAGATGAATGCACTCACTAGAAAGAAGTTTCCCAGAAAGCTTCTGTCTAGTTTTTATGTGAAGATATTTCCTTTTTCACCATAGGCCTCAAAACACCCTCAAAATATCACTTTGCAGATTCTACAAAAGACTGTTTCCAAACTGCTCAGTCAAAAGAAAGGTTCTACTCTGTGAGATGAATGCACACATCACAAAAGAGTATCTCAAAAAGTTTCTGTCTTGTTTTTATGTGAAGATATTTCCTTTCTCACCATAGGTCTCAATGTGCCCCCAAATATCCCTTTGCAGATTCTAGAAAAAGATTGTTGCAAACAGCTCAACAAAAAGAAAGGTCAACTCTGTGAAATGAATGTGTATATCACAAAGAAGTTTCTCAGAAAGCTTCTGCCCAGTTTTTATGAGAAGATATTTCCATTTTCACCATAGGCCTCAAACTGCTCAGAAATATCCCTTTGAAAATATTACAAAAAGACTGTTTCCAAACTACTCAATCAAAAGAAAATCTCAACTCTGTGAGATGAATACACTTATTACAAAGAAATTTCTCAGAAAGCTTCTGTCTAGTTTTTATGTGAAGATATTTCCTTTTTCACCATAGGCCTCAAAGCGCCCTCAAATTTCACTTTGCAGTTTCTACAAAAGACTGTTTCCAAACTGCTCAATCAAAAGAAATGTTCAACTCTGCAAGACGAATGCACACATCCCAAAAGAGCATCTCAGAAAATTTCTATGTAGCTTTTATGTGAAGATAATTCCTTTTTAAAAATAGGCCTCAATGTGCTCCCAAATAACCCATTGCAGATCCTAGAAAAAGAGTGTTTCCAAACTGCTCAATCAAAAGAAAGGTTCATCTCTGTGACATGAATGCACATATCACAAAGAAGTTTCTCAGGAAGCTTCCGTATAGTTTTAATGTGTAGATATATCCTTTTTCACCATAGGCCTCAAACTGCTCAGAAATACCCATTGCAGATTCTAGAAAAAGACCGTTTTGAAACTGCTCAATCAAAGGAAAGGTTCAACTCTGTGAAATGAATACACACATCACAAAGAAGTTTCTCAGAATGCTTCTGTCTAGTTCTTATGTGAAGATATTCCCTTTTTCAACATGGGCTTCAAAAGGATCCCAAATATCCCCTTTCAGATTCTAGAAAAAGACTGTTTCCAAACAGCTCAATCAAAAGAGAGGTTCAACTCTCTGAAATGAATGCACACATCAAAAGAAGTTCCTCCGAAAGCTTATGTTTATTTTTTACATGAAGATATTTCCTTCTTTTCACCTTAGGCCTCAAACCGCTCAGAAATATCACTTTGAAGTTTCTCAAAAAAACTGTTTCCAAACTGCTCAATCAAAAGAAAGGTTCAACTCTGTGAGATGAGTGCATGGATCACAACGAAGTTTCTCAGAAAGCTTCTGTCTAGTTTTTATGTGATGATATTTCCCTCTTCACCATAGGCCTCGAAGGGCTCCCAAATATCCTCTTGCAGATTCCACAAAAAGACTGTTTCCAAAATGCTCAATCAAAGGAAATTTCAACCCTGGGAGATAAATGCACTCATGACAAAGAAGTTTCTCAGAAA
The DNA here is from genome assembly GCF_000001405.40 of Homo sapiens. Classification (NCBI taxonomy): domain Eukaryota; kingdom Metazoa; phylum Chordata; class Mammalia; order Primates; family Hominidae; genus Homo; species Homo sapiens. Next base: position 55,217,947 of record NC_000011.10, read on the forward strand.
GCTTCTTTCTAGTTTTTATGTGAAGATATTTAATTTTCTACCATAGGCCTCAAAGCGCACTCAAATATCCCTTTGCAGTTTCTACCAAAAGACTGTTCCCAAACTGCTCAATCAAAAGGAAGTTTCAAGTCTGTGAGAGGAATGCACACATCATAAGATGTTTACAAGAAAGCTTCTGTCTAGTTTTTATGTGAACATATTTCCTTATTCACCATAAGACTCAAACCGCTGAGAAATATCCCTTTGCAGATTCTAGAAAAAGACTGTTTCCAAAATCCTTAATCAAAATAAAAGTTCAAATCTGTGAGGTGGATGCACACATCACAAAGAAGTTTCTCAGAAAGCTTCTGTCTAGTTTTTATATGAGGATATTTCCTTTTTCACTGCAGGCCTCAAACCATTCAGAAATATCCCTCTGCAGATTCCAGAAAAAGATGATTTCCAAACTGCTCAATCAAAAGAAAGGTTGAACTCTGTGAGATGAATGCACTCATTTAAAAGAAGTTTCTGAGGAAGCTTCTGTCTAGCTTTTATGTGAAGATATTTCCTTTTTTACCATAGGCCTCAAAGGGTTCCCAAGTACCCCTTGGCAGATTCTACAAAAAGTCTGTTTCCAAACTGCTTAATCAAAAGAATACTTTAACTCTGTGAGATGAATGCAGGCATCACAAAGAAGTTTCTCAGAAAGCCCTTATCTAGTTTTTAAGTGAAGATATTTCCTATTTCACCTTTGGCCTCCAAGCTCTCTCAAATATCACATTGCATATTTTACAAAAAGACTGTTTCCAAGCTGCTGAATCAAAAGAAAGTTTCAAATCTGTGAGATGAATACACCAATCACAAAGAGGTTTCTCAGAAATATTCTGTCTAGTTTTTATGTGAAGATATTTCTTTTTTCATCATATGCCTCAAAACACTCAGAAATATCCCTTTGCATATTCCAAAAAAAGGCTGTTTCCAAACTGCTCAGTCAGAAGAAAGGTTCAACTGTGTGAGATGAATGCACACATCACAAAAAGTTTCTCAGAAAGCTGTCAAGTTTTTATGTGAAGAGATTTCCTTTTTCACCTTAGGAATCAAAGGGATCCCAAATATCCCTTTGCAGATTTTACAAAAAGACTGTTTCCAAACTGATCAATCAAAAGAAAGGATCAATTCTGAGAGATGAATGCACACATCAGAAAAAGTTCCTGAGAAAACTTCTTTCTAGTTTTTATGTGAAGATATTCCCTTTTTCACCATAGACCTCAAAAGGCTCCCGAATATCCCTTTGCAGATTCTACAAAAAGACTGTTTCCAAGCTGCTCAATCCAAAGAAAATTTCCACTCTGTGAGATCAATGAACACATGACAAACAACTTTCTTAGAAAGATTCTGTCTAGTTTTTATTTGAAGATATTCCCTTTTTCATCATAGGCTTGAAACCACTCAGAAATATCCTTTTGCAGAATCTAAAAAAAGATGGTTTCCAAACTGCTCAATCAAAAGGAAGGTTTAACTCTGTGAGATGAATGCATTCATTACAAAGAAGTTTCTCAGAAATCTTCTGTCTAGTTTTTACATGAAGATATTTCCTTTTTCACCATAGGCCTCAAACCACTCAGAATTATCCCTTTGAAGATTCTTCAAAAAGACTGTTTCCAAACTTCAATTATAAGAAAGTTTCAACTCTCTGAGATGAATGCACACACCACAGAGAAGTTTCTCAGAATATTTCTGTCTAGTTTTTATGTGAAGATATTTCCTTTTTCACCTTAGGAATCAAAGGGATCCCAAATATCACTTTGCAGATGTTATAAAAAGACTGTTTCCACACTGATCAATCAAAAGGAAGACTTTCACCAGAGGCCTCAAAGTGCTCCCAATTATCCCTTTGCAGTTTCTACAAAATGAAAGTTTCCAAGCTGCTCAATCAGAAGAATGTATCAAATCTGTGAGATGAATGTGCACATCACAAACAAGATTCTTAGAAAGCTTCTGCCTAGTTTTTATGTGATGATATTCCCTTTTTCACCATAGACCTAAAACCATGCAGAAATATCCCTTTGTAGATTCTACAAAAGACTGTTTCCAAACTGCTGAGTCAAAAGAAAGTTTCAAATCTGTGATATGAATGCACACATCACAATGAAATTTCTCAGAAAGCTTCTGTCTAGTTTTTATGTGAAGATATTTTCTTTTTCACTATTGGCCTCAAAGGATGCCCAAATATCTCTTTGCAGATTTTACAAAGAGACTGTTTCCAAACTGCTCAATCAAAAGAAAGTTTCAACTCTGTCAGATGAATACAAGCATCACAACGAAGTTTCTCAGAAAGCTTCTGTCTAGTTTTTATGTGAAAATATTTCCTTTTTCACCATAGGCTTCAAAGGCCTCCCAAATATCCCTTTGCAGATTTGACAAGGAGACTGTTTCCAAACTGCTCAATCAAAAGGAAGGTTCAATTCTGTGAGATGAATGCACACATCACAAAGAAGTTTATCAGAAAGCTTCTGTCTAGTGTTTATGAGAAGACATTTACTTTTTCACCATAGGTCAAAAACCGCACAGAAATATCCCTTTGCAGTTTCCACAAAAAGACTGTTTCCAAACTGCTCAATCAAAAGAAAGGGTCAACTGTGCGTGTTGAATGTACATATCAAAAGGAAGTTTCTCAGAAAGCTTCTTTCTAGCTTTTATGTGAAGATATTTCCGTTTTCACCATAGGCCTCAAAGTTTTCCCACATATCCCTTTGCAGATCCTACAGAAAGACTGTTTCCAAACTGATTAATGAAAAGAAAGTTTCAACTCTGTGAGATGCATGCACACCTCACAAAAGAGTTTCTCAGGAAATTTCTGTCTAGTTTTTATACGAAGAAAATTCTTTTTCAAAATAGGCCTCAAAGGGCTCCCAATTATCTCTTTGCAGATTCTACAAAAAGAATGTTTCCAAACTGCTCAATCAAAAGAAAGTTTCAATTCTGTGAGATTAATGCACACATCACAAACAAGTTTCTCAGAAAGCTTCTGTATAGTTTTTATTTGAAGATATTCCATTTTTCACCATAAGCCTCAAACCACTCTGAAATATCCCTTTGCAGACTCTAGATGGCTCAATGAAAAGAAAGGTTGAACCCTGTGAGATGAATGCACTCATTACAAAGGAGTTTCTCAGGAAGCTTCTGTCTAGGGTTTATGTGAAGATATTTCCTTTTTCACCATAGGCCTCAAAGACTCCAAAATATCACTTTGCAGATTCTACAAAAAGGCTGTTTCCAAACTGCTCAATCAAAAGGAAGTTTTAACTCTGTGAGATGAATGCAGGCATCACAAAGAAGGTTCTTAGAAAGCCCCTATCTAGTTTTTAATTGAAGATATTTTCTTTTTCACCATTGGCCTCAAAGGTCTCTCAAATATCACTTTGCAGATTCTACAAAAAGACTCTTTCCAAGCTGTTCAATCAAAAGTAAGTTACTACTCTGTGAGATGAATGCACACATCACAAAGAAGTTCCTCAGAAAAGTTCTGTGCAGTTTTTATGTGAAGATATTTCCTTTTTCACCTTAGGAATCAAAGGGATCCCAAATATCACTTTGCAGATGTTATAAAAAGACTGTTTCCACACTGATCAATCAAAAGGAAGGTTCAATTCAGTGAGAAGAATCCCCACATAAGAAAGAAGTTCCTCAGAAAACTTCAGTCTACTTTTTATGTGAAGATATCATATTTTTCACCATAGGCCTTGAAGGCTCCCAAATATCCCTTTGCAGATTCTACAAAAGGACTGTTTCCAAGATGCTCAATCCAAAGAAAGTTTCCACTCTGAGAGATGAATAAAGATATGACAAACAAGTTTCTCAGAAAGCTTCTGTCTAGTTTTTATTGAAAGATATTACCTTTCTCACCATAGGCCTGAAACCAATCAGAAATATCCCTTTGTAGACCCTAAATAAGACTGTTTACAAGCTGCTCAATCAAAAGAAAGGACAGCTCTGTGAGATGAATGCCTTCATTACAAAGAATTTTCTCAGCAAGTTTCTGTCTAGTTTTTATGTGAAGATATGTCCTTTTTCACCATAGGCCTTAAACTGGTCAGAAATATTCCCTTAGACATTCTAGAAAAAGACTGTTTCCAAACTGCTCAATCAAATGAAAGGTTCAACTCTGTGAGATGAATGCACACATCACAAAGAAGTTTCTCAGAAAGCTTCTGTCTAGTTTTTATGTGAAGATATTCCCTTTTGAGCTATAGGCCTTTAAGCTCTACAAATATCCATTTGCAGATACTACAAAAAGAGTGTTTCCAAATTGCTCAATCAAAAGAAAGGTTCAATGCTGTGAGTTGAATGCACACATCACAAAGTAGTTTCTGAGAATGCTTCTGTCTAGTTTTTATGTGAAGATATTTCCTTTTTCAACATAGGCCTTAAACTGGTCACAAATATTCCTCTGCAGATACTACAAAATGACTGTTTCCAAGGTGCTCCGTCAAAATAAAGGTTCAACTCTGTGAGATGAGTGCACACATCACAAAGAAGTTTCTCAGAATGCTTCTGTCTAGTTTTTATGTGAAGATACTTCCTTTTACACCATAAGCCTCAAAGTGCTCCAAATATCCATTTGCAGATTATACAAAAAGGGTTTTCAAACTGCTCAATCAAAAGAAAGGTTCAACTGTGTGAGATGAATACACACATCACAAAGACGTTTCTCAGAATTCTTCTGTCTAGCTTTTATGTGAAGATAATTCCTTTTTCACCATAGGTGTAAAAACGCTCACAAATATCCCTCTGCAGATATCACAAAAAGACTGTTTCCAAACTGCTCCATCAAAAGAAAGATACAACTCTGTGAGATGAAAGCACACATCACAAACAAGTTTCTCAGAATGCTTCTGTCTAATTTTTATGGGAAGATATTTCCTTTTTCACCGTAGACCTCAAAACCTTCTGAATATCCACTTGCAGACACTACAAAAGACTGTTTCCAAACTGCTCAATCAAAATAAAGGTTCAACTCTGTGAGATGAAAGCACACATCACAAAGAAGTTTCTTAGAAAGCTTCTTTCTAGTTTTTAAGTGAAGATATTTCCTATTTCACCACAGGCCTCAAAGGGCTCACAAATATCCATTTGCAGATTCAACAGAAGGACTGTTTCTAAACTGTTCAATCAAAAGAAAGTTTCAACTCTGTGAGATGAATGCACACATTGCAAAGAAGTTTCTCAGAATGCTTCTTTCTAGTTTTTAAGTGAAGATATTTCCTTTTTCACCATAGGCTCCAAAGCATTCCAAATATCACTTTGCAGATTGTGCAATAAGACTGTTTCCAAAGCACTGAATCAAAAGAAAGTTTGAACTCTGTGAGATGAATGCACATATCACAAAGAAGTTTCTCAGAATGCTTCTGTCTAGTTTTTATGTTAACATATTCCCTTTTTCACCATAGGCCTTAAACAGCTCACTAGTATCCATTTGGAGATTCTACAAAAAGACTGTTTCCAAATTGCTCCACTAGAAGAAAGTTTCAACTCTGTGAGATGAATGCATGCATCACAAAGAAGTTTCTCAGAATGCTTCTGTCTACTTTTTATGTGAAGATATTTCCTTTTTCACGATAGGCTTCAAAACGCTCAAAATATCCATTTGCATATACTTCCAAAAGAGTGTTTCCAAACTGCTCAATCAAAAGGGAGGTTCAACTCTGTGAGATGAAAGCACACATCATAGAGCAGTTTCTCAGAAGGATTCTGTCTCGTTTTTATGTGATATTTCTGATTTAACAGTAGGCCACAAAGGGCTCAAAAATATTTCTTTGCAGATTCTACAAAAAGACTGTTTCCAGACTGCTCAATCAAAGAAAGGTTCAAATCTGTGAGATGAATTGACACATCACAAAGAAGTTTAAAAGAATTCTTCTGTCTATTTTCTATGTGAAGGTACTTCTTTTTCACCATAGGCCTCAAATGACTCGAAAATATCCCCTTGCAGACTGTGTAAAAAGACTGTTTCCAAACTGCTCTATCAAAAGTAAGGCTCAACTCTGTGAGATGAATGCACACATCACAAAGGAGTTTCTCAGAATGCTTCTGTCTAGTTTTTATGTGAATATATTTCCTTTTTCACCATAGACCTCAAAGCACTCCAAATATTCATTTGCAGATTCTTCAAAAAGCCCATTTCCAAACTGCTCATTCAAAAGAAACGTTCAACCCTGTGAGACTAATGCACACATCACAAAGTAGTTTCTCAGAAAGCTTCTTTCTAGTTCTTTTGTGAAGATATTTCCTTTTTTCACCATAGGCTGCAAAGCACAGCAAATATCCATTTGCAGATTCTACAAAAAGACTGTTTCCAAACTGCTCAATAAAAAGAAATGTTCAGTTCTGTGAGATGAATGGACACAACACAAAGAAGTTCCTCAGAATGCTTCTGTCTTGTTTTTATGTGAAGATACATCTTTTCCACTGTATGTCTCAAGAGGCTTGGAACTATCCCTTTGAAGATTGTACAAAATGCTGTTTCCAAACTTCTCAATCAAAAGAAATTTTCAACTCTGTGAGATGAATGAACACATCACAAAGAAGTTTCTCAGAAAGATTCTGCTTAGTTTTAATGTGAAGGTATTTCCTTTTCAACCATAGGCCTAAAATCACTCCAAAAATCCATTTGCATATTCTACAAAAAGAATGTTTCCAAACTGCTCAATCAAAAGAAAGTTTCAAGTCTGTGAGGTGAACGCACACCTCATGAAGAAGTTTCTCAGAATGTTTCTGTCTAGTTTTTCAGTTAAGATATTTCTTTTTTCACCATAGACATTAAACCACTCAGAAATATCCCTCTGCAGATACTACAAAAAAACTGTTTCCAAACTATTCTATCAAAAGAAAGGTTCAACACTGTAAGAAGAATGCACACATCACAAAGACGTTTCTCAGAATGCTTCTGTCTTCTTTTTATGTGAAGATATTTCCTTTTGCAACATAGGCCTCAATCACTCCAAATGTCATTTTGCAGATTCTTCCAAAAGACTGTTTCCAACCTGCTCAAGCAAAAGTGAGTTTCAACTCTGTGAGATGAATGGAAGCAACAGAAGGAAGTTTCTTAGAGTTCGTCTATCTAGTTTTTATATGAAGATACTTATTTTTCACCATAGGCTTCAAAGGACTCGGAAGTCTCCCTTTGCAGATTGCACAAAAAGACTGTTTCCAAACTGCTCTACCAAAAGAAAGATTCAACTCTGTGAGATGAGTGCACACATCACAAAGAAGTTTCTCAGAATGCTTCTGTGTAGTTTTTATGTGAAGGTACTTCCTTTTTCACCATAGACCTGAAAGCACTCCAAATAGCCATTTGCAGATATTACAAAAAGAGTGTTTCAAAACGGCTCAATCAAAAGAAAGTTTCAAGTCTGGGAGATGAATGCACACATCACAGAGAAGTTTCTCAGAATGTTCCTGTCTGGTTTTTATGTGAAGATATTTCCTTTTTCAACATAAGCCTTAAACTGGTCACAAATATTCCTCTGTGGATACCACAAAAAGACTGTTTCCAATGTGCTCCATGCAAAGAAAAGTTCAGCTTTGTGTGGTGAAGGCACACATCACAAAGAAGTTTCTCAGGATGCCTCTCTCTAGTTTTTATGTGAAGATACATCCTTTTTCACCACAAGCCTGAAAGCGCTCCAAATATCCATTTGCATATTCTACAAAAAGAGGGTTTCCAAACTGCTCAAACAAAAGAAAGATTCAACCATGTGAAATGAATTTACACATCACAAAGAAGTTTCTCAGAATTCTTCTGTCTAGTTTTATGTCAAGATAATTCCTTTTTCACCATAGGCTTTAAACAGCTCACAAATATCCTTCTGCAGATACTACAAAAAGACTGTTTCCAAACTGCTCCCTCAAAAGAAATGTAGAAAGGAAGGTGAGATGAAAGCACACATCATAAAGAAGTTTCTCAGAATGCTTCCATCTAGTTTTTATGTGAAGACGTTTCCTTTTCCACCATAGGCCTCAAAGCACGGAAAATATCCAGTTGCAGATTCTACAAAAAGAGTGTTTCAAAACTGCTCAATCAAAAGAAAGGTTCAAATCTGTGAGGTGAATGCACACATCACAAAGAAGTTTCTCAGAATGCTTCCATCTAGTTTTTAGGTGAATATATTTCCTTTTCCACCATAGGCTTCAAAGCGCTCCAAATATCCTCTTGCAGATTCTACAAAAAGAGTGTTTCAAAACTTCTCAATCAAAAGAAAGTTTCAACTCTGTGAGATGAAAGCATAAATCACAAAGAAGTTTCTCAGAAGGCTTCTGTCTAGTTTTCATGTGAAGATATTTCCTTTTGAAAATAGCCTGCAAAGCGTTCTAAATATCCATTTGCAGATACTATAAAAAGACTGTTTCCAAACTGCTCTATTGAAAGTTCAACTCTGTGAGATGAATGCAGACATAACAAAGAAGTTGCTGAGAATGCTTCTGTCTAGTTTTTATGTGAAGATATTTCCTTAACCACCACAGGCAACCAAGCACTACAAACATCCACTTGCAGATTCTACAAAAAGAGTGTTTCAAAACTGGTCAATCAATAGAAATGTTCAACTCTGTGAGTTGAAAGCAAGCATCACAGAGAAGTTTCTCATTAAGCTTCTGTCTAGTGTTTATGGGAAGATATTTTCTTTTATGCCATAGCCCAATAAGTGCCCCAAATAACCACATGCAGACACTACAAAAAGAGTGTTTCAAAACTGCTCAATCCAAAGAAAGATTGTACTCTATGAGATGAGTGCAGACATCACAAAGAAGTTTCCGAGAATGCTTCTCTCTAGTTTTTATGTGAAGATATTTCATTTTCCACCATAGCCCACCAAGCACTACAAATATCCACTTGCAGATTCTACAAAAAGAGTGTTTCAAAACTGCTCAATCAATAGAAATGTTCAACTCTGCGAGTTGAATGCACACATCACAGAGAAGTTTCTCATAATGCATCTCTCTAGTGTTTATGTGAAGATATGTATTTTTCCACCACAGCCCACTAAGTGCCTCAAATACCCACTTGCAGATTCTACAAAAAGTGTGTTTCAAAACTGCCCAATCCAAAGAAAGATTCAACTCTATGAAATGAATGCAGGCATCAAAAAGAAGTTTCTCAGAAGGCTTCTGTCTAGTTTTTATGAGAAGATATTCCCTTTTCCACAATAGGCCTCAAAGTGCTCCAAATATCCTCTTGCAGATTCTACAAAAAGAGTGGTTCAAAACTTCTCAATCAAAAGAAATGTTCAACTCTGTGAGATGAATGCACACATCACAAAGCAGTTTCTCAGAATGCTTCTGTCTAGTTTTCATGTGAAGATATTTACTTTTCAAAATAGGCCACAAAGCACTCCAAATATCCATTTGCAGATACTACAAAAGACTGTTTCCAAACTGCTCTATCAAAAGTTCAACTCTGTGAGACGAATGCAGAAATCACAAAGAAGTTTCTCAGAAGGCTTCTGTCTAGTTGTTATGTGAAGATATTTCATTTTCCATCATAGGCCACCAAGCACTACAAATATCAACTAGCAGCTTCTACAAAAAGAGTGTTTTAAAACTGCTCAATCAATAAAAAGGTTCAACTCTGTGAGTTGAATGCACACATCACAGAGAAGTTTCTCATAATGCTTCTGTCTAGTGTTTACATGAGGATAATGTTTTTCTGCCACAGCCCACTAAGCGCATTAAATACCCACGTGCAGATTCTACAAAAAGAGTGTTTCAAAACTGCTCAATCTAAAGAAAGATTGAACTCTAAGAGATGAATGCAGACATCAAAAATAAGTTTCTCAGAAGGCTTCTGTCTAGTTTTCATGTGAAGATAATTCATTTTCCATCATAGTCCACCAAGCACCACTAATACCCACTTGGAGATTCTACAAAAGGAGTGTTTCAAAACTGCTCAATCCAAAGAAACATTCAACTCTATGAGACAAATGCACGCATCACAAAGAAGTTTCTCAGAATGCTTCTGTCTAGTTTTTGTGTGAAGATATTCCCTTTTCCACCATAGGCCTCAAAGCGCTCCAAATATCCTCTTGCAGATTCTACAAAAAGACTGTTTCAAAACTTCTCAGTCAAAAGAAAGGTGAAACTCTGTTAGTTGAATGGACACATCACAAAGCAGTTTCTCCTAATGCTTCTGTCTAGTTTTCATTTCAAGATATGTCCTTTTCAAAATAGGCCTCAAAGCACTCCAAATATCCATTTGCAGATACTACAAAAATACTGTTTCCAAACTGGTCTATCAAAAGTTCAACTCTGTGAGATGAATGCTGACATCACAAAGAAGATTCTGAGAATGCTTCTGTCTAGTTTTTATGTGAAGATATTTCATTTTCCACCATAGGACACCAAGCACTACAAATATCCACTTGCAGATTCTACAAAAAGAGTGTTTCAAAACTGCTCAATCAATAGAAAGGTTCATCTCTGTGAGTTGAATGCACACATCACAGAGAAGTTTCTCATAATGCTTCAGTCTAGTGTTTACGTGAAGATATTTTTTTCCTCCATAGTCCACTAAGCGCCCACAATACCCACTTGCAGATTCTACAAAAACAGTGTTCCAAAACTGCTTAATCCAAAGAAAGATTCAACATTATGAGATTAATGCAGACATCTCAAAGAAGTTTCTCAGAAGGTTTCTGTCTAGTTTTTATGTGAAGATATTTTATTTTCCAAAATAGGCATTCAAGCACTACAAATATCCACTTGCAGATTCTACAAAAAGAGGGTTTCAAAACTGCTCAATCAATAGAAAGTTTCATCTCTGTGAGTTGAATGCACACATCACAGAGAAGTTTCTCATAATGCTTCTGTCTAGTGTTTACGTGAAGATATTTTTTTCCTCCATAGCCCACTAAGCGCCCACAATACCCACTTGCAGATTCTACAAAAACAGTGTTCCAAAACTGCTCAATCCAAAAGAAAGATTCAACTTTATGAGATTAATGCAGACATCTCAAATAAGTTTCTCAGAAGGTTTCTGTCTAGTTTTTATGTGAAGATATTTTATTTTCCAAAATAGGCAATCAAGCACTACAAATATCCACTTGCAGATTCTACAAAAAGAGGGTTTCAAAACTGCTCAATCAATAGAAAGTTTCATCTCTGTGAGATGAATGCACACATCACAGAGAAGTTTCTCATAATGCTTCTGTCTAGTGTTTATGTGAAGATATTTTTTTTTCTGCCATAGCCCACTAAGCGCCCAAAATACCCACTTGCCGATTCTACAAAAAGAGTGTTTCAAAACTGCTCAATACACAGAAAGATTGAACTCTGTGAGATGAATGCAGACATCACAAAGAAGTTTCTCAGAAGGCTTCTGTCTAGTTTTATGTGAAGATATTTCATTTTCCACCATAGGCCACCAAACACTACAAATATCTACTTGCAGATTCTACATGAAGAGTATTTCAAAACTGCTCAATCAACAGAAAAGTTCAACTCTGTGAGTTGAATGCAAACATCACAGAGAAGTTATTCATAATGCTTCTGTATAGTATTTATGTGAAGATATTTTTTTCCACCATAGCCCACTAAACGCCCCAAATACCCACTTGCAGATACTACAAAAAGAGTGTTTCAAAACTGCTCAATCCAAAGAAAAATTCAACTCTATGAGAATGCATGCATCACAAAGAAGTATCTCAGAATGCTTCTGTCTAGTTTTTATGTGAAGATATTCCCTTTTCCACCATAGGCCTCAAAGCACTCCAAATATCCTCTTGCAGAATCTACAAAAAGAGTGTTTCAAAACTTCTCAATCAAAACAAAGTTTAAACTCTTTTATTTGAATGCAGACATCACAAAGCAATTTCTCAGAATGCTTCCGTCTAGTTTTCATTTGAAGATATGACCTTTTCAAAATAGGCCTCAAAACACTCCAAATATCCATTTGCAGATACTACAAAAAGACTGTTTCCAAACTGCTCTATCAAAAGTTCAACTCTGTGAGATGAATGCAGATATCACAAAGAAGTTTCTGAGAATGATTCAGTCTAGTTTTTATGAGAAGATATTTCATTTTCCACCATAGGCAACCAAGAACTACAAATATCCACTTGCATTTTCTGCAAAAAGAGTGTTTCAAAACTGCTCAATCAATAGGAAGGTTCAACTCTGTGAGTTGAATGCACACATCACAGAGAATTTTCTCATATAATGCTTCTATCTAGTGTTTATGTGAAGATATTTTCTTTTCTGCCATAGCCCACTAAGCACCCCAAATACCCACGTGCAGATTCTACAAAAAGAGTGCTTCAAAACTGCTCAATCCAGAGAAAGATTCAACTCTATGAGATGAATGCAGACATCACAAACAGGTTTCTCAGAAGGCTTCTGTCTAGTTTTTATGTGAAGATATTTCATTTTCCACCATAGGCCACCAACCACTACAAATATCCACTTGCAGATTCTCCAAAAAGAGTGTTTCAAAACTACTCAATCAATAGAAAGGTTCAACTCTGTTAGTTGAAAGCACACATCACAGAAAAGTTTCTCATAATGCTTCTGTCTAGTGTTTATGTGAAGATATATTTTTTCTGCCATAGCCCACTAAACGCCCCAAATACCCACTTGCAGATTCTACAAAAAGAGTGTTTCAAAACTGCTCAATCAAAAGAAAGATTCAACTCTATGAGATGAATGCACACATCACAAAGAAGTATCTCAGAATGCTTCTGTCTAGTTTTTATGCGAAGATATTCCCTTTTCCACCATAGGCCTCAAAACACTCTAAGTATCCTCTTGCAGATTCTACAAAAAGACTGTTTCAAAACTTCCCAATCAAAAGAAAGGTTAAACTCTGTTAGTTGAATGCACACATCACAAAACAGTTTCTCAGAATGCTTCTGTCTAGTTTTCGTTTCAAGATATGTCCTTTTCAAAATAGGCCTCAAAGCACTCCAAATATCCATTTGCAGATACTACAAAAAGACTGTTTCCAAACTGCTCTATCAAAAGATCAACTCTGTGAGATGAATGCAGGCATCACAAAGAAGTTTCTGAGAATGCTTCTGTCTAGTTTTTATGTGAAGATATTTCCTTTTCCACAGTAGGCCTCAAAGCACTCCAAATACCCACTTGCAGATTCTTCAATAAGAGTGTTTCAAAACTACTCAATCATAAGATAATTTCAGCCCTGTGAGAAGAATGCACACATCACTAAGAAGCTTCTCAGAATGCTTCTGTGTAGTTTTTATTTCAAGATATTTCCTTTTCCACCATGGGCTGCAAAGGACTCCAAAGATCCACTTGCAGATTCTACAAAAAGAGAGATTCAAAACTGTTCAGTCAAAAGATATGTTCAACTCTGTGTGTTGAAAGCACACCACACAAAGAGGTTTCTCAGAACGCTTCTGTGTAGTTTTTATGTGAAGATATTTCCTTTTCCACCATGGGCCCCAAAGCACTCCAAATATCCACTTGCAGATTCTACAGAAACAGTGTTTCGAAGCTGCTCAATGAAAGGACATGATCAACTCTGTGAGATGAATGCACACATCACAAAGAAGTTACTCAGAATTCTACTGTGTAGTTTTTATGGGAAGATATTTCTTTTTCCACAATAGGCTACAAAGCGGTACAAATATCTTCTTGTAGATTCTAAAATAAGAGTGTTTCCAAACTGCTCAATCAAAAGATAGGTTCAATTCTGTGAGTTGAATTTACACATCACAGAGAAGTTTCTCAGAATTTCTTCTGTGTTGTTTTTATGTGAAGATATTTCCTGATCCACAATATACATCAAAGCTCTTCAAGTATCCACTTGCAGATTCTGCAAAAGAGAGATGCAAAACTGCTCAATCAAAAGATAGGTTCGATGGTGTGCATTGAATGCACACATCACAAAGAAGTTTCTCAGAATGCTTATGTGTAGTTTTTATGTGAAGATATTTTCTTTTCCACATTAGGCCTCAAAGCACTCCCAATCTCCACTTGCAGACTCTGTGAAAAGAGAGATTGAAAACTGATCAATCAAAATGTAGCTTCAACTCTGTAAGTTGAATGCTCACATAGCAAAGAAGTTTCTCAGAATACTTTTGAGTAATTTTTATGTGAAGATATTTCCTTTTCCAAAATTGGCCTCAAACCCCTCCAAATATCCACTTCCAGATTTTATAAAAAGAGTTTCAAAACTGCTCAATGAAAAGAGAGATTCAAATCTGTGTGATGAATGCACTCATCACAAAGGAGTTTCTCTGATTGCCTCTGTGCAGTTTTTATTTGATGAAATTTCCTTTTCCACCATAGGGTGCAAAGGGCTCGAAATATCTACTTTCAGATTCTACAAAAACAGAGATTCAAAACTGCTCAATAAAAGAAAGGTTCAACTCTGTTAGTTGAATGCACACATCACAAAGAGGTTTCTCAGAATGCTTCTGCCTAGTTTTCATCTGAAGATACTTCCTTTTCCAAAAGAGGATGCAAGCGCTCTAAATATCCACTTGCAGATTCTACAAAAAGAGTGTTTCCAAACTCCTCAATCAAAGCAAAGATTCCATTCTGTGAGTTGAATGTACACATCACAAAGAAGTTTCTGAGAATGCTTCTGTCTAGTTTTTATGTGAAGATACTTCCTTTTCAGCTATAGGACTCAAAGCACTCCAAATATTCTTTTACAGAAACTACAAAAAGAGTGTTTCCAAACTACTCAATCAAAGCTTCAGCTCTCTGTGTTGAATGCACACATCAGAAAGTAGTTTCTGAGAATGCTTCTGTCTAGTTTTTGTGTGAAGATATTTCCTTTTCAGCTATAGGCCTCAAAGCACTCCAAATATCCATTTGCAGATACTACAAAAAGAGTGTTTGAAGCTGCTCAATCAAAAGAAATCTTCAACTCTGTGTGATGAATGCACACATTACCACAAAGGTTCTGAGAATGCTTCCATCTAGTTTTTATGCAAAGATATTTCCTTTTCAACTATAGGCCTCAAAGCACTCCCAAATATCCACTTGCAGATACTACAAAAAGTGTGTTTCCAAACTGCTCAATCAAAAGAAAGGTGCAACTCTGTGAGTTGAATGCACACATCACAAAGAAGTTTCTGAGAATGCTTCTGTCTAGTTTTTGTATGAAGATATTTCCTTTTCCACCTTAGGCCTCAAAGCACTCCAAATATCCACTTGCGGATTCTACAGAAAGTTTGTTTCAAAACAGCTCAATGAAAATAAAAGTTCAACTATGTGAGATGAATGCACACATCACAAAGTAGTTTCTCAAACACTTCTGTCTAGTTTTTATATGAAGATTTTTTCCTTTTCAGCTATAGGCCTCTAAGGGTTCAAAATATACATTTGAAGATACATACTATAAAGAGTATTTCCCTACAGCTCCATCAAAAGAATGGTTCAACTCCGTTAGTTAAATGCACACCTCACAAAGAAGTTTCTGAGAATGCTTCTGTCTAGTTTTTATGTGAAGATATTTCCTTTTCAGCTATAGGCCTCAAAGCACTCCAAATATCCATTTGCAGACACTACAAAAAGAGTGTTTCAAAACTGCTCAGTCAAAAGAAATCTTCAACTCCGTGGGATGAATGCACACATTACCAGGAAGGTTCTGAGAATGCTTCCATCTAGTTTTTATGTGAAGATATTTCCTTTTCTGCTACAAGCCAAAAAGCACTCCAAATAACCATTTGTAGATACTACAAAAAGAGTGTTTCCAAACTGCTCAATCAAAAAAAAGGTTCAACTCTGTTA
This sequence comes from Homo sapiens, assembly GCF_000001405.40. NCBI lineage: Eukaryota > Metazoa > Chordata > Mammalia > Primates > Hominidae > Homo > Homo sapiens. Next base: position 55,233,679 of record NC_000011.10, read on the forward strand.
CTTGAATGCACGAATCCCAAGAAACTTCTGAGAATGCTTCTGTCTAGTTTTTATGTGAAGATATTTTCTTTTCCACCATAGCCCTCAAAGCGCTCCAAATATCCACTTGCAGATTCTACAAAAAGAGTGTTTCAAAACTGCTCAGTCAAAAGAAAGTTTCAACTCTGTGAGATGAATGCAAACATCACAAAGAACATTCTCAGAATGCTTCTGTCTAGTTTTTATGTGAAGATATTTCCTTTTCAGTTGTAGGCCTCAAAGCACTTCAAATATCCATTTGCAGTTACCACAAAAAGAGTGTTTCCAAACTGATCAATCAAAAGAAAGGTTCACCACTGTGAGTTGAATGCACACATCACAAAGAAGTTTCTGATAATGCTTCTGTCCGGTTTTGATGTGAAGATATTTCCTTTTCTACCATAAGCCAGAAAGTGCTCCAAATATCCATTTGCAGATTCTACAAAAAGAGTGGTCCCAAAGTGCCCAATCAAAAGAAAGGTACAACTCTGTGAGATGAATGCACACATCACAAAGAAGTTTCTCAGAATGCTTCTGTCTAGTTTTTATGTGAAGATACATCCCTTTCCACCATAGGCCTCATAACACTCCAAATATCCATTTGCAGGTACTATAAAAAGAGTATTTCCATTTGAACTTTAAAGTGGTTTTTCCAATTCTGTGAAGAAAGTCATTGGTAGCTTGATGGGGACGACATTGAATGTGTAAATTACCTTGGGCAGTATGGCCATTTTCATGATATTGATTCTTCCTACCCATGAGCATGGAATGTTCTTCCATTTGTTTGTATCCTCTTTTATTTCATTGAGCAGTGGTTTGTAGTTCTCCTTGAAGAGGTCCTTCACATCGCTTGTAAGTTGAATTACTAGGTATTTTATTCTCTTTAAAGCTATTGTGAATGGGAGTACACTAATTATTTGGCTCTCTGTTTGTCTGTTATTGGTGTGTTAGAATGCTTCTGATTTTTGTACATTGATTTTGTATCCTGAGACTTTGCTGAAGCTGCTTATCAGCTTAAGGAGATTTGGGGCTGAGACAATGGGGTTTTCTAGATATACAATCATGTCGTCTGCAAACAGGGACAATTTGACTTCCTCTTTTCCTAGTTGAATAAACTTTATTTCCTTCTGCTGCCTAATTTCCCTTGCCAGAACTTCCAACACTATGTCGAATAGAAGTGGTGAGAGAGGGCATCCCTGTCTTGTGCCAATTTTCACAGGAAACGCTTCCAGTTTTTGTCCATTCAGTTTGATATTGGCTGTGGGTTTGTCATAGATAGCTCTTATTATTTTGAGATACGTCCCATTGATACCTAATTTATTGAGAGTTTTTTGCATGAAGGATGGTTGAATTTTGTCTAAGGTCTTTTCTGTATCTATTGAGATAATCATGTGGTTTTTGTCTTTGGTTCTGTTTATATGCTGGATTACATTTATTGATTTGCATATATTAAACCAGGCTTGCTCCCCAGGGATGAAGTCCACTTGATCATGATGGATAAGCTTTTTGACGTGCTGCTGGATTCTGTTTGCTAGTATTTTATTGAGGATTTTTGCATCAATGTTCATCAAGGATATTGGTCTAAAATTCTCTTTTTTGGTTATGTCTCTGCCCGTCTTTGGTATCAGGATGATGCTGGTCTCATAAAATGTGTTAGAGAGGATTCTTTCTTTTTTTATTGATTGGAATAGTTTCAGAAGGAATGGTACCAGTTCCTCCTTGTACCTCTGGGAGAATTCGGCTGTGAATCCATCTGGTCCTGGACTCTTTTTGGTAGGTAATCTATTGATTATTGCCACAATTTTAGAGCCTGTTACTGGTCTATTCAGAGATTTAACTTCTTTCTGGTTTAGTCTTGGGAGGGTGTATGTGTAGGAATTTATCCATTTCTTCTAGATTTTCCAGTTTATTTGTGAAGAGGTGTTTGTAGTATTCTCTGATGGTAGTTTGTATTTTTGTGGGACCAGTGGTGATATCCCCTTTATTATTTTTTATTGCGTCTATTTGATTTTTCTTCCTTTTTTTCTTTATTAGTCTTGCTAGTGGTCTGTCAATTTTGTTGATCTTTTCACGAAACCAGCTCCTGGATTCATTAAGTTTTTGAAGAGTTTTTTGTGTCTCTATTTCCTTCAGTTCTGCTCTGATGTTAGTTATTTCTTGCCTTCTGCTAGCTTTTGAACGTGTTTGCTCTTGCTTTTCTAGTTCTATTAATTGTGATGTTAGGGTGTCAATTTTGGATGTTTCCTGCTTTCTCTTGTGAGCATTTAGTGTTACAAATTTTACGCTACACACTGCTTTGAATGTGTCCCAGAGATTCTGGTATGTTGTGTCTTCGTTTTCATTGGTTTCAAAGAACATCTTTGTTTCTGCCTTCATTTCGTTATGTACCCAGTAGTCATTCAGGAGCAGGTTGTTCAGTTTTCATGTATTTGAGCGGTTTTGAGTGAGTTTCTTAATCCTGAGTTCTAGTTTGATTGCACTGTGGTCTGAGAGACAGTTTGTTATAATTTCTGTTATTTTGCATTTGCTGAGGTATGCTTTACTTCCAACTATGTGGTAGATTTTGGAATAGGTGTGGTGTGGTGCTGAAAAAAATGTATATTCTGTTGATTTGAGGTGGAGAGTTCTGTAGATGTCTATTAGGTCCGCTTGGTGCAGAGCTGAGTTCAATTCCTGGGTATCTTTGTTAACTTTCTGTCTCATTGATCTGTCTAATGTTGACAGTGGGGTGTTAAAGTCTCCCATTATTATTTTGTGGGAGTCTAAGTCTCTTTATAGGTCACTCAGGACTTGCTTTATGAATCTGGGTGCTCCTGTATTGGGTGCATATAAATTTAGGATAGTTAGCTCTTCTTGTTGAATTGATTCCTTTACCATTATGTCATGGCCTTCTTTGTCTCTTTTGATCTTTGTTGGTTTAAAGTCTGATTATTCAGAGACTAGGATTGCAACCTCTGCCTTTTTTTGTTTTCCATTTTCTTGGTAGATCTTCCTCCATCCTTTTATTTTGAGTCTATGTGTGTCTCTGCCCATGAGATGGGTTTCCTGAATACAGCACACTGATGGGTCTTGACTCTTTATCCAATTTGCCAGTCTTTGTCTTCTAATTGGAGCATTTAGTGCATTTACATTTAAAGTTAATATTGTTATGTGTAAATTTAATCCTGTCATTATTATTTTAGCTGGTCATTTTGCTCGTTAATTGATGAACTTTCTTCCTAGCCTAGATGGTCTTTACAATTTGGCAGGATTTTGCAGTGGCTGCTACCAGTTGTTCCTTTCCATGTTTAGTGCTTCCTTCAGGAGCTCTTTTAGGGCAGGCCTGGTGGTGACAAAATATCTCAGCCTTTGCTTGTCTGTAAAGGATTTTATTTCTCCTTCACTTATGAAGCTTAGTTTGGCTGGATATGAAATTCTGGGTTGAAAATTCTTTCCTTTAAGAATGTTGAATATTGGCCCCCACTCTCTTCTGGCTATTAGAGTTTCTGCCAAGATCCGCTGTTAGTCTGATGGGCTTCCCTTTGTGGGTAACCCGACCTTTCTCTCTGGCTACACTTAACATTTTTTCCTTCATTTCAACTTTGGTGAATGTGACAATTATGTGTCTTGGAGTTGCCCTTCTTGAGTAGTATCTTTGTGGTGTTCTCTGTATTTCCTGAATGTGAATGTTGGCCTGCCTTTCTAGATTGGGGAAGTTCTCCTGGATAATATCCTGCAGAGTGTTTTCCAACTTGGTTCCATTCTCCCCGTCACTTTCAGGTACACCAATCAGATGCAGATTTGGTCTTTTCACATAGTCCCATATTTCTTGGAGGCTTTGTTCATATGTTTTTATTCTTTGTTCTCTAAACTTCCCTTCTCACTTCATTTCATTCATTTCTTCTTCCATCACTGATACCCTTTCTTCCAGTTGATCGCATCATCTCCTGTGGCTTCTGCATTTTTCATGTAGTTCTCGAGCCTTGGCTTTCAGCTCCATCGGCTTCTTTAAGCACTTCTCTGTATTGGTTATTCTAGATATACATTCATCTGAATTGTTTTCAAAGTTTTTAACTTCTTTGCCTTTGGTTTGAATGTTCTCTTGTAGCTCGGAGTAATTTGATCGTCTGAAGGCTTCTTCTCTCAACTCGTCAAAGTCATTCTCCATTCAGCTTTGTTCCATTGCTGGTGAGGAACTGCATTCCTTTGGAGGAGGAGAGGCACTCTGCTTTATAGAGTTTCCAGTTTTTCTGCTCTGTTTTTACCCCATCTTTGTGGTTTTATCTACTTTTGGTCTTTGATGATGGTGATGTACAGATGGGTTTTTGGTGTGGATGTCCTTTCTGTTTGTTAGTTTTCCTTCTAACAGTCAGGACCCTCAGCTGCAGGTCTGTTGGAGTTTGCTAGAGGTCCACTCCAGACCCTGTTTGCCTGGGTATCAGCAGCAGTGGCTGCAGAACAACAGATTTTCATGAACCACAAATTCTGTTGTGTGATCACTCCTCTGGAAGTTTTGTCTCAGAGGATTACCCGGCCATGTGAGGTGTCAGTCTTGCCCCTACTGAGAGGTGCCTCCCAGTTAGGCTGCTCGGAGGTCAGGGGTCAGGGACCCACTTGAGGAGGCAGTCTGCTCGTTCTCAGATCTCCAGCTGTTTGCTGGGAGAACCACTGCTCCCTTAAAAGCTGTCAGAAAGGGACATTTAAGCCTGCAGAGGTTACTGTTGTCTTTTTGTTTGTCTGTACCCTGCCCCCAGAGATGGAGCCTACAGAGGCAGGCAGGCCTCCTTGAGCTGTGGCAGGCTCCACCAAGTTCGAGCTTCCTGGCTGCTTTGTTTGCTTAAGCAAGCCTGGTCAATGGCGGGTACCCATCCCCCAGCCTCAATGCCACGGTGTAGTTTGATCTCAGACTGCTGTGTTAGCAATCAGCGAGACTCCATGGGCATAGGACCCTCTGAGCCATGTGTGGGATATAATCTCCTGGTGTGCCATTTTGTAACCCCATCGGAAATGTGCAGGATTAGTGTGGGAGTGACCCAATTTTCCAGGTGCCGTCTGTCACCCGTTTCTTTGACTAGGAAAGGGAACTGCCTGACACCATGTGCTTCCCGAGTGAGGCAATGTTTCACCTTGCTTTGGCTCCCACAAGGTGCACTGCACCCACTGTCCTGCGCACACTGTCTGGCGTTCCCTAGTTGGATGAACCCAGTAACTCAGAAGGAAAGGCAGAAATCAGCCGTCTTGTACATCGCTCACACTGGGAGCTGTAGAACGGAGCTGTACCTATTCAGCCATCTTGGCTGCCAGGTCCTGATTTCCTGAAATTTTCTTTTGATTGAGCAGCTTTGAAACACTCTTTGTAGTATCTGCAAATGGATATTTGGAACACTTCAAGGACTATAGTTGAAAAGGAAATATCTTCACATAAAAACTAGACAGAAGCATTCTGAGAGACCTCTTTTTGATGTGTGTATTCATCTCACAGAGTTGAACCTTTCTTTTGATTGAACAGTTTTGAAACGTTCTTTTTGTAGAATCTGCAAGTGGATAATTGGAAAGCTTTGAGGCCTATGGTGGAAAACGAAACATCTTCACATAAAAACTAGACAGAAGCATTCTCAGAAACTACTTTGTGATGTGTGTGTTATACTCACAGAGTTGAAACTTTCTTTTGATTGACTAGTTTGGAAACAATATTTTTGTAGTATCGGTAGGCAATTGGGAGCACTTTGATGCCTACAGCTGGAAAAGGAAATGTCTAAACATAAATACTAGACAGAAGCATTCTGAGAAACTTCTTTGTGATGTGTGCCTTCATTTCACAGAGTTGAACCTTTCTTTTGTTTGAGCTGTTTTGAAACACTCTTTTTGTAGAATCTGAAAGTGGATATTTGGAACGCTTTGAGGCCTATGGTGGAAAAGGAAATATTTTCACATAAAAACTAGACAAAAGCATTCTCAGGAAGTTGTTTGTAATGTGTGCATTCCGCTCACAGAGTTGAACCTTTCTTTTGATAGAGCAGTTTTGAAACACTCTTTTTGTAGGATCTGCAAATAGATATTTGGAGCGTTTTGAGTCCTATGGTGGAAAAGGAAATATCTTCACATAAAAACTAGTCAGAAGCATTCTCAGAAACTTCTTTCTGATGTGTGCATTCAACTCACAGTGTTGAACCTTTCTTTTGATAGAGCAGTTTTGAAACACTCTTTTTCCAGAATCTGCAAGTGGATATTTGGAGTGCTTTGAGGCCTATGGTGGAAAAGGAAATATCTTCAGGCAAAAAGTAGACAGAAGCATTCTCAGAAACTTCTTTCTAATGTGTGCATTGAACTCACAGAGTTGAACCTTTCTTTTGATAGAGCCGTTTTGAAAATCTCTTTTTTTAGAATCTGCAAGTGGATATTTGGTGCTCTTTTAGACCTATAGTGGAAAAGGAAATATCTTCACATAAAAACTAGATAGACGCATTCTCAGAAACTACTTTGTGATGTGTGCATTCAACTCACAGAGTTGAACCTTTCTTTTATTGAGCAGTTTTGAAACACTCTTTTGAAGTGACTGCAAGTGTATATTCGGAGTGCTTTGAGGCATGTACTGGAAAAGGAAATATCTTCACATCATAAGAACTAGACAGAATCATTCGCAGAAACTTCTTTGTGATGAGTGCCTTCAACTGCCAGAGGTGAACCTTGAGCAGTTTTGAAACATTCTTTTTGTAGTATCTGCAAGTGGATATTTGGAGCACATTGAGGCCAATGGTGGAAAAGGAAATATCCTCACATAAAAACTAGAGAGAAGTATTCTTAGAAATTCTTTCTGATGTGTGCATTAAAACTCACAGAGTTGAACCATTCTTTTGATAGAGTAGTTTTGAAACACTCTTTCTGAAGTATCTGCAAGTGTATATTCAGAGCGCTTTGAGGCCTATGGTGGAAGAGGAAATATCTTCACATAGGAACTAGACAGAAGCATTCGCAGAAACTTCTTTGTGATGAGTATTTTCAACTCTCAGAGTTTAACCTTTCCTTTGATAGAGCTGTTTTGAAACACTATTTTTGTAGTATCTGCAAGTGGATATTTGGAGCGCTTTGAGGCCTATGGTGGATAAGGAAATATCCTCACATAAAAACTAGACAGAAGCATTCTCAGAAAGTTCTTTGTAATGTGTGCATTCAAGTCACAGACTTGAACCTTTCCTTTAATGGAGCAGTTTTAAAACACTGTTTTTGTAGAATCTGCAAGTGAGTATTTGGAGCACATTGAGGCCTTTGGATTAGAAGTAAATATCTTCATGTAAATCTAGACTGAAGCATTCTCAGAAACGTCTTTGTGATGTGTGCCTTCAACTCAGAGAGATGAACCTTTCTTTTGATTGAGCTGTTTTGAAACACTCTTTTTGTAGAATCTGAAAGTGGATATTTGGAAAGCTTTGAGGCCTACGATGGGAAAGGAAATATTTTCACATAGAAACTAGACAAAAGCATTCTTGAGAAGTTGTTTGTGATGTGTGCATTCCGCTCACAGAGTTGAACCTTTCTTTTGATAGAGCAGTTTTGAAACACTCTTTTTATAGAATCTGCAAGTGGATATTTGGAGCGCTTTGAGCCCTATGGTGGAAAAGGAAATATCTTCACATAAAAACTAGTCAGAAGCATTCTCAGAAACTTCTTTCTGATGTGTGCATTCAACTCACAGTGTTGAACCTTTCTTTTGATAGAGCAGTTTTGAAACACTTTTTCCAGAATCTGCAAGTGGATATTTGGAGTGCTTTGAGGCCTATGGTGGAAAGGAAATATCTTCAGGTAAAAAGTAGACAGAAGCATTCTCAGAAACTTCTTTCTAATGTGTGCATTGAACTCACAGAGTTGAACCTTTCTTTTGATAGAGCCTTTTTGAAAATCTCTTTTTTTAGAATCTGCAAGTGGATATTTGGTGCTCTTTTAGGCCTACGGTGGAAAAGGAAATATCTTCACATAAAAACTAGACAGAAGCATTCTCAGAAACTACTTTGTGATGTGTGCATTCAACTCACAGAGTTGAACCTTTCTTTTGATAGAACAGTTTTGAAACACTCTTTTGAAGTGACTGCAAGTGTATATTCGGAGTGCTTTGAGGCATGTACTGGAAAAGGAAATATCTTCACATAAGAACTAGACAGAATCATTCACAGAAACTTCTTTGTGATGAGTGAATTCAACTCCCACAGTTGAACCTTGAGGAGTTTTGAAACACACTTTTTGTAGTATCTGCAAGTGGATATTTGGAGTGCTTTGAAGCCAATGGTGGAAAAGTTAATATCCTCACATAAAAACTAGACTGCAGCAATCTTAGAAACTTCTTTCTGATGTGTGCATTCAACTCACAGAGTTGAACCTTTCTTTTGATAGAGCAGTTTTCAAACACTCTTTTTGTAGAATCTGCAAGTGCACATTTGGAGCGCTTTTAGGCCTATGGTGGGAAAGGAAATATCTTCACATAATAACTAGACAGAAGCATTCTCAGAAACTACTTTGTGATGTGTGCATTCAACTCACAGAGTTGAACCTTTCTTTTGACAGAGCAGCTTTGAAACACTTTTTTTGAAGTATCTGCATGTGTATATTCAGAGCGCTTCGAGGTCTATTGTGGAAAAGGAAATATCTTCACATAGGAACTAGACAGAAGCAGTTGCAGAAACATCTTTGTGATGAGTGCATTCAACTCCCAGAGTTTAACGTTTCCTTTGATAGTTCAGTTTTGAAACACTCTTCTTGTATTATCTGCAAGTGGATATTTGGAGCGCTGTGAGGCCAATGGTGGAAAAGGAAATATCCTCACATAAAAACTAGACAGAAGCATTCTCAGAAACTTCTTTGTGTTGTGTGCATTCAACTCACAGGGTTGAACCTCTCCTTTGATTGAGCAGTTTGAAACACTCTTTTTGTAGGCTCTGCAAGTGTATATTTGGAGCGCTTTGATGCCTATGGTGGAAAAGGAAATATCTTCACATAAATCTAGACAGAAGCATTCGAAGAAACTTCTTTGTGATGTGTGCCTTCAACTCACAGAGTTGAACCTTTCTTTTGATAGAAAAGTTTTGAAACTCTCTTTTTCTACACTCTGCAAATGGATATTTGGAGCGCTATGAGGCATATGGTGGAAAAGGACATATCCTCACATAAAAACTAGACAGAAGCATTCTCGGAAACTCCTTTGTGTTGTGTGCATTCAACTCACAGGGTTGAACCTTTCCTTTATTGAGCAGCTTTAAAAATCTCTTTTTGTAGAATCTGCAATTGGATATTTGGAGCACTTTGTGGCCTGTGGTGGAAAAGGAAATATCTTCACATAAATCTAGACAGAAGCATTCTCAGAAACATTACTGTGATGTGTGCATTCAACTCACAGATTTGAACCTTTGTTTTGATAGAGCAGTTTTGAAACACTCTTTTTCTTCAATCTGCAAGTGGATATTTGGAGCATTTTGAGGCCTTGGAGGAAAAGGAAATATACTCACATAAAAACTAGATAGAAGCTTTCTCAGAAACTTCTTTGAGATGTGTACATTCAACTCACAGAGTGGAACCTTCCCTTTCATTGAGCCATTTTTGAAAAACTGTTTTTGTAGGATCTGTAAGTCGATATTTAGAGCAGATTGAGGCCTATGGTGGAAAAGGAAATATCCTCACATAAAAACTAGACAGAAGTATTCTCAGAAACTTCTTTGTGACATGTGCATTGAACCTACAGAGTTCAACCTTTCTTTTGATAGAGCAGTTTTGAAACACTCTTTCTCCGGAATCTGCAATTGGATATTTGGTGTGCTGTGAGGCCAATGGTGGAAAAGGAGATACCTTCACATAAAAACTAGACAGAAGCTTTCTCAGAAACTTATTTGTGAAGTGTGCATTCAACTCACAGAGTTGAACCTTTCTTTTGATAGAGCCTTTTTGAAACTCTCTTTTTCTACAATCTGCAAATGGATATTTGGAGCCCTTTGAGGCCTATGCTGGAGAGGAAATATCTTCACATAAAAACTAGACAGAAGCATTCTCAAAAACTTGTTTGTGATGACTGCATTCAACTCACAGAGTTGAGCATTTCTATTGATACAGCAGTATTCAAACACTCTTTCTGTAGACTCTGCAAGTGGATATTTGGAGAGCTTTGAGGCCTATGGTGAAAAAGGAAATATCCTCACATAAAAACTAGACAGACGCATTCTCAGAAACTTCTTTCTGTTGTGTACATTGAACTCACAGAGTTGAAATTTACTTTTGATGAAGCAGTTTTGAAACAATCTTTTTGTAGAATCTGCAAGTGGATATTTGGAGCGTTTTGAGGCATATGTTGGAAAAAGAAATACCTTTACATAAAATCTAGAGAGAAGCATTCTCAGAAACTTCTGTGTGATGTGTGCATTTATCTCACAGAGTTGAAACTTTCTTTTTAAAGAGCAGTTTTGAAACACTCCTTTTGTAGAATCTGCAAGTGGCTATTTGGGATATTTGACGCCTATGGTGGAAAAGGAAATATCCTCACATAACAACCAGACAGAAGCATTCTCAGAAACTTCTTTGTTTTGTGTGCATTCAACTCACAGTGTTGAACATGTCCTTTGATTGCACGGTTTTGAAACACTGTTTTTTGCAGGATCTGCAAGTGGATATTTGCAGCGCTATGAGGCTTATGTTGGAAAAGAAAATATCTCCACATAAATCCAGACAGAATCACTCACAGAAACTTCTTTGTGATGTGTGCACTCAAATCACAGAATTGAACCTTTCTTTTGATAGAACAGTTTTGAAACACTCTATTTGTAGAGCTTGCAAGTGGATATTTGGAGCTCTTTGGGGCCTATGGTGGAAAAGGAAATATCCTCACATAAAAACTAGACAGAAATATTCTCAGAAACTTCTTATGTTGTGTGCATTCAACTCACAGAGTTGAAACTTTCCTTTGATTGAGAAATTTTGAAACAATCTTTTTGTAGAATCTTCAAGTGGATATTTGGAGTGATTTGAGGCTTCTGGTGGAAAACAAAATATCTTCACATAAAAAGTAGACAGAAGCATTCTCAGAAACTTCTTCATGATGAGTGCATTCAACTAACAGAGTTGAACTTTCATTTGATAGAGCAGTTTTGAAACACTATTTTTGTAGAATCTACAAGCAGATATTTGGAGCGCTTTGAGGCTTATGGTGGAAAAGGAAATATCCTCGCATAAAAACTAAACAGAAGCATTCTCAGAAACTTCTTTCTGATGTGTGCATTCAACTCACAGAGTTGAAACTTTCTTTTGATAGAGCAGTTTTAAAACCCTCTTCTTCTAGGATCTAGAAGTGGATACTCGGAGCACTTTGGGGCCTATTTTGGAAAAGGAAATATCTTCAGATAAAAACTAGACAGAAGCATTCTCAGAAACTTCTTTGTGTTGTGTGCATTCATCTCACAGAGTTGAAACTTTCCTTTGATTGAGCAGTTTTGAAACACTCTTTTTGTAGAATATGCAAGTGGATATTTGGAGTGCTTTGAGGCCTATGGTGGAAAAGGAAATATATTCACATAAAAGTAGACTGAAGCATTCTCAGAAAGTTTTTTGTGATGTGTGCTTTCAACAGACAGAGTTGAGCCATTCTTTTGATAGAGCAGTTTTGAAACACTCTTTTTGTAGAATCTCAAAGTGGATATTTGGAGTGCTTTTTGTGGCCTATGGTGGAAAAGGAAATATCCTCACTTAAAATCTAGACAGACGCATTCTCAGAAACTCCTTTGTGTTGTGTGCATTCAACTCACAAGGTTGAATCTTTCCTTTGATAGAGCAGTTTTGAAACCCACTTTTTGTAGAATCTGCAAGTGGATATTTGGAGTGTTTTGAGGCCTATGGTGGAAAAGGAAATATCTTTAAATAAAAGCTAGACAGAAACATTCTCAGAAACTTCTTTGTGATGAGGGCGTTCAACTCACAGAGTTGAATGTTTCTGTTGATAGAACAGTTTTGTAACACTCTTTTTGTAGAATCTGCAAGTGGATATTTGGAGTGCTTTGAGGCCTATTTTGGAAAAGGAATATCCTCACTTAAAAATTAGACAGAAGCATTCTCAGAAACTTCTTCGTGTTGTGTGCACTCAACTCACAGAGTTGAAGCTTTCATTTGATTGGGCAGTTTTGAAACACTCTTTTTGTAGAATCTGAAAGTGAATATTTGGAGCACTTTGAGGCGTATGGTGGAAAAGGAAATATCTTCACGTAAAAACTAGACAGAAGCATTCTCAGAAACTTCTTTGTGATGTGTGCATTCAACTCACAGAGTTGAACATTTCTTTTGATAGAGTAGTTTTGAAAACCTCCTTTTGAAGAATATGCAAGTGGATATTTGGAATGCTTTGAGGCCTACGGTGGAAAAGAAAATATCCTCACATAAAAACAAACAAAAAGAGTGTTTCGAAACTGTTCTATGAAAAGGAATGTTCAACTCTGTGAGTTGAATGCACACATCACTAAAAAGTTTCTGAGAATGCTTCTGTCTAGTTTTTATGTGAAGATATTCCCGTTTAAACCGAAGGCTTCAATGTGCTCTAAATATCCACTTGCAGATTCTACAAAAAGAGTGTTTCAAAACTTATCTATCAAAAAAAAGTTTCAACTGTGTGAGTTGAATGCACACATCACTAAGAAGTTTCTGAGAATGCTTCGGTCTAGTTTTCATGTGAAGACATTCACATTTCCACTGAAGACCTCAAGGCTGTCCAAATATCCACCTGCAGATTCTACCAAAGAGTGTTTCAAAACTGCTCTTTCAAAACAAAGGTTCAACTCTGTGAGTTGAATGCACACATCACAAAGAAGTTTCTGAAAATGCTTCTGTCTAGTTTTTATGTAAAGATATCCGGTTTCCAATGAAAGCCTCAAAGCGGTCAAAATATCCACTTGCAAATTTTACAAAAAGAGTGTTCCAAAACTGCTCTAATGAAAGGAATGTTCAAGACTGTGAGTTGAAAGCAAACATCACAAAGAAGTTTCTGAGAATGCTTCTGTCTTGTTTTTATGTGGAGATATTTCCTTTTTCACAGAAGGCACCAAAAAGCTCCAAATGTCTACTTGCAGATTCTACAAAAAGAGTGTTTCAAAACTGCTATATCAAAAGAAAGTTTCAACTCTGTCAGTTGAATGCACATATCACAAAGAAGTTTCTGAGAATGCTTCTGTCTAGTTTTTATTTGAAGATATTTCCTTTTTTCACCATAGACCTCAAAGTGCTGCAAATACTGAATTCCAGATTCTACAAAAGAGGGTTTCAAAACTGCTCTATCAAAATAAAGGTTCTACTCTGTGTGTTGAATGCACACATCACAAAGTAGTTTCTGAGAATGCTTCTGTCTAGTTTTTCTGTTAAGATATTTCCTTTTTCAGTATAGGCCTCAAAGCACTCCAAATATCCACATGCAGATTCTACCAAAAGAGTGTTTCAAAACTGCTTTATCAAAAGAAAGGTTCAACTCTGTGGGTTGAATGCACACATCACAAAGAAGTTTCTGAGAATGCTTCCATATAGTTTTTATGTGAAGACATTTCCTTTTTCACGATAGGCCTCAAAGTGCTCCAAATGTCCACTTGCAGATTCTACAAAAAAAGTGTTTCAAAACTGCTTTATCAAAAGAAACGTTCTACTCTGTGAGTTGAATGCACACATCACAAAGCAGTTTCTGAGAATGCTTCTGTCTAGTTTTCATGTGAAGATATTTCCTTTTTCACCATAGGCCTCAAAGCTCTCCAAATGCCCATTTGCAGATTCTCCAAAGAGAGAGTTTGAAAACTGCTCTATCAAAAGAAAGGTTCAACTCTGTGAATTGAATGCACACATCACAAAGAATTTTCTGAGATTGCTTCTGTCTAGTTTTTCTTTGAAGATATTTCCTTTTTCACCATAGGCCTCAAAGTGCTACAAATATCCACTTGCAGATTCTACAAAAAGAGTGTTTCAAAACTGCCTTATCAAAAGAAAGGTTCAACTCTGTGGGTTGAATGCAAACATCACAAAGAAGTTTCTGAGAATGCTTCTGTCTAGTTTTTATGTGAAGATATTTCCTTTTTCACCATAGGCCTCAAAGCGCTCCAAATGTCCACTTGCAGATTCTACAAAAAGAGTGTTTCAAAACGGCTCTATCAAGAGAAAGATTCAGCTCTGTGAGTTGAATTCACTCATCAAAAAGTAGTTTCTGAGAATGATTCTCTCTAGTTTTTATATGAAGATATTTACTTTTTCACCATAGACCTCAATGTGCTCCAAATGTCCACTAGCAGACTCTACAAAAGGAGTCTTTCAAAACTGCTCTATCAAAAGAAATGTTCAACTCTGTTATTTGAATACACACGTCACAAAGAAGTTTCTGAGAATGTTTCTGTCTAGTTTTTATGTGAAGACATCATGTTTACAACAAAGGTCTCAAAGCTGTCCAAATATCCACTGGCAAATTCTACAAAAAGAGAGTTTCGAAACTACTCTTTCAAAAAGAATATTCAACTCTGTGAGTTGAATGCATATATGAGAAAGAAGTTTCTGAGAATGCTTCTGTCTAGTTTTCATGTGAAGATATTTCGTTTTCACCATAGGCCTCAAAGTGCTCCAAGTGTCCATTTGCTGATTATACAAAGAGATTGTTTCAATACTGCTCTATCAAAATACAGGTTCAACTCTGTGAGTTGAAAGCACACATCAGAAATTAGTTTCTGAGAATGCTTATGTCTAGTTTTTAAGTGAAGACATTTCCTTTCTCAACAAAGGCCTCAAAGCGCTCTAAATGTCCACTTGCAGATTCTACAAAAAGAGAGTTTTGAAACTGCTCTTTCAAAAGGAAGGTTCAACTCTGTGAGTGGAATGCACGCATCACAAAGAAGTTTCTGAGAATGCTTCTGTCTAGTTTTTATGTGAAGATACTCCCGTTTCCAAAGAAGGCCTCAAAGCAGTCGGAAAATCCACTTGCAAATTCCGCAAAAACAGTGTTTTGAAACCGCTCTATCAAAGGGAATGTTCAACTCTGTGAGTTGAAAGCAAACATCGCAAAGAAGTTACTGGGAATGGTTCTGCCTAGTTTTTATGTGAAGATATTTCCTTTTACACCCTAGGCCTCAAAGCACTCCAAATGTCCAGTTGCAGATTCTACAAAGAGATTATTTCAATACTGCTCTATCAAAAGAAAGGTTCAACTCTGTGAGTTGAATGCACACATCAGAAAGTAGTTTCTGAAAATGCTTCTGTCTAGTTTTTCTGTGAAGACATTTCCTTTTACACCCTAGTCCTCAAAGTGCTCCAAGTGTCCGTTTGCAGATTCTACAAAGAGATTCTTTCAATACTGCTCTATCAAAAGAAAGGTTCCACTCTGTGGGTTGAATGCACACATCAGAAAGTAGTTTGTGAGAATCCTTCTATCTAGTTTTTCCATGAAGATATTTTCTTTTTCACCATAGGCCTCAAAGCTCTCCAAATATCCACTTGCAGATTCTACAAAAAGAGTGTTTCAAAACTGCTCTATCAAAAGAAATATTCAACTCTGTGAGTTGAATGCACTCATCAAAGAGAAGTTTCTGAGAAAGATTCCCTCTAGTTTTTATGTGAAGATATTTCCTTTTTCACCGTAGGCATCAAAGTGCTCCAAATTTCCACTAGCAGATACTTCAAAAAAAGTGTTTCAAAACTCCCCTATCAAAAGAAATGTTCAATTCTTTTAGTTGAATGCACACGTCACAAAGATGTTTCTGAGAATGCTTCTGTCTAGTTTTTATGTGAAGATATTTCCTTTTCACCATAGGCCTCAAAGCGATCAAAGTGTCCACTTGCAGATTCTACAAACAGAGAGTTTCAAAACTTCTCTACCAAAAGAAAGGTTCAACTCTGTGAGTTGAATGCACACATCACAAAGAGGTTTTGAAGAATGCTTCTGTATAGTTTTTATGTGAAGATATTCCCATTTCCACCGAAGGCTTCAATGTGCTCTAAATATGCAGTTGCAGATTCTACAAAAAGAGAGTTTCATAACTGCTCTATCAAAAGGAAGGTTCCACTCTGTGAGTTGAATGCACACATCACAAAGAAGTTTCTGAGAATGCGTCTGTCTAGTTTTTATGTGAAGATATTCCCATTTCCACTGTAGACCTCAAAGCTCTCCAAATATCCAATTGCAGATTCTACAAAAAGAGTGTTTCAAAACTGCTCTATCAAAAGAAATGTTCAACTCTGTGAGTTGAATGCACTGATCACAAAGAAGTTTCTAAGAATGCTTCTGTCTACTTTTTATGTGAAGACATTCCCTTTTCCACAGAAGGCCTCAAAGCAATGCAAATATCCACTTGTAGATTCTACAAAAAGAGTGTTTCAAAACTGCTCTATGAAATGGAATGTTCAACACTTTCAGTTG
The DNA here is from genome assembly GCF_000001405.40 of Homo sapiens. Lineage (NCBI taxonomy): Eukaryota > Metazoa > Chordata > Mammalia > Primates > Hominidae > Homo > Homo sapiens. The sequence continues at coordinate 55,250,069 of NC_000011.10, forward strand.
AATGCAAAGATCACAAAGAAGTTTCTTAGAATGCTTCTGTTTACATTTTATGTGAAGATATTTCCTTTTTCACCTTAGGCATTGAGCGCTCCAAATGTCCACTTGCAGATTCTATGAGAAGTGATTTTCAAAACTGCTCTATCATAAGAAAGGTTCAACTCTGTGAGTTGAATGCACAAATCACAAAGTAGTTTCAGAGAATGCTGCTTTCTAGTTTTTATGTGAAGTTATTCCCATTTCCACCGAAGGCCTCAAAGTGATCCAAATATCCATTTGCAGATTGTACAAAAAGAGTGTTTCAAAACAGCTCTATCAAAAGAATTTTTCAACTCTGTCAGTTAAATGCAAGCATCAAAAAGTAGTTCCTGAGAATGCTTCTGTCTACTTTTTATATGAAGATATTTCCTTTTCTACTAAAGGCCTCAAATCACTCAAAATATCCACTTGCAGATTCTACAAAAAGAGTGTTTCAAAACTTCTCTATCAAAAGGAATTTTCAACTCTGTGAGTTAAATGCACACATCACAAAGAAGTTTCTGAGAATGCTTTTATGTGAAGTTATTCCCGTTTCCAATGAAGGCATCAAAGCCATCCAAATATCCACTTGCAGATTCTATAAAAAGAGTGTTTCAAAACTTCACTATCAAAAGGAAGATTCAACTCTCTGAGTTGAATGCACACATCACAAAGAAGTTTCTCAGAATGCTTCTGTCTAGTTTTTATATGAAGATATTCCCGTTTCCACCATAGGTCTCAAAGTGCTCCAAATATGCATTTGTAAATTCTACAAAAAGAGTGTTTCAAACTGCTCCATCAAAGGGAAGGTTCAACTCTGTGAGATGAATGCACACATCACAAAGAATTTTCTGAGAATGCTTCTGTCTAGTTTTTATGTGAAGATATTCAAGTTTCCAAAGAAGACCACAAAGCCCTCCAAATATCCACTTGCAGATTCTACAAAAACAGTGTTTCAAAACTGCTCCATCTAAAGGAGGGTTCAACTTTGTCAGTTGAAAGCAAGCGTCCCAAAGAAGTTTCTGAGAATGCTTCTGTGTAGTTTTTATATGAAGATCTTTCCTTTTCTACCATAGGCCTCAAAGCGCTCCAAATATCCACTTGCAGATTCTACAAAGGAATGTTTCAAAACAGCTTTATCAAAAGGAAGGTTCAACCCTGTGAGTTGAATGCACACATCACAAAGAATTTTCTGAGAATGCTTCTGTCCAGTTTTTATGTGAATATATTCCCATTTCCCCCAAAGGCCTCAAAGCGCTCCAAATATCCACTTGCAGATTCTACAAAAAGAGTGTTTCAAAAGTGCTCTATCAAAAGGAAGGTTCATCTCAGTGAGTTGAATACACACATCACAAAGAAGTTTCTGGGAATACTTCTGTCTGCTTTTTATGTGAAGATTTTCCCGTTTCCACCGAAGGCCTCAAAGCACTCCAAATAACCACTTGCAGATTCTACAAAAAGAGTGTTTCAAAACTGCTCTATGAAAAAGAAGTTTCAACTCTCTGAGTTGAATGCAAGCATCACAAAGTAGTTTCTGAGAATGCTTCTGTGTATTTTTTATATGAAGATAATTCCTTTTCCACCTTAGGCCAAAAAGCGCTCCAAATATCCACTTGCAGATTCCACAAAAAGTGTGTTTCAAAACAGCTCTATTGAAAGGAAGGTTCAACTCTGTGAGTTGAATGCACACATCACAAAGAAGTTTCTGAGAATGCTTCTGTTTCGTTTTCATGTGAAGATACTGCTGTTTCCACCGAAGGCCTCAAAGCCATCAAAATATCCACTTGCAGATTCTACAAAAAGAGTGTTTCAAACCAGCTCTATCAAAAAGAAGGTTCAACTCTGTGAGTTGAATACACACATCACAAAGAAGTTTCTGAATATGCTTCTGTCTAGTTTATATGGGAAGATATTCCCGTTTCCACTGTAGGCCTCAAAGTGTTCCAAATATCCACTTGCAGATTCTACAAAAAGAGTATTTCAAAACTGCTCTATCAAAAGGAAGATTCCACTGTGTGAGTTGAATGCACACATCACAAAGAGGTTTCTTAGAATGCTTCTGTCTAGTTTTTATGTGAAGATGTTCCCGTTTCCATTGAAGGCCACAAAGCTCTGTAAATATCCACTTGCAGATTCTACAAAAAGAGTGTTTCAAAACTGCTCTATCAAAAGGAAGTTTCACCTCTCTGATTTGAATGCACACATCACAAAGGAGTTTCTGAGAATGCTTCTGACTAGCTTTTATCTGAAGATATTCCCATTTCCACCGAAGGCCTCAAAGCGCTCCAAATATCTACTTTCAGATTCTACAAAAAGAGTGTCTCAAAACTGCTCTATCAAAAGGAATGTTCCACTCTGTGAGTTGAATGCAAGCATCACAAAGTAGTTTCGGAGAATGCTTCTGTCTATTTTTTATATGAAGATATTTCCTTTTCTACCATAGGCCTCACAGCACTTCAAATATCCACTTGCAGATCCTACAAAAAGAGTTTTTCAAAACTGCTCTATCAAAAGGAAGGTTCAACTCTCTGAGTTGAATGCCCACATCACAAAGTAGTTTCTGAGGATGACTCTCTCTTGTTTTTATGTGAAGATATTCCGGTTTCCACCGTAGGTCTCAAAGCGCACCAAATATCCACTTGCAGATTCTACAAACAGAGCGTTTGAAAACTGCTCTATCTAAAGGAAGTTTCAACTCTGGAGTTGAATGAACACATAACAAAGAAGTTTCTGAGAATGATCCTGTCTAGTTTTTATGTGAAGATATTCCCGTTTCCAACGAAGTCCTCAAAGCCCTCCAAATATCCGCTTGCAGATTCTACAAAAGGAGTGTTTCAAAACTGCTCTATGAAAAGCAAGGTTCCACTCTGTGAGTTGAATGCAAGCATCACAAAATAGTTTCTGAGAATGCTTCTATCTAGTTTTTATTTGAATATATTCAGTTTCCAATGAAGGCCTCAAAGCGCTCCAAATATCCACTTGCTGATTTACAAAAAGAGTGTTTCAGAACTCCTCTATCACTACGAAGGTTCAAATCTGTGAGTTGAATGCACACATCACAAAGAAGTTTCTGAGAATGCTTCTGACTAGTATTTATGTGAAGATAATCCCGTTTCCACCAAATGCCATAAAGTGCTCCAAATATCCACTTGCAGATTCTACAAAAAGAGTGTTTCAAAACTGCTCTCTCAAAAGGAATGTTCAACTCTGTGAGTTGAATGCAAGCATCACAATTTAGTTACTGAGTTACTGAAAATGATTCTGTCTAGTTTTTATATGAAGATATTTCCTTTTCCAGCATAGGCCTCAAAGCACTCCAAATATCCAATTGCAGATCCTACAAAAAGAGTTTTTCAAAACTTCTCTATCAAAAGGAAGGTTCAACTCTCTGAGTTGAATGCACACATAACAAAGAAGTTTCTGATAATGTTTCCGTCTAGTTCTTATGTGAAGATATTCCCGTTTCCAATGAAGGCCTCCAAGCACTCCAAATATCCACTTGCAGATTCTAGAAAAAGTGTGTTTCAGAACTGCTCTATCACAAGGAATGTTCAACTCACTGAGTTGAAAGCACACATCGCAAAGAAGTTTCTGAGAATGCTTCCATTTTTTTTTTAAGATATACCCATTTCCACCAAACGCCACAAAGTGCTCCAAATATCCCCTTGCAGATTCTACAAAAAGAGTGTTTCAAAACTGCTCTCTCAAAAAGGATGTACAACACTGTGAGTTGAATGCAAGCATCACAAAGTAGTTTCTGAAAATGCTTCCATCTAGTTTTTATATGAAGATATTTCCTTTTCTACCTTAGGCCTCAAAGCCTTCCATATATCCACTTACAGATTCTACAAAAAGAGTGTTTCAAAACTGCTCTATCAAAAGAGATGTTCAACTTTGTCAGTTGAAAGCAAGCGTCACAAAGTAGTTTCTGAGAATGCTTCTGTGTAGTTTTTATATGAAGATATTTCCTTTTCTACCATAGGCCTCAAAGTGCTCCAAATATCCACTTGCAGATGCTACAAAAAGAGTGTTTCAAAACAGCTCTATCAAAAGGAAAATTCAACTCTGTGAGTTGATTGCACACATCACAAAGAAGTTTCTGAATACGCTTCTGTCTAGTTTATATGGGAAGATATTCCCGTTTCCACTGTAGACCTCAAAGCATTTGAAATATCCACTTGCAGTTTCTACAAAAAGAGTGTTTCAAAACTGCTCTTTCAAAAGGAAGGTTCAACTCTGTGAGGTGAATGCACACATCACAAAGTAGTTTCTGAGAATGTTTCTGTCTAGTTTTTATGTGAATATACTCCCTTTTCCACTGAAGGCCAAAAATTGCTCCAAACATCCACTTTCAGATTCTACAAAAAGAGTGTTTCAAAACTGGTTTATCAAAAGGAAGGTCCAACTCGGTGAGCTGAATGCATACATCACAAAGAAGTTTGTGAGAATGCTTCTGTCTATCTTTTTTTTGAAGATATACCTGTTTCCACCGAAGGCCTCAAAGTGCTGCAAATATCCACTTGCAGATTCTACAAAAAGAGTGTTTCAACACTGCTCTCTCAAAAGGAATGTTCAACACTGTGAGTTGAATGGAAGCATCACAAAGTAGTTTCTGAAAATGCTTCTGTCTAGTTTTTATATGAAGATATTTTCTTTTCTACCTTAGGCTTCAAAGCGTTCCATATATCCACTTGCAGATTCTACAAAAAGAGTGTTTCAAAACTGCTCTATCAAAAGGAATGTTCAACTCTGTGAGTTGAAAGTAAGCATCACAAAGTGGTTTCTGAGAATGCTTCTGTGTAGTTTTTATATGAATATATTTCCTTTTCTACCTTAGGATCAAAGTGCTCCAAATATCCACTTGCAGATTCTACATAAAGACTGTTTGAAAACTGCTCTATTAAAAGGAAGGTTGAACTCTGTGAGTTGAATGCACACACATCACAAAGAAGTTTCTGAGAATGCTTCTCTCTAGTTTTTGTGTGAAGGTATTTCCATTTCCACGGCAGGCCTCAAAGCGCTCCATATATCCACTTGCAGATTCTACAAAAAGAGTGTTTCGAAACTGCACTATGGGAAGGAAAGCTCAATTTTGTGAGTTGAATGCACACATCACAAAGATGTTTCTGAGAATGCTTTTCTCTAGTTTTTATATGAAGATATTAACTTTTGAACCATAGACCTCAAAGCGCTCCAAATATCCACTTGCAGATCCTGCAAAAAGAGTGTTTCAGAACTGCTCTATCAAAAGGAAGGTTAAAGTCTGTGAGTTGAATGCACACATTACAAAGAAGTTTCTGATAGTGCTTCTGTCTAGTTTTTATGTGAAGATATTCCCTTTTCCGACAAAGTCCTCAAAGTGCTCCAAATATCCACTTGCAGCTCCTACAAAACTGCTCTATGAAAAGGAAGGTTCAACTCTGAGTTGAATACACACATCACAAATAAATTTCTGAGAATGCTTCTGTCTAGTTTTTAATGGGAAGATATTCCCGTTTCCAACGTATGCCTCAAAGCTCTCCAAATATCCACTTGCAGATTCTACAAAAAGAGTGTTTCAAAACTGTTCTATCAAAAGGAAGGTTCAACTCTGTGAGTTGAATGCAAGCATCACAAAGTTGTTTCTGAGAATGTTTCTGTCTAGTTTTTATATGAAGATATTACCTTTTCTACCAAAGGCCTCAAAGCGTTCTAAATATCCACTTGCAGATTCTGCAAAAAGAGTGTTTCAAAACTGCTCTATAAAGAGGAAGTTAAAACTCTCTGAGTTGAATGCAAGTATCACAAAGTAGTTTCTGAGAATGCTTCTGTCTATTTTTTATATGAAGATATTTCCTTTTATACCACAGACCTCAAAGCGCTCCAAATATTCACTTGCAGATTCTACAAAAAGAGTGTTTCAAAACTGCTCTATCAAAAGGAAGGTTCAACTGTCTGAGTTGAATGCACACATCACAAAGGAGTTTCAGAGAATGCTTCTGTCTAATTTTTATGTGAAGATATTCCTGCTTCCAACAAAGTCCTCCAAGCGCTCCAAATATCCACTTGCAGATTCTAGAAAAACAGTGTTTCAAAACAGCTCTATCAAAAGGAATGTTCAACTCTGTGAGTTGAATGCAAGCAACACAAAGTAATTTCTGAGAATGTTTCTGTCTGGTTTTTATATGAATATATTTCCTTTTCTACCATAGGCCTCAAAACGCTCCAAATATCCACTTGCAGATTCTACAAAAAGAGTGTTTCAAAACTGTTCAACTCCCAGAGTGGAATGCACACATCACAAAGAAGTTTCTGAGAATGGTTCTGTCTAGTTTATATGGGAAGATATTCCCGTTTCCACCATAGACCTCAAAGCGCTCCAAATATCCACTTGCAGATTCTACAAAAAGAGGGTTTCAAAACTGCTCTATCAAAAGGAAAGTTCAACTCTCTCAGTTGAATGCACACATCAAAAAGAAGTTTCTGAGAATGCTTCTGTCTATTTCTTATGTGAAGATATTCCCTTTTCCAATGAAGGCCTCAAAGTGCTCCAAGTTTCCACTTGCAGATTCTCCAAACAGAGTGTTTCAAAACTGCTCTATCAAAAGGCCTGTTCAAATCTGTGAGTTGAATGCACACATCACAAAGTAGTTTCTCAGAATGCTTCTGTCTACTTTTTATGTAAAGATATTCCCGTTTGCACCGAAGGCCTCAATGCGCTCCAAATATCCACTTGCAGATTCTACAAAAAGAGTGTTTCAAAACCGCTCTATCAAAGGGAATGTTCAACTATGTGAGTTGAAAGCAAGCATCACAAAGCAGTTTCTGAGAATGCTTCTGTCTAATTTTTATGTGAAGATATTCCCGTTTCCAACGAAGGCGTCCAAGTGCTCCAAATATCCACTAGCAGATTCTACAAAAAGAGTGCTTCAAAACTGCTCAATGAAAAGGAAAGTTCAACTCTGTGAGTTGAATGGACACATCACAAACATGTTTCTGAGAATGCTTCTGTCCAGTTTTTATGTGAAGATATTCCCGTTTTTATGTGAAGATATTCCCGTTTCCAGCAAAGGCCTCAAAGCACTCCAAATATCCTCTTGCAGATTTTACAAAAAGAGTGTTTCAAAACTGCTCCATCAAAGGGAAGGTTCAACTCTGTGAGTTGAATGCACACATCACAAAAAAGTTTTGGAGAATGCTTCTGTTTACTTTTTATGTGAAGATATTCCCGTTTCCACCGAAGGCCTCAAAGCTCTCCAAATAAACACTTGCAGATTCTATATAAAGAGTTTTTCATGACTGCTGTATCAAAAGGAATGTTCACCTCTGTAAGTTGAATGCAAACATCACAAAATAATTTCTGAGAATGCTTGTGTCTAGTTTTTATATGAAGATATTTCCTTTTATACCATATGTCTCAAAGCACTCCAAATATTCACTTGCCAATTCTACAAAAAGAGTGTTTCAAAACTGCTCTGTCAAAAGGAAGGTTCAACTCTGTGAGTTGAAAGCACCCATCTCAAAGAAGTTTCTGAGAATGCTTCTGTCTAGTTTTCTTATGAAGATATTTCATTTTCTACCACAGGCCTCAAAACGGTCCAAATGTCCACTTGCAGATTCTACAAAAAGAGTGTTTCAAAACTTCTCTGTCAAAAGAAACGTTCAAGTCTGTGAGTTGAATGCACACCTCCCAAAGAGATTTCTGAGAATGCTTCTCTCTAGTTTTTATGTGAAGAAATTTCCTTTTTCACCATAGGCCTCAACGTGCTCAAAACGTCCACTTGAAGATTCTACAAAAAAAGTGCTTCAAAACTGCTCTAATAAAAGAAAGGTACATCTCTGTGAGTTGAATGCACACATCACCAAGTGGTTTCTGAGAAAGCTTCTGTCTACTTTTTATGTGAAGATATTTACTTTTTCACCACAGGCCTTAAAGTGCTCCAAATGTCCTCTTACAGATTCTACAAAAACAGTGTTTCAAAACTGCTCTATCAAAATAAAGTTTCAACTCTGTGAGTTGAATGCACACATCTCAAAGAAGTTTCTGAGAATGCTTCTGTCTAGTTTTTATGTGAAGATATTCCCTTTTCCAACAAAGGCCTCAACCCGGTCCAAATATCCACTTGCAGATTCTACAAAAAGAGTGTTTCAAAACTTCTCTATGAAAAGGAAGGTTCAACTCTGTGAGTTGAATGCACACAAACAAAGAAGTTTCTGAGAATGCTTCTGTCTTGTTTTTATGCGAAGATACTTCCTTTTGCACCAGAGGCATCAAAGGGCTCCAAATGTCCTCTTGCAGATTCTACAAAGAGAGTGTTTCAAAACTGCTTTGTCAAAAGAAAGTTTAAACTCTGTGAGTTGAATGCACACACCACAAAGTAGTTTCTGAGAATGCTTCTGACTTGTTTTCATGTGAAGATATTTCCTTTTTCACCACAGGCATAAAAGGGTTCCAAATGTCCGCTTACAGATTCTACAAAGAGAGTGTTTGAAAACAGCTCTATCAAAAGAAAGATTCAACTCTTTGAGTTGAATGCACACATCACAAAGAAGTTTCTGAGAATGCTCCTGTGTAGTTTTTATGTGACGATATTTCCCTTTTCAGCCAATGCCCCAATGCGGTCTAAATTTCCACTTGCAGATTCTACAAAAAGAGTGATTCAAAACTGCTCTATCAATAGAAAGGTTCAACTCTGCGAGTTGAATGCACACATCACAAAGAACTTTCTGAGAATGCTTCTGCCTACTTTTTATGTGAAGACATTCACGTTTCCACCGAAGGCCTCAAAGCGGTGAAATATACAATTGCAGATTCTACAAAAAGAGTGTTTTGAAACTGCTCTTTCAAAAGGAACATTCAACTCTGTGAGTTGAATGCACACATCAGAAAGAAATTTCTGAGAATGCTTCTGTCTAGTTTTTATGTCAAGATATTGCCGTTTCCAACAAAGGCCTCAAAGTCGTCCAAATATCCACTTGCAGATTCTACAAAAACAGTGATTCCAAACTGCTCTTCCAAAAGAAAGGTTCAACTATGTGAGTTGAATTCACACTTGACAAAGAAGTTTCTGATAATGCTTCTGTCTAGTTTTTAAGTGAAATATCCCGTTTCAAACGAAGGCCTCAAAGCACTCCTAATACCCACTTGCAAATTCTACAAAAAGAGTCTTTGAAAACTGATCTAAGAAAATGAATGTTGTACTCTGTGAGTTGAAAGCAAACATCACAAAGAAGTTTCTGAGAATGCTTCTGTCTAGTTTTTAAGTGAAGATATTTACTTTTTCACCACAGGCCTTAAAGTGCTCCAAATGTCCTCTTACAGATTCTACAAAGACAGTGTTTCAAAACTGCTCTATCAAAATAAAGTTTCAACTCTGTGAGTTGAATGCACACATCTCAAAGAAGTTTCTGAGAATGCTTCTGTCTGGTTTTTATGTGAAGATATTCCCTTTTCCAACAAAGGCCTCAACCCTGTCCAAATATCCACTTCCAGATTCTACAAAAAGAGTGTTTCAAAACTGCTCTATGAAAAGGAATGTTCAACTCTGTCAGTTGAATGCACACATCACAAAGAAGTTTCTGAGAATGCTTCTATCTAGTTTTTAAGTGAAGATACCCCGTTTCCAATGAAGGTCTCAATGCGTTCCAAATATCCACTTGCAAATTCTACAAAAAGAGTGTTTCAAAACTACTCTAAGAAAAGGAATTTTCAACTGTGTGAGTTCAAAGCAGACATCACAAAGAAGTTTCTGAGAATGCTTCTGTCTTGTTTTTATGTGAAGATATTTCCCTTTTCACCATACTCATCAAAGGGCTCCTAATGTCCACTTGCATATTCTACAAAGAGAATGTTTCAAAACTGCTCTTTCAAAAGAAAGGTTCAACTCTGAGTTGAATGCACACATCACAAAGAAGTTTCTGAGAATGCTTCTGTCGTGTTTTTATGTGTATATATTTCTTTTTTCACCATAGGCCTCAAAGCGCTGCAAATGTCCAATTGCAGAATCTACAAAAAGAGTTTTTCAAAACTGCTCTATCAAAAGAAAGTTTCACCTCTGCGAGTTGAATGCGCATATCACAAAGATTGAGAATCTCAGTCACAGGAGAGCTGCTGTGTATAGATGTCTGTGGCAGGGGGTCAAGGTATTCATGCTGCAGAAGACAAGCTGGAATCTCCCTCCACCCCTATTTCGACCCAACCAAGGGCTCTGGTTCCTTTCATAAACCTGCCTCTAGTCTTCCCCACCTTTCTCTGTTCCTATCCCCTCTCTAATTGCTGGATGAGGCTGTGCTGCTGCAGCCAACTGTCTGGCCCCTGAGCATTACATCCCCGTACTCCAGGCCTTTATTCATCACCAAAACAGCATGGTACTGGTATAAAAATAGGCACATAGACCAGTGGAACAGAATAGAGAACCCAGAAATGAACCCAAATACTTACAACCAACTGATCTTTGACAAAGCAAACAAAAACATAAAGTAGGGAGAGGACACCCTATTCAACAAATGGTGCTGGGATCATTGGCAAGCCACATGTAGGAGAATGAAACTGGACTGTGTGGCATAGACAAACTTTCTTATTATTATTCAATGAAACACTCACGTAGGACCTACTGGGAAGGTATTTTGCAGAGGTAATGAAAGGTCCTGCTCTTGTAACTAGCAAGTGTATTCAGGTAAGCCTGACTTCATCAGTGAAAGTCCCTTAAAGAAAGACATAGGCATTCCTTGAACAACATTTAAAATAGCGAATGGGACTGTAATCTTCCAATTGCCCCCTACTGACTTGGGACCAAAGCTTTGAATCATGATCACTGGGATCCAGCCAGCTGAGGATTTTTCTTCCTAACTGACTTTAACAGGGATCTCATACTTGCTCAGGCATCCCATCAACTGTGGAAACCAGTTCCTTGCACTTAATTCATATGTGAATCTCCCTAAGTATACATATATATTATGGGTTCTGCTTCGATTTTTGAACCTTGACAGACTTTTTGAACCTCGACAGACATAGGGCTGACAGATTTGTCTTCACTGTTCTGAAACTCTTGAATATAAGTCTTGTGGGGGCTATTGGCAAAGAATTCCTCTGTCAGAATATATTTGAGTAGCCGCTTCTGAAATCTCTTTTCTTTTTTAAATTGTCACATGACAACAAAAATATTTGTTATAGAAAGAAAAATATAATCCATCCCTATCGTTTGGATTCTGTATTTGTGAATTAGCCTACGTCCTAAAACTTGTTTATAATCCCCAAATTAATTACTATATTGCATTTCTAGTCATGGCAGAACATCATGCACCATGTGGAGAAAAGCATTAAAATAATAACTCGTATTTCACCCACGAGATTGGCAAAGTTTTGTAAATTCAATAAGAGACCTCAAATTAGTAGAGTTATTTGGTTAGTCAGTGATTTCTCTTAGAGTGGTAGAAAACAAAAAAAAAAGTTTTACCTTCCTGTTGGACTTCTCTTCCAATATCCTATAAATGTACTAAAGCAGCATTTAAGGCTGGACGAGGTGGTTTATGCCTGTACTCCCAAGCACTTTGGAAGTCCAAGACCAGAGGATCACTTGAAGACAGGAGTTGGAGAACAGCCTGGGCTACAGAGCCATACCCTGACTCTATGAAAAGTTTTTAAAAAAATTAGCCAGGTGGGATGATTTGAGCCTGTAGTCCTAGCTACTTGGGAGGCTGAAGAAGGAGGATCCCTTGAGCCTTGGAATTCAAGGCTGCAGTGAGCTATGATTATACCACTGCACTCCACAAGGAGACAGTTTCTCTAGAATAAATAAATGTGCCCTTAAAGGAATGCCTGTATCTTGGATGAAGCTCAATAAACAGTATAAAATGCATCTTATTTAATTTGCAGTGTATGTCAAATCTGATAGGATTTATGTTACATATGATTCATTTCAGTCATGGTTTTTTAAGGAGTGATGATAATTTAATCAGCCGTGCAAAGGTGTGATCTAAATACTGCATAAACCTAATCATCTTATTCTCAACCTTTCTCAATACTCCACCCACTTAAAGAGGTGGGTGTGGTCTTCACAGATTCTTATAAAGGACATAGAAGAGACAAGCTCAGTTTTCTCCAAAGGAGAAGGAGTGCACTTAGAGGGAGCTGTGTTTTGGTGACCTCTGAAACTCAGTACTGCAGCGAATGAGCTCCTGACCTTGAGGAGTACTTAACAGAATTATGTCTCGAAGAATCATTGTGGGAACCCTTCAAAGAACCCAGCGGTGAGTGAAACTTATATTGATAAAATTATATCTTCTTTCCTTTACAAAATAATAAATTAGAGTGTTAAAAATATCTCATTATCTTAAATCTACACAATGATACCATCTGTAATTCATATTCTTACTATAGATTTTATGAATTATGAGGATATTAATTGTTGTTATTTTGCATTTTCTATCATTCTTCAATATAGTTTTGAAAAAATGAAAATATCTAGTGTTTGCTGCAACAGATATGTATGCATAATGAATATATGGAGTTGATATTTATACATGTATGTACACATAGGTGTGTGTAAATATATGTGTAATGAGTGTATTAATATTATACAATTGAATTGAGAAGACATTAATGAATGTTCATTCATTCATTCAGCATTTACACATAACTTTAAATTAGTAAGGTAATGATGAGAGATGAAAAATAGTGAAACTGAAAAAAATGAGAAAGCTCCCCAAAACATCCCAGTTTGGAAATCAAAACACAATTTTTTGACCAAATAAATATATGATATAATTTGATATGTGATGGTGGTTGCCATCTCACTTGAGTTTTAATCTTATTAAACTATGAAAAATTCCTTACAATGACTTAGATGACCTCTGGAGAATATTTACAATTCTAAGATTTTTCATTGCTTTCACTAAAATTCAGCAGCGTTATCAAATAAAGGAGAGTAACGAAAAGGACTTAAAATTGCCAAAGACCATAGTTTATATATTAGTCAGGGCTCTCCAGACAGACAGAATCATAGGGTGTATATGTATACATGTAGAGATACATTCATGAGCCATTTCAGTCAACAACAAACCACACATGGTGGTCACATAAGATTATAATACCAGTATGTTTACTGCACCTTTTCTGTATTTAAATGTTTACATACTAAATAATTACCACTGTGTTACAATTGCCTAGAGTATACAGTATAGAACACGCTGTACAGTTTTGTAGTCTAGGAGCAATAGGCTGTACTGTATACCATAGGTTTGTAGCAGGCTATACCATCTAGGTTTGTAAAGGTAGATTCTATCATGTCAAAACAATAAAACAATAAAACCTAGGCGCAGTGACTCATGCCTGTAATCCCAGCACTTTTGGAGGCCGTGGCAGGCAGATCACTTGAGGCCGGGAGTTCAAGTCCAGCCTGGCCAACATGGCGAAACCTCATCTCTACTGGAAAAAAAAAAAATGAAAAAATTTGCCGGGTGTAGTGGCATGTTCCTATAATCCCAGGAACTCAGGAGGCTAAGGCAGGAGACTCGCTTTGACCCAGGAGGTGGAGGTTGCAGTGAGCCGAGATTGCACCACTGCACTCCAGCCTGGGTGACACAGTGAGTCCCCACCTCAGAAAGTAAATAAATAAAGCCTCCTTACACATTTCTTAGAACATATATCTGTCCTCAAGCTACACATGATTCTACACGAGGGGAATTCATCAGGAAAATTCGTTTGCTTGATTATGGAGTCTGAGCAGTTCCAAATATAGGCTGTCTTTAAGCTGATGTAGTGAGGATACTGGTATCTTGACTGATCTCAAGGCTGAAAGCCTCAGAACCAGCTTCAGGAGAAAGAAAGAGGAAATTGCCTTTCCTCTGGCCTTTTCCTTTTATCTGAGCTACAAGCTGATTGAATGGTACCCACTCAAACTGAGGGATGATGGTCCCACTCAGCTCACCAACTCACATGTCTCTCTCCTCCGGAAACACCTTCACAGACCCACCCAGAAACAATGCTGCACCATTTCCCTGGGTGTTGGTTAATCCAGTCAGACTGATACCTAAAATTCACCATCACACCATGGAAATATAATTACACCTCTTTAAGTTTAACAAAAATCCTACTATATGTTAGTTCAGAGTTTGGGTATCCCTAGGAGAAGTTAATTCAATCCAAGAGAAAATAAAAAGGTCCGATATCTTTAATGATTTTTTCTCTTCTATTCAACCTAAATTGGTTTAATTGCTGTTTTTTATTTGTTTATTTGGTTGGTTGATTGGTTTTTCTATTTCGCTTTGGATTTGGTTTTTTATTTTACTTTAATTTTATATTATTTTCAGTCCTGAGATAAACGTGCAGGACATGCAGGCTTGTTACACAGGTAAACATGTGCCATGGTGGTTTGCTGCCCCACTGTTGTGTCTCTCTCTCAAAATATATCATAGGACCCTCTAGCCATCTTCTCGTATTTCTTTGGCCAAGACAGTTTTTCCCACTCTTTCACACTCATTCGGCAGTCATATGAAAGAAGAATAGGAACAACTACAATTTATTCTAGGCTACTTAGAATCAAACCCAATTTCCAGATCCACATTCAGAAAAAAATGGGAAATTGAATAGATTAGTATTATGTTACAGACAGGCACTAGGAGTAGAAGGGGTTGTGAGGCATCTAGTCAGTAATATCTATTATAAAGCCGGGAGACTCTCTGTGTGAGATTTTTATTTTTGTTACAGAAGAAATAGTTTGTTGTGCTTTAATGAACACTGTCAAGAGAAGAAACTATAGCTATCACTTATCTCCACATGTTCAGAAGCTTTTCATCAACCCAGACCCCAAAATGACATGCTGCTCTTTCTTCCTCAGAAACATGAATTCTGGAATCTCGCAAGTCTTCCAGAGGGAACTCACCTGCCCCATCTGCATGAACTACTTCATAGACCCGGTCACCATAGACTGTGGGCACAGCTTTTGCAGGCCCTGTTTCTACCTCAACTGGCAAGACATCCCAATTCTTACTCAGTGCTTTGAATGCATAAAGACAATACAGCAGAGAAACCTCAAAACTAACATTCGATTGAAGAAGATGGCTTCCCTTGCCAGAAAAGCCAGTCTCTGGCTATTCCTGAGCTCTGAGGAGCAAATGTGTGGCATTCACAGGGAGACAAAGAAGATGTTCTGTGAAGTGGACAGGAGCCTGCTCTGTTTGCTGTGCTCCAGCTCTCAGGAGCACCGGTATCACAGACACTGTCCCGCTGAGTGGGCTGCTGAGGAACACTGGGTAAGTGATGCCTCTGAAGATCTATTTCTATAAAGGACACATGAAATTCCTGTGGCCCTATTTTCTTGGAGATTGGGTAAAGCCAACTCTGAGTCCCTTTAAGCAACTCTCTTTTGGGCTTTCTTAGCTTCAAACCTCTGAGATTTGACGAGGAAGAAGTGAAACAGAAGAAATGCCATTTACTAGGGACTTATTTGTCTCTCATTCTGGGCCCCCTCCCAATGAAACGGTCTGTATGTTACTTTATTGTCTTCACTGGTGCTTCAATTTATGGCTCTTTTGCAGGAGAAGCTTTTAAAGAAAATGCAGTCTTTATGGGAAAAAGCTTGTGAAAATCAGAGAAACCTGAATGTGGAAACCACCAGAATCAGCCACTGGAAGGTTAGTCCTGTAATACCCTACCTTCTCCAGGAACTTATGGTGGGCAAATGGGTGACTCTTAAAATAGGAACTTGATATCAAACCGTAATGTTTCTGGGAGTCAAAAAAAAAAAAAAAAGAGAAGAAAACATTGAGAAAAAATGGTCTCATTTCTTATGTAGAATAGTGTGACTATTAGATGGGATTTCTAACAAAACCGTTGATGTTACCCAAAGCATGCTGATTTGTTTTCATACAAACCTGTAGCTATACACCAACAGATACAAGAAACTGGGCCATCTCACAGCATTCTATATGTGCTGGTTGGATAAATGCTGGGCATAAGAGTTATTTGGCAGTCATGGAAAGCTCAAGTGAACCTTCTGAGCCTGGGTCAGCATTAATCTGAATGCTGGTGGACAAGTAGTATTTGGAATTGCATGGAAAATTTGAGGCAGAAAGAGTGACAGGGGAAATCTAGGGCAACCATGAAATTAAGAATCCAAACTAATTAATATTGAATAATACATAACATATGATGAGAAAAGTGGTGAGAAATATGGATTTGTGTCTTGAGGGAGACATGCAAACATGCCCAAAATATGGGAACTAGTATCTAAATATAAGGAGAACTCTGAGGACTTCAGAAAAATATTAAAAATGATTTCCTCTTTGTGGATGTATACTCTGAGGGTATGATAGCTAATATTAGTGTGTTGAAAAGTATTTCATAAGAACCTAGTCTATGTTGAATATTAAATTAGAAAATTTGCCAGTATAGAAGAAAGAAAGCATCTTTGTCCTCACAAATCGTACAATCCAAATGAGAGAGGCAAAAATGGTCAACATGCAAATATGTGCAATACATGATGTGTTCGAGTGTGGTAAGTTCTTTGTTGGAGAATAATCAAGCAGGGAAGTAGAAAAGGACAATAGAGGCCAGAAACTGGAGATTAGTGTGTGAGTTTAAAATAGGGTGGTCAGAAAAAAGACTCACTGAAAAATTCAAATTGAACAAAGTTTCAAAGAGGAAGGGGAGCACAAAAGTGTGTATGGATATATATGTGGACCATGAGTGTGTATATGTGTGTGTGTGTGTCTGTGTGTAAAATTCCAGTTGGAGAGAACAGCATATGCAGTAATTTTGAGTTTGTGTATATTTGGAGGCCTGGGGAACCAAAGAAGTCTATGTTTCAGATTGGGATGACTTAGAAAAAGAATGGAAGGAAATGAATTCAGGGAGACAAAAATGGCCAAATCATAAATGCAGCTTTATTAGGATAGGTTTTGCTGGGCGAAATGCATTTAGCTGGACATGTTAGTCTAAGGTCATTTCATATATAATGAGTTTAAGCAACTTGTTACATATCTCAGAAATAGAAATAATTATTTCCTTTCTAGTAACTATAGCTCTATACTCCAACTCTTAAGCATGAACTATTCTTACTTTTCCATAAATGTGGGTTGGAATAGAGAAATTCAAATTGTGTTTTTTTTTATTTCCAACTATCTTAGAACACTCCTTATCTTGAATAAATTTAATGTAATTGGTCAGATACATCTATGTTGATCTTTATGCAGAAAGAAAGGAAAGGAAAAAATTTGTGGATTCTAAGAACTGGCAAGACTGAGGTTTAAACTATTGGATGTTCGAGAGACAAAAGGAATCAGTGAGATTTAATAGGAGATGGATATATACATTTCTCTTTTGACTAACCCATTATTACTGCCGTATTATGTGAATGTAAGGCTAGAAGCTATTAAAGCTGAGTATCAGAAGATGCCTGCATTTCATCATGAAGAAGAAAAACATAATTTGGAGATGCTGAAAAAGAAGGGAAAAGATATTTTTCATCAACTTCATTTAAGTAAAGCCAAAATGGCTCATAGGAGGGAGATTTTTAAGAGGAATGTAAGCGGAGCTGATGAAAATGTGCCATAAACCACATGTGGAGCTACTTCAGGTACAAACTCGCAATGTGGTTTCAGGTTTTTGACTATTCACATGTATAAGTATTTTCCTCATGGCTGAAATCCATCTCCCTACCTTTATTTCCATGATGTGTTTCCAAAAACACATTCGCATAACTAATGCTACTTTATTGGGAGAGTATAGCCCCGCCAAGGGATCCTACCAGGCCAAAGGTCCCTCCTACTTTATCCACCAGCCACAAAACTTTGTGGAATGGTCAAGGTAACAGCCCCAATAACTATTCCCCAACTAAGTCAATAATACATTTAGGGTTGTCAAACATGTATAAAATAGTGAGTGATTCATTTACATTTAGGTTAATTTGAGGACATGGCAAGATCAGAAGTTTTGGGAATCTAGGCTCACATTAATATTATTTTGGGATCCACTCATTTGGATAATAGGTTCTGGGAAAGATGACCGAGTAGGTTATTCGAGGTTACCATGGAGCATAGACTCTCTGGGCTTCTTCTCCCTTCACTTTTTGGAGAATGTCTTCAAGACTCAGACTTTCCCGGGACATTAATTAGTGACAATATGATTGACTGGGTTTTTCATTACAGAAGAAATAGAAAATGCTTTGCAGAAGAGAAGAAGGTAGGGAAATAATATCTTGAGGAACTGACTCCAAATTTCACACTGAACTTAATGAAAGATGCATCTTGTGAACTGCACTAAATCTTTCTATTTTTTTTTTTTACAGGCTTTTGGAGACATATTATACAGGTGAGTATGTACCTGGATTTTAGCATATGTTCTTTCACTTTCCACGAATATCAAAGCAGGCTCTACCAAAGTCATGGCATAAACGATTAAGATATTGATACTATTTTTTTTTGCATCTTCTTTCATTCCCACACCAGAAAAGACAAGACCACTAAGTAAATAAATACATAAATAAATAAATAGTGAAGTAAAATTTTAAAAAACATGTTTATTCCTGACTTTGTTTTATTGCTTAAAAGCCTGCATAGGTGAAAGATGAAGTTTTGTTTTGTGGATGGTGAGAAAGTCACCAGAGGAAGCAGGAGAGAAGTGGGGGAAGTATTTTAGCAGTGAAAAAGTTGATGATTTGTTGTTCATACCTATACACATATCAGTTAACAGTTCCGAAAAATAGATTGAAAAAACTATGGAGTGTTAGAACTGTATAAGTCTCTAGGGAAGCTTGTTTCTAAAAGGCAGGTCTAGCTGCCTAGGACAAGTTTCACATTCTTTATCTTGAAAAGGAAGCAGCAGATGCAGCAGTCTCCCCAGAACCCCTCTATTTCAGACAAAGATGTCAGGGGAGTCTGCCAAGAAGTGGAACTCAGAATTTCGTTTCTAAATATTCTCAAGGCCATAAGGCTAAGGAACTTTACACATTTGGGGCAAAAAATAAGAAACATCAGACTGAATTCTGACTCAGACTCTCCCACTATGCTTTAAAATTTGGAAACTGTAAATAGAAATTAATTCCAAAAAGGAAGGAATAATTTTTGAATTATCAAATTTGTGGGTTCAAAGGATTCTCATGAAATGTCTTTTAAACACAAGTAGTGATTTTTATTTATTTTATGGCTGTAGATGTTGTAACTGCAGGTTTTTCCTTGCAGGAGTGAGTCCGTGCTGCTGCACATGCCCCAGCCTCTGAATCTAGCGCTCAGGGCAGGGCCCATCACTGGACTGAGGGACAGGCTCAACCAATTCTGAGGTAAGTCTCCACCCACAGGCAGCACCCCCACTATCTAAATATTATTATTGTTAGGATCACATAGGTAATATTTCATCCTTTATCAAATATTTTACTACTTTATAAGCATAAGAGAACAATATAATCATGCAACCCTTTTGTATCTGTGTCTGTATAGTCAGATTTATAGCATTAAGATTGAAAGATAGTGAAAAACAAATACATTATGGCCTCATATGTACTGAGTAATGTAATGGGAAAAAAGGAGTAGTGTAGCAAATCTAAAAAAGGAGCAAATGGAACAATGCTCAGAATGAAGGTGAGTTATTTAATGTTAAATACAAAATTTTACATTTCTTTGGTGTATTCATTTGAACAGTTAAGAACTGTTCTTTTGGGGAATATAGTTCGCTGGAGATTCTTGGGGTTTTTTAATTTTTTAAATGGATATATATTATGTATTTCCAAGAAAATTAGTTAATGGGTAAAAATAAAAAGAAATCATTTTGTGAATACAAGTAAAACATCAAACAAAAAGAAGTTCAGTTTAATTGCAATATGAAAAGCTACATGTTAAGTCTAAAATCCAGCTTCAGCCCCAAGCTAACATGGAGGGCCACAGAGAGACTGGTAAAAGATTTTGCAGAAATCTGCTTCAAATGATCACTTATGACATGTACTTATGGATTTTTATCCAGTTATCTAGAGCAGTTCTTGAGTAACTGAAAATCTTCACATGCTTTCCAAAATGATGGCACTAGTTTTTAAGAATAAGAAACATTTCTAAATAAAGATCTTGATAACAGCATAGCATTTAGGGCGTATAATGTGCAAATTTTGCTTTGAAAATTGGATTGAAAGAAGTTGGTCTTACATTTGGCTGTCAGTATGTAAGTTTTCAAAACATTTTTAATATCTGTGGTTAGCATTTTGTTTGTCTTGTAGATAATATTAATCATCTCTATACTTTATTAGAAGTTACAAGCAAAAGTGTCCTTGTGACTTTACGTTTCCTGGTAAATTAACTTTTTGATAGAACGATTTTTGCTTATTTACACATGCCTATGCATGTTTTCTTTCTTTCTTTCTTTCTATTTATTTATTTATTTATTTTGCAGTGGATATTACTCTGCATCACAATGAAGCCAACAGTCATATCTTCCGATGTGGAGATTTGAGAAGCATTTGTATTGGATGTGACCGTCAAAATCCGCCCCATATCACTGCAACACCTACAAGTTTTCTTGCATGGGGTGCTCAGACTTTCACCTCTGGCAAATATTACTGGGAGGTCCATGTGGGGGACTCTTGGAATTGGGCTTTTGGTGTCTGTAATAAGTATTGGAAAGGGAAGAATCAGAATGGCAATATATATGGAGAGGAGGGACTCTTTAGTCTTGGGTGTGTTAAGAACGACATTCAGTGCAGTCTCTTTACCACCTCCCCAATTACACTGCAGTATGTCCCAAGACCTACCAACCATGTAGAATTATTCCTGGATTGTGAAGCTAGAACTGTGAGCTTCGTTGATGTTAGTCAAAGCTCCCCTATATACACCATCCCTAATTGCTCCTTCTCACTTCCTCTCAGACCTATCTTTTTCTGTATTCTCCTCTGACCAGAGACAAATCAGAAATGTGTTCATCTGCTGTGGGAACCCCTTTATCCCAGAAAGCCCTCTTCCTTGTGCCTTATCAAACAGGACAAATAGGTTCGGTTTTATGTCTTGAATTGCATTCTAATGTTATTAAAACTCATTTATTGTGTTACTATTAAATGTAGTAAAAACACTAAAAGTATATATATTGGTTCTTTATTAATTAATTTTTGAAAAATCATTATTCATGATCATGGCATGAAATATATTATCTGGTTTTTTTTTATTTTTGACTGCCACTGAGTGAAATAATAGATGACAGACATGTCTGAATGGAGTTAAAATCAGTGGAAGAGAGTTGGGATCTTTTGCTTCATGCAAAAACTTGGAGTGAAGTCTTAATGATAACTGGGAAATGTTGTTTTTCTTTCTCTTTATCTAACTATATTGCTCTTATCCATCATGTTTCATTGTACTAATCTATCCTTTGAGTTAATATAATTTGACCTTCCATGGTGGGCTTCATTTTGGAATTCTCACCACATAGATAAATAACCCCGCATTATTAGTGTGCTCTTCTACATTGAAATACACAAGGTGATCAGAACAATGCTGGATTAATTGAATTTTTTTTTTAAAAAGTAACTAAATATTGACTCCTACCTCAAAACACACACAGTCATTTCCAAATAGATTCAAGTCCTGAAGGTAAGGGGAACATGACACAATATTCTCATAAGGATTTCTTAACCAGGACAAAAATTAACAATTAATAAAATTAGTTGGTTTATATTAATGATGACTTCTGTGTTTCAAAAAACATGATACAAGAATTGAAATGCAAACCATTAGTGGAGAAAGATATCCACCCGAACATATATAAAAGAAAATACAATACATGTGCATGATGAATACTTAAAATGTATTTTAAGTATTTTTCCAGATTCTTCCAGAGTGGCATAGAATAAACTTGGATGGCAGAGTCAATGATGAGATTAGCTGTGGAAATGGGAAACCGTTTTTTGGAGGACAGTAGTAATGCTGCGAACTTATGAAAACAACCAAGTATTCAGTAGCAACTAAAATGTGTCTCCATAAGATCATTTTACAGATGCATATCTGAAATCTGAAATTTAGGAGAACATTCTAGTAGTGTTCTCTAGTGAGAAAATACAGCTGGAAGGAAGAAGGGAGGGAAGATGAAGGAGAGAGAAACAGAATGCATTTGAGAGAAAATGCTATTTAGACTAAGATAGAATACAGCAGATACCACGACAAAGTGGTTAAAGTGTGTCTTATGGAGCACAAATGGCAAAAAAAATACCACAGTAAAGAGATTTACAACTGGATTGTTAGTTCTGGCTTTTATCCTGTCAATGTTGTGGTTTCTAAACACATCAGTGCTCTTCTTTGATCCATGTGCTAATTAACAACCAACACTCTGTCCCCTTTCCCAGATTCCTTCATCATTTTAAACCTAATCTGATTCTAATCCAGCTGGTCACTGTAACAAATGTGATCATCTAAGAATTTAAAAAAGATTTTTGATGAACTAGTGAATATACCTCATTCTCAACAAAAATGCTGTTTGAGAGGAAAAGTCGATGGTGTTTGCAACCATTTAAGTGCATCCACACACATGCAGACATATACATGTATATGTATATATTTATGTATCTGAGTTAATTGCATTAATTAGCGTGGCTACCTGGATTAGGATTACACTGGGCTTTGCTGATGAAAGAATTCGGAATGTTGTTTGGTTACCCTGTAATACCTATCTGAATATATTAACCCTGTAATTTTACTACTGCCGAAGCTCCCTTAGATGTAATCAAGGATGATTGTATAAGGATGTATATTGTTGCACTCTTTCCAATCATGAAAGAGAGAAAAATAAATATACTGTAATGTGGAAATTGTTTAGAAAATTAGAATGCATTTTACTAAACCCTGTAAAAACCAACACCATCTATATGTGTTAATATATTGATACTAACAGATTTTCTTTTATCTCTTATGTGACTATAATTC
This sequence comes from Homo sapiens, assembly GCF_000001405.40. Lineage (NCBI taxonomy): Eukaryota > Metazoa > Chordata > Mammalia > Primates > Hominidae > Homo > Homo sapiens. Next base: position 55,272,950 of record NC_000011.10, read on the forward strand.
CTATTTTTCACTAGTATTTTTATTATGGACAGACACAGTATTTTATTATGGATGGATATAGAAACAAAAAGAATTCCCTCTACAGAGGGTATAAAAATTATATATCATCATATATATTATATATATTATGTATTTTGTATTATAGGTACATATTTATATATATTATATATAAAATATATAAAATATATAATATACAAACATTTATATATTTATATTTTACATAATATATATTATATATATAAATTATATATATAATATATATATAAAAATTATATATATATTATATATATATAAATTATATATATATTATATATATAAAAATTATATATATATTATATATATAAAAATTATATATATATTATATATATAAAAATTATATATTATATATATATAAAAATTATATATATATTATATATATAAAAATTATATATATATAATATATATATAAAAATTATATATATATTATATATATATAAAAATTATATATATATTATATATATATAAAAATTATATATATGTATAATATTGGGACTCTATTAGTTTCTGCTAGTGTGAAGACAAGTCATATCATGTCTAGGGGCCATGATGATAGGAGCAGTCAGAGGATTTCTTGCATTGTGATGAGTGCATATAAGTTAAACGAGGCACTTATCAGTAGAATTGATAGCAGGATAACGGCTAGGGTTACTTCATATGAAATTGTTTGGGCTACAGTTTGTAATGCGCCAATTAGTGCATAATTTGAATTTAATTGCTCTCCCTGATCATAGAATAGAGCAGACGGCTAGGCTTGATACGGTTAGTAAAAATAGGAGGCCTATATCAAAATTAATTAGAGGATCTGGTATAGGGATGGGGGTTCACAATAGGAGAGCGAAAGAAAGCGCCAGGGTTGGAGCAATAATATAAAAGTTAATAGTAGATGTTGAGGGCCATAGGGGTTCTTTGCTGAAAAGTGTTATTGTGTCAGTGAATGGTTGAAGCCGTCCTTAAGGGCTTACAATGTTAGCCCCTTTGCATAGTTGTATGTGGCCTGAGGTTTTGTTAAATGAGTGATTTAAAATCAATACTGATAATAATGATAATTATTATTAAATAGTTATATTAATGATAACAATAAAATTATTAATATTAATTATTAATAATAACTGATATTAACAATTGATACTGATCTTATTAATTAGAAAACAATAATATTAGGTACCAACAATTAATATTAATGTTAATAACATGAAAACTTTTTATTAGCAATTATTTCTCAATATTGATATTGGTAATTAATATTAATGTTAATAATAAATAAGTAATAATTAATAATAATATTACTCCTAATACCACAGTGCGTGTACACCCACCTATGATATTGTTCCCAATGTCCATGGAGGGAGAGAGCATGGTATTACTTTCAATATTGCCGTAGGTGTACACCCACCCGGTGATATTGATCCGAATATCCAGAGGGTGGAGTATGACGTTACTCCCAATATAGCAGTGGGTGTACATCCACCCGGTGATATTGCTCCTAATGTTCGCGGAAGAAGAGAATGATATTACTCCCAGTATCGCAGGGAGTGTACACCCGTTCTGTGATATTGTTCCTAATATCCGGAGGGGGAGAGGGTGATATTACTCCCAATGTCGCAGGCTATGCACACCCACCCTGTGATATTGTTGCTAATAATATCCAGGAAGGGAGAGGATGATATGATTCCCCATACAGCAGCAGCTGAACACCCACTCTGGGATAGTATTCCTAATATCCATGGAAGGTAGAGGCTGATATTACTCCCAAAATCACAGGGGGTGTACATCCATTCTGTGATACTGTTTTTAATATTCAAAGGAGGAGAAGTTGATATTACTCCCAATATCACAGAAAGTGTACAAACCTGTGTGATATTATTCCTACTTCCAGAAGAAGAGAAGATGATATTACTCCCCATATCGCAAGAGGTGTACACCCATTCTGTGATATTTTTCCTAATATGCAGGGCGCGAGAGGATAATATTATTGTTAATAGCGCAGGATGTGTACAGCCCCCGGTGATATTGTCCTTAATATTCCAAGGCGAAGAGGATATTACTGCCAATATCACAGAAAGTGTACACCACCCCAGTGATATTGTTCCCATGATCCAGTAGAGAAGAGGATGATATTACTTTCAGAATCACATGGGGTGGACACGCCCCCAGTGACACTGTTTTGAATTTCAACTTGGGAGAGGATGGTATTACTCCCAATATCACAGGGGGTATAAACACTTCTTTGATATTGTTCCTAATATTCAGGGGTGGAGAGGATGTTATCAGTCCCTATATTGCAGAGGGTGTACACCAATCTGTGATATTGTTCATAATTTCTAGAGGGGGGATGATATTACTCACAATATCGTAAACACGCTGTGTGTCCACCGTGGGTCATGATATCCAGGGATGGAGAGGAGGGTGATATTACTCCCCATATCGCAGGGGGTGTCCACCCCGCCTGTCACACTGTTTCTTATATGCAGTGGGGAGAGGATGATATTACTACCAATATCAAAGACGTGTACAGCCCCCTTGTGATATTGTTCCTAATATCCACGTTGGGAGAGGATGATATTACTCCAAATATCACAGAAGGTGTACACCCCGCTTGTGATATTATTCCTACTATCCAGAATAAGAGAGAATGATATTACTCACAATAGTGCCGAGGTGTACACCCCCCTTGTGATATTTTTTCTAATATCCAGGGAGGGAGAGCATGATATTAATAACTCCCAATATCGCTATGGGTGTACACCCACCCTGTGATATTGCTCCTAATATCCAGGGGGTAGAGTATGACATTACTCCCAGTGTAACAGTGGGTGTACATCCACCCAGGGATATTGCTCCTAATATTCATGGAAGGAGAAAATGATATTACTCCCAATATCACAGGGAGTGTACGCCCCTTCTGTGATATTGTTCCTAACATCTGGAGGGCGAGAGGATGATATTACAGCAATATCGCAGGCTGTGTACACCCACCCTATGATATTGTCCCTAATATCCAGGAAAAGAAATGATACGACTCCCCATATAGCAGGAGGTGTAAACCCACCCTGAGATATTGTTCCTAATATCCATGGAGGGAAAGAGCCCGATATTACTCCCAAAATCTCAGGGGCTGTACATCCCCCCTGTGATATTTCTCTTAATATTCAAAGGCGGAGAGGATGATATTACTCTCAATCTCGAAGAAAGTGTACACTCCAGAGTGATATTGTTCCTAATATCCAGAAGGGGAGAAGATGATATTACTACTCATATCACAGAAGGTGTACACCCACTCTGTGATATTTTTCCTAATATGCAGGTTGGGGAGAGGATAATATTGCCAATATCGCAGAGAATGTACACCCGCCCTGTGACATTGCCCTTAATATTCAAAGGCGGAGAGGATGACATTACTCCCAATATTGCAGAAAGTGTACGCTTCCCATTGATATTGGTCCCATGATCCAGGAGAAAAGAGGATGATATTACTTTCAATATCACAGGGTGTGTACACGCCCACAGTGATATCGTTCCTAATTTCAGAGTGGGAGAGGATGATACTACACCCAATGCCACTGGGGGTAGAAATACTCCTGTGACATTGTTGTTAATATCCAGGGGCAAGAGGATGCCGTTACTGCAAATAGTGCAGAGGATGTACACCCGTCTATGACATAGCTGGTAATCTCCAGAGGCGGAGAAGATATTACTCACAATAACATAAACACGCTGTGTGTCCACCGTGGATCGTAATATCCTTGGGGGAGAGGCGGGGTGATTTACTCCACTACTAGGATTTTACCTCTACTGCCACTCTTCGTTAACACCCTGGGACATTATTTTCCATATTCTAGGAGGATGGCAATACCAAAATCACAGGGGGTGTATACCCTGCTATATTATTCGTAATATTGTAGGGGAATGTTCATCCTGATGTCACAGGACTGTACACACTGTGATATTATTCACAATACCCTAGTGGGACATTAATAATAATGTCACAGTGTGTGTACACCTTGTGGTATTATTCGTAATATCCTAAGGGGAGGTTACCTTTATTGTCACACGGGGTGTGTTCCCTTTGATATTATTTGTAATGTCCCAGAGGGATGTTTCTCCTTGTGTCACAGGGTTTGTCCACCTTATCAAATTACTTGTATAATCCTTACAAGATGTTACTCCCTATATCACAGGGGGTGTACACTCTGTGATATTATCGTAATATTCTAGGGAAATGTTACTTTTAATGTTGCAGAGGGTGTACACCTTGTGAAATTATTCGTTATAGTTTTGTGGGATGTTACTCCTAATGTCACACGGGGTGTACACACAGTGTAATATTCTACGGAAATGTTACTCGTAAATCACAGGTCCTGTACACACTTTAATATTCCTCATAATTTTCTAGGAAAACGTTACTCTGAATGTCACAGGGCATATACACCCTGTCATGAAATTCGTAATATCCTAGCGGGAGTTCACTACTAATTTCACAATGCATGTACGCCCTTTGATATTATTCGTATTATCGGAAAGAGATATTACTACTGATGTCCCAATGCATGTACATTCTCTGATATTATTCGTTATATCCTTGGGGGATGTTACTTCTAACGTCACACGGGGTGTACTCCCTGTGTTATTTTTCATAATATCCTAGGGGAATTTTACTTTTAATGACACACGGGGTGTACACATTGTGATACTATTCATGTAATCTAGAAAGATATTACTCCTCAGGTCACAGGGGATGTACACCCAGTGATATTATTCGTACTATCCTAGGGGACGTTACTCCAAATGTCACAGAAGGTGTAAATGCTGTGATATTACTGGAAATGTGTCAGGGAAATGTACTCGTAATGTCAAAGGGCATGTACATCATGTGTGCACAGCCCCTGTGATGTTCTTTGTGAAATTCTCGAGGGATGTTAATCCTAATATTACATATGCTGTTAACTATGTGTGAACACCTTTGTGGTATTATTCCTAACATACTAGAAGGATGTAACTCCTCATATCACATGGGGTATACGCCATGAGTGTACACATTCTGTGATATTATTCATAATATCTTAGGGAGATGCTCGTAATTTTACAATTATTCACGTAATATTTTGGCGGGATGATACTCCTAAAGTCACAGGAGGTGTAAACCCTGTGATATTATTCAGAATATTCCAGGGGGATGTTACTCCTAATGTCACAGGTGTGTATACCCTGTGATATTATTCACACTTTACTCGTGCGATATTACTACTAATGTCACAATGTGTGTACACCTTCTGATATTATTCATAATATCCTGGGAGGATGTTACTCCTAAAGTCACAAGGGTGTACACCCTGTGATATTATTAGTAATATTCCTGAGGGATTTTAATTTTAAAATCACATGGAGTGTCAACCCTGTGATCTCATTCGTAATATCCAAGGAAGATGTTACTCCTAATGTCACATGGGGTCTACACCCTGGGATATTATTTGGAATATCCTAAAGGGATGTTATCTTAATGTCATAGGGTGTGTACACCTATTGATACTATTTGTAATATCCTAAGGAGATATTACTTTAAAAATCACAGTGGGTGTACATCGTGTGTGTACACCCTGTGATAGTATACACAGAAATCATGGGATTCTCTCCTTTTTGGCTGTTTGTTTTGGTCTTTTCTTCTCATTGTGGGTGCACATGCACACTGGATGTTTTTATTAATTAGATTAAGTGATGCCGGATATTTCTGTTTGATGGAGGGATTGACTCATTCAGCCACATGATCAAGTGAGAAAGAGATATCATATTTTATTGTATCTTTTTAAAAAGTATTATCCATACAGTCATATATTGGGGAAAAACATTTCTCATCAAATTATAAAACAATGCAGAGATAAGCATGTATGTATTGCTAGAATTAAACTCTGTTTAATCAAGGAGTTTTAGATAAACTGGATAGAAAATCGTTTACATAGTAAAAATAGATATGAGGGAAAAGTGTCATTTGATAAAATGGGGGAAATGTAATAGATGATTACCAGAAATACAAAATTAAGCCGTATATGCTCTTAAGTAAATCAAATCCAGACGTCCTTCAAATGTAAAAAAAGGATGCAACAAGAGTAAGGAGCCCAGAATGATGCAAATTAAAGGAATTGGGGGAGGTGATGTTTATAACAAGCAAAGAGAATGCAATGGGAAGCAAAATTATTTTAGGCAAATTCTCCTGGAGTGGACCAGACAGCCCTCTCTTCCACTCTCAGTTCCAAAGTATCCCTCATGTGGGTATTTCTTTTATTTTTCCTTTGAGAACTGCACTTGGTGTTTAGTTCAACCTCATGCGGACCTCATGGAATTTCCAAGACGTGGGGCCTTGGCATTGTGGCACCTTCCTGCCACACGTACATAATTCACAGCATTACCAAGCCACCACGAGCTCCATGCTCACCTCTGTCAGCCCAGGACCCAGCCAGGCAATGTCACATGGTCTCCCAGGCATGCCTTTCCAAGCCGGCTATCCCTGCTGTGAAAGTTCTGAAGGCACTGGTCCAGGGAGCTGAGCCCTGGGCCTGTCCTAAAGCTCCACAGGTGACTGCACTGCAGCCCACATGGAGAGCTGCAACTCTAACACAGGGATTTTGAGAGGCCTCAGTCGCCTTGAAGTGGCACTTCCAGGACACCCATCCTGAGCTCTCACAAATGGCTCCACCTTCCCAAGAATGTCTAATTGTCATCGGAACAGCCAGTGTCTGGCAGCTTCGGTCGGGCTGATGTGGCATCTGACCCTTGGTGGGTTGCCAGACATTCCTTCCTGTTTCCGCCATGGGAAGTTGGCACTGGTAACGGTATGGAGCCCCCACTTCTACCCTAAGCCTTGGGTGTCTGCTGCTTCCAGGTCAAAAAAGGAAATTTCTGGTCCTGACCAGCCACTATCACACTGTAACCGATGCTCATAGTCTCCAGGGATGTGTTGAACAGCAATGGCAGGACAGAAAACAACTGGCGATTTCCCCAGGTCCCAAGCTGTTCCAGAGTGGGCATGTTGGGTCCCTGTCCCCAATGTGTTCCAGCCTTACCCAGGTGCACAGAGTACCCTGGGACCAGCACAGGGCTTGTCAAGTAATGCTCCTGGTGTCCACAAAACAGCTCCAGAGATACCTGCATTTTGAAAAGCCTGCCTAGCCAGCAAGTATGGGGCAGGACCCAGATTGCTTTGGCAAATCTGAAGGTGAGCTGGCCACTTGCCTGGTGAGTAGAAGCTGCCTTTACCTGGCCAGTGTATGCAACTTGAGAGAAAATGACAACTTCACAGGGGGGTTCTGGTGGGACTGGGAAGCCTGACCTCCCCCGGAGCTTTGGTATGGCCCCAGTGGAAAGACTGGATTTTGAAAACCCACCAGACCCAACTGAAAGAAAGGTCATCCCTGATTGGATCCCAGACTCTCCTTGGTCTCTCTGGACTCACTCTAGACGTGGCTTGCCTGTGGGCAGCCGTTCCCTTTGGCCCATGAGGCAGGTCCAGGTGGCTTCTGCAGCTATGTGCCTGGCTACTGGCCCAGCACTTCTCATTTTTGCCATGTGGAAGCAGATTTGCTGGTAGAGGAAATTTCTAAGTCAAAGGAAGTGTCACCAAGCCTCTTTCCTTGACCTGTGGCAAGCCCATGCTCTTGGTTTCTTATTCTCTTTGGAGTGGGCAGCAGAGGGGACAAGCAGGCCTGCAGCCAGGCTCAGGGAGTGTGGCAGGGCAGGGAGAAAAGTCTAGATGATGGGGAACTGGAGCCACCTTGAGGGGGGTGTCCTGGGGTCAGTGTCGGGGTAATCAGATGAGACACTTTATACTTAAGCAACATTATTATGTTCAATTATTTTGGGTAAGGGATTCCTCAGGGGAGGTGTGGTCATCTGGTCCCAGAGGTGGAGTGAAATGCCCACTCATCTTTCTGAGCCATTTGGAAGCCCTTTCTTCTAGCCGCAGGTACTGGTGACACAGGCTCCTCGGTCTCAGGAGGTGCACAGGGCTGGGGGGGATGCAGGATTCTTGTCACTTACCCACTCGGCACTATTGGGCATCGGGCATTCAGAGGTCTCACAGTGGCCTCTCTAAAAACCTGGTGTCCTAGGAGAACATTGATTATTTTTGTCTACTTTTGTTTCTTTGAACTGCTGCATTCACTCACTGAGGGCTCGCCCTCCCTACACCCCTCATGTTGTTCAGGAAGGAAGGGACTGATGAGCATGGGCACCCTTCTCCTCTCCTGTCAGTTGCCACCACACTATCCCCACTGGCTTTATCACCACATTCTCCCACCCCTGTTGCCTCATCTCTTCTTCCTCATTCACCCTTCCTTCCTTTGCCTGTTTTCTTCTCCCAGTTGGTGAAGTTCTTTATCATCCCTGGCACCACCTACCCTGAGGTCTACCAAGGACAGAAAAGCAGGGGCCTCTGTGAGGCAATGTGGTGTTATCATGGTGGGACCTCCAGGCCCCCAGAGTGAGTGAACAGCAGGCCTGCCAGCATCTGTGCTGATGGCTAAGAATTCATACACCACCGTGCCCCTCCCACCCCCTCCTCTTTGCTCAGAAGGGAGACCAGGTTTGCTCTCTTGCAATGACAGCCCAGCCCCTGCTGTGCACAGGGATGGGGCTCAGGGTCCCTCCCTGCATCCTGATGTTAATTAACTGTAGATAGTGAATTTCAAGTTGACAGCTACCTTCTCGGGGATTTATATACAAATAGAGTTAAAGGAAAAGCTAAAGTCTATTTTACTACTTTTTCGTGTTTGTGAAAATTAAGCTTAAACTGGACAGAATAAATATTTCTCAGACAATGTCGATGCTACTGGTTACAAGTGAGATGAGTGGAGCTCGTCCCTTGGTGGAGAATTTTTTTGGTGATTGGAGATTGGGGACTCTGGCAGCAGAAATGGCTTTGCGGTGTGTGTGAAGTCTGTCCCTCGGAGAGCCTCTCGTGGATATGAAAGCATGTATCAACACCAGTGAAATTCACCTCCATGTGCGTGGAGGTGGCTGATGAGAACACAAAGGAGCCAGTCCTGGCACTTCCCTCCAGAACCGGGCACTCCTGGTCTGACGTTGGGGCATGTGAATTAAGAGTGACAATATTTTCTACTTGCTTCTGTGAATAAAGTGTTCTACAGTCAGCCAGCACTAATCTCACTAGAAAGGAGGAGGGAAAAGTGTGGAGCCAATCATCTAGAATTACCTCAGTGTGCAGAGGCTGTCCATTGGCTGCACTTGGGGAAAGCAGTGTGAAACATTCTGTGCCTCTTTCTTCTGGAGCTCCTCCTGACAGTCTCCTGGCAACACTAGACACCTCAAGACTATGGAGATCAGAATTTCAATACATTTGTCATCTCTGCATTGACCACTCCTGAGACCCGAGGCTTCTCCTGGGAGCAGGAGACAGGGAGTTCATGATGTTCATTGGAAAAGAGGATTTATGAATGCAGGAGGGCCGTGCTGGACCCCTCTGCCTTCTTCTCTCCCTGCTGTCAGCAGTGACCAGGTCTCTGGTGTGGAGGCGAGTCTATTGTGGGTGAAACAGAAGCCCCTGGTGTAAGGCCAGACCCCAGGCCTGAAAAGGTGCAAAGCCTGCTGTTTCAGGCTGTCAGGAAGAATCGTGGGTACAAAGTGAATATGATGAAATGCATCCCAGAGAGGAAATAAATGTGCCCTCACTAAGAAGTGGGTCTGGCTGCCAGGTCTCTGGCAGCCCACCTGCAAGAGGACTACATCCCCTGCAGCCCTGCCATCCACACTACATGATGTGGGGAGTCTGTCTCTTCACTCTTACCCTGGGGAACCAAGCCTGCTTTGAGGAGTGAGTCACAGCCCTGATGTGTGCCTTGCATTACTCTTTCCCCAGGTGTGCCCAGAGACTCAAGCTTGCTCATTTCTGTCCTGACACATCTCGCTGGTCCTGCGGTGGTCAGAGTCCTCCTGTTCTGTGTCAGCTCCTAGACATCATTAATCTTTCACGTGATAAAGTTTGAGAACTTTTCTCTTTTACAGTATTTGGGGAAATCCTAACACACTCCCCAGGGATTGGCGCAGGTCCCTCTGGCTCTCATGGTGGGTAATTCTATGGATTCTGTACCTGGCAGTCAGCACTCCTCCTTGGAAGCTCCCGGGGTCCCTGTTTCTGTGGGCCTGGTCCTTGGTTTCTACCCCAGTGCTTTTTGCTGGGACCTGCCTAGAACTGCCTGGAGGGCCATGGTCTAGGGAAGGACAGGTGGAACCCTGACCACAGAAGATCCTTCTAAAACAAAAAAAGTCACCTTGATGATGACGACTGCAGTGGGGTGAATGCCATCGCAGCGGGCATGCTGGGAGCCGCCAAGGGCTTACCGCAAAAGCAGTTCTTCCCAAGGCACCCTTTGCATCTTCCCCTCCTCACCTCTCAGTGCATTTGGAACTTGCTTATGCATTAGAATGACTTAAATCAACTGCTCGTTTCAGTGCCCCTGCACTCACAGGTTCCTTCATTAACATTTTAAATAAGTGGCTAAAAAAACTCCTCTGGAGGTTGTGTTTGAAAGCAGGAAAAAGAAAAACACACACTACCTGAAATGATTTTACTAATTTTTGAGTGACTCAGTTGAAAGTCAGTGTTGCATACACAATTTCCTCATGCTGAGCCAGCTTGAAATAAGACTTGATAAAAGGCACGGCCCTCAGTAGCAGGTGGTGCCACTGTGGACAGTGTACACTATGGTGTGAGGGTACGCACAGGCGAGCGTAAGTGTGTTTACTCATACACAAGGATAAACCAAAAGGACACCGGGCTTCGTGCTGGCAAAGGTTATGATGCTGCTGTAGCTTATTATGGGACCCGGGCAGTGTCAGATGGGAAATGCTTTGATGGCATGTTGTTCAATGTATATAATGGGGTCTCCCATGGCCCAAGGACCCACTGTGAGCACTCCACCCACTGTGGTGGAGAACACGACTGGAGTCATCACAGCCCAGGTCTTTATTGAAAGGCAGTGTTGACCCAGAAGGCTCGTGTAGAACCCATTTGGCCAGGTCTGGACCATCTCTCTCCATCTGACCTGCCTTGGCTGCACAGAGGGACCCAGACCCAAAAGGCCCAGACTCAAGAGGAAACTGAATGACGTTTACCATTACACCAGCTTTCATTTATTTTTTCCATATGATCATAAGAACTGTATTACTAAGTATGCTTATAAATGCTCTTTACAGTCTGTTCCCTTTTATTAGATGAAAGATTAATAAATAACAAAAAATTCCCTGTAGTAAAACCATGCCTGAGGGCAAGAGTAGTGGCTCATGCCTGTAATCCCAGCACTTTGGGAGGCAGATCACCTGAGGTCAGGAGTTCAAGACCAGCCTGGACACATGGCGAAACCCCAGCTCTACAAAATACAAAAAAAAAAAAAAAATGAGCTGGGCATGATGGTGGGTGCCTGTTATTCCAGCTACTTGGGTGGCTGAGACAGGAGAATCACTTGAACCTGGGAAGTGCAGGTTGCAGTGAGCCAAGATTGCACCATTGCCCTCCAGCTTTGGTGAAAGAGAGAGAGAGGGAGGAGAGAGGGTGGGGGAAGAGAGAGAGAGAGAAAGAAAGAGAGAAAGAAAGAAAGCCAGTCAGCCAGCCATGCCTGATGGGCACTGTGTGGTCATCACTTCAGCAGGTTGACACTCACCTGGAGGTCATGAAATCTGTCCATTAGTCCAGTGATGGGTTGAGCACTGAGCTCTGAGCTCACACACTGGGGCATGTGCCACTGCTCTGACTCACTCCTTTAAAGAGGAAAATACAATTGAGCTTTCTAATAGCAAATATTTCATCACAGGATTTAAAAACAAATAATCATTCAAGGGAAATTCATCTTTAAAACCCTTTCCTGATGTAGCAGTCCCAAATCATAGGGATTACGAACTTCAGCCACTGAGCCTAGACTGACTGATGTATCCTACCAATAAGCTATGTACATAAACTCATGTCTTCCCACTTCTCAGAACCATGAAATCAATCATTCCTCCCTTTCTTTCATTTATTTTTATTGTTTCTTAACAATACTAGAAGCCAAATTCATTATTTTCTTAAACCTCTTTTGTTCATTATATGACTTCCTAAAACACCCGAAGAAAGTTTATTATTCATCATTTCTTCAATATACACCCTTTGATGTTGGACAACCTATATGGTAGTCATTGGAATTTACAGTGATTCACAGATAATTTTTTGCAGTATTAAGTTTTTAAATTAGTCTTTAGTACCAAACTTCCCTACTCCATAGCCTGACCACTCTCTCTGAGCAGTAATCAATGCTGCATTGTACCCTCAGGATTGGAAGCCATGAGAAAAAACCTTCCTCTAATCCTAACCAAGATGATTTCCACTCAAGTGGTAAGTGGACACATTGGTAGCATGTCTGTCTGAGGCTGAATCTGAGGGAAAAGGCCTAATACTTACTATTCACTGGTTGGTTTTCCTGCTCTTCTCGTTTAGCTTTCTTTGGTTTTCTTGAATTTTTGCCCCCAAAGATCTCATTTGCTTCATTATCTTCTCCTATAAAAGAACAATGAATTTGAACATCAGAGAAACACATTGCTTTGGGTGTCAGACCCCCAGTGATAAAGAAATCAAGGGATGAGATATGAAGGAGATCTGGGAAGATCTCAGACTGTAGAACCAAAACATGGAATGCAACCAGTTTAATAGGAAAATCATAAGCAGAACTAATTTACAGATAATGTGGCATCTTGCATCAGAATTGGAATCTAATTACACCGTGCCTTGCTAATTCCAGCATATTTTATTCTATTATTTCCAGTGTTGGTAGATAGGTTTCTTATATAGAAGGCTTTTGAACTTGTAGTTTAGATGGCCAGAAACTCTTTCTGAGATTGAGCTCCTTACGGTGCCTTGAACATTAAACTAAACAGTCAAATTATTATAATGATTATTAACTTCATCACTCCCTCAGTGAAATGCAAGTTCCAGGAAGGAAGATATTCTCACAGATTCCATTTAAATTTCTGTCATTGATACCTAGGCACTACTCACACCTGTAATCCCAGCACTTTGGGATGCCAAGGCTGGTAGATCAGGTTGGAGACAAGCCTGGCCAATATGGGGAAACCCTGTCTCTACTAAAAACACAAAAATCAGCCAGGAGTGGTGGCACATACCTGTAATCCCAGAAACTTAGGAGACTGGGCAGGAGAATTGCTTGAACACTGAAGTTGCAGTCAGCTGAGAATGAGCCACTGCTCTTCAGTCTGGGCAATAAAGCAAGAAGATAGAAAGAAAGAAAGAGAAAATGAGAGAGAGAGAGAGAGAGAAAGAGAGAGAGAAAGAAAGAAAGAAAGAAAGAAAGAAAGAAAGAAAGAAAGAAAGAAAGAAAGAAAGAAAAAAGAAAAGAAAAAAGAAAAGAAAAGAAAAGAAACATCAGTTTTGTTGAGTTTTGTCTTTACGGCAAAAAACTTCAGGTTTAAGAGTATGAAATTAGGACCAATTTATACCATTAGATGATGGGTCCCGAATACTCTGAAAACCATTCTTAATGCTCATTGTGATTGAATTAGAAAAGATTGATTCAGTACAAAAGTAAAAAAGTGATTGGTTTAGGAAATGGTATTTAACTGCAATTTTACCCTCATTGTTTCATTTAGATGTCATAATTTTCTCCTTTAAAGTATTTTGAAAAATCTCAATCACAATCCACCACTGCAAAATGATTTCTAAATAACCATTATTTATTTACTGAACATTGTGAGATTTGATCAGATTTCACCCAGAAATGCTGAAGAGGCATTTAGTATACTCTAAAACAATATTATCCTCAAATTATTCAACACATTACCTAAGTTGTATATTATAGAATATTCTGTCTTGTGCATATATTTATGTGCCAACTTTAGAACAGAGGGTATTACATTTGTGTACAACATACAAAATAAAATATTCTCAATAAAATTTAGGATATACAACAAGTATGAAATTGCAAGATATCTGAAAACTATTTTCTGTGTTCTCAGAATACATAGGAACAACTAAGGAATACATAAATGATACAAGTAAAATTAATCTTCACTGTATTTCACAAGTATGTAGGAAGACAGGATGACAAAATAAGAGTAAAAATGTTTTTACTAAGTAAGCAAATGACATCACTTACAGAAACAAGCTCAGTTTGTTGGAAAATTAAACATAGTGTAGTCTGTTTTGGATTGGAAAAGTAGCAGGAACTCCTCCTCTGTTAGTTGTGTTCTCACCCTAGAAATATACTTATGGTCTCACTGAAACTTGCTGTAGAAGTAATACTATAAAGTCTGATCAGGGATCAGGGCCTCACCATATAGTGGTAGTAGCTTTCAGACATCTTCACAGCCAGTTCCAAAGCCACTCTGTGTGTCCCAGAAAAGAATGAGCTTGGCTACTTGTACCTCTTTTTATTGAATCTCTGAAAAATCACACCCATTTCAAACAGGTTGTACAGTTCTTGGAGTTTGGGATAGCCATTAGGGTTCTTGATTAGGTTTCACCAGAAGAGAGGAAATGATTGATTCAACACCTTGGCTAATCTCCATAAACAAACTTTAAACTTCCACTTATCAAGAACCACTGAGTTTACAACAAATGAAGCCTCAAATACCAAATTTGTAGATAATTTTTGGAGTCTTTTAATATTTTACTCATCAAAAGATGAGAAAGAGGATACCATCAATTTATGATTTTAATAAATGTCTTCAAAAGTCTGGAATAGTTTTTCTTTTTCTTTTTTCTTTTTTTTCTTATGTTTTTGGAAATGTTACCTGAAGTTGGCTTTAATTCTAATATTCACTGAACTAGACTGGAAAGGCACTTTGCTGTTGCTTTTGAAGCTTGATTTCAGGTTTTAAAGTATTATTGTCAATTTACATATATATTATATATTTTATATATTATATATTTTTATACATATATAATATATATGTATTTTAAATATATTTGATTATTATATGTATTTTATATATATTATGTATATATACATATATATATATTATGTATATATACATATATATATATTATGTATATATACATATATATATATATTCTGGTTCTGTAACCTAGGCTGGAGTGCGGTGGTGCAATCACAGCTCACAGCAGCCTTAAACTGCTAGGCTCAAGTGATTCTTTTGCTTCATTTTCTCACAGAGCCGAAATTACAGACGTGAGCCACTGCACGCAGCCTATTAATTCATGTTGTTGATAAAAGCATAAGAATTATCTTTATTATAATTAAGAAACAGAATATCTTTAAGGAAATATTATATCTTTTAGGAAAAATAAAATCTTCAGTAGTTGTAGACTCCTGTGAAAACCACCGTTACCAATAGCAATTTTCTGTATGTGTATATAACACATACATATGTAAATATATATAATATATACATGAATTTTTTCATATTTGGCAGTCATTTAAGAAATTCTTTTACCATATAAATTCTAATTTATATTGGTAAAAGTGAAATCAGTAAAATTTGCTGTTTAGTGAAAACTTTGTTTAGCAAGTTAAATGAAGCTGCAGAAAGTGTGAATTGGATAATAGATATAAAGATATGTCAAGAAGGCTTCACAGATGGACAAATAGAGGTAAACTAGGAGAGTGATAGTGACATAAGGAGGATGAGAGTATCATGTATGTCCTTTATAAACAGCATAATGTGTGATTGACTGTAGCACACAGTAGAGCAAAGTAGAGAAGATGAGGAGAGTACATATTCAAGGGTATAATGTTTGATAATTTTTTCAGAGTAAGCAAATGAATTGAATTCAGGAAGCCAAACAATCCCCATTTGGGATGTATAAAACATAAATTTACTTTGTTTTGAATGTGTAAAACAATATATTTTGGCTGATTTTTAGTATTTCTCTGTTTTTGTTGGCTGATTCATTATGATGTGTTTAAGCTTGAAACCACCACCGAAGATGAAGAATCTCTTAAAAGCAGCCAAAGTAAACTGTTTCATTTTGAGGGAACACTTAATAGAATGACAACAGACTGCTCCATAATCATAAATGTAAGTATAAGACAGTGGACTAACATTTGTAAATTGTCAAAAAATGTGACTGCCAATACAGAGATGAATATGGATTGGAAATACCTTTTACATAAGAGGATAAAAGGAAGATCTTGTCACATAAGTATAATTTAAAAAAGGGGGCTTTATACCCTACTAAGGGCTTCTAGAACAGTACCCATGAGATCTACTTGAAAGATAATTCCAACACCTCTGCCACATTTGAATCTGGCTTTATTAATTGCTTTTTCTCTTAACAGTGTGTCCTTTATTTACCTTTTCTGTTTCAGTATAGGTCTGGTAAGTTTTACTCAGAAAGTGAACTATGTAGAGTAGAACTAATATAGAAAGCAAAACCTGCATGTGTTCCCTTTTACTAGGCTGTATGTGTATGTTTTGAGGGAGAAGGTTGAATCAATCTAGTCAGGAGTTGATTTGGTTTTGAGACTTGTTCTTAGAGTTAATTCCAGTGCACCATAAGTTTCCTGCTCATCTAGCATTACTTTGTGTTTTGGATTGGACTGGTTCAGCAGCTTTTCTCAGTATCTGCTGTATCCTCAACTTTAAGTTTCCCTCCAAATTCTGCTCTGTCCCCCAGAAGGCACTGCTTTGCTTCATGGTTGGAACTATGGTTCCATGGTTGGAACCTTCTTAATGATCCTGTCCAACTTTCAGGTGTAGGTCTAAATCTTCCACATATTTTTTCTTTTCCCCTTTCCAAAGTTCAATTAGTTTTACCAGCATTGCAAGGGCAATGGCATTCCTTATATTTCCCTTTGTAGTTTTAGGGTTTTGTTACACAGGGGAGATGGGAGGGAAATACAGGTCTTAAAATGTGATATTCTCTGAATCTCTTCACAGACTGTAAAACAAATGTATGTGGCACATATACACCGTGGAATACTATGTAGCCATAAAAAGGATGAGTTCTTGTCCTTTTCAGGGACATGGATGAAGCTGGAAACCATCATTCTCAGCAACACAACAACAGAAAACCAAACACCACATGTTCTCACTCATAAGTGGGAGTTGAAAAATGAGAACCCATGTACACTGGGAGGAGAACATCACACACTGGGGCCTGTCTGGGGTGGGGAGCCAGGGGAGAGATATCACTGGGATTACTACCTAATGTAGATGACGGGTTGATGGGTGCAGCAAACCACCATGGTGCGTGTATAACTATGTAACAAACCGGAACGTTCTGCACATGTACCCCAGAACTTAAAGTATAATAATAAAAAAGTTTTATGTCTTAATGTTGATGTTAAATTATCATAAATTAAATTATATATATATGCATTTGAAAAAATTAGGCAAAACATCAAATTCATTTATTTCAAACTTCGTATACGTTAAAATTATATATATATATATATATATATATATATATATATATAAAATTTTCTTCTGCCTGAAAAATGCTTATAATTTCTCTCCTTGATTGCAATCCTTCCTCTATCTTATCCTGGTTAATTTTTAAGTTTCCTAACCATTACATGCGAAAACATTATTCAATATTCTAACTTCTAGCATCAATTAATGGAGTTCACAATTTATCTAAATAAAACACTGTAATATAACATTTGTGTGTTTCAAATCTTTTCTTAAACTTCTCTTTGAAATTCATTAACTTGTTGCATTTCAGTGTTATCTCTGTTTTGTAAAATTCTTCTGTACGATGAGATCACTATTTAGCAATTCTACTGTTGATGAATATTCATTTTGTCTCCAATTTGGAGCTACTAAAAAAATTGCTGCAATGAAAAACATTGTGTTTATTTTGAAATACACATAGGCAGTCTGAGGAATATATTTTAGAATTAGAATATCTAGCCCATAAGGAATGCTCATAGTCAGTTTGCCAAAAAAGTATTTCAGTTTACATCCCTCCAGCCATGAATAACTTTCATTGATTCTTTATCTTTCACAACACACTACATTATGTGTCTTTAAATTTTCCTAATTTTTATGGAGGCCTGTAGTTCAACTTATGGATTAATTTTTATTATTCTGAGGACTAATAAAAGTAATCCCTTTTTCATATTGGTCCAGATATTTATGCCTCCAATTTTATGAAGGGCCTGTTCAAATATTTTCCCAATTTTATATTAGGTTCATTTTCTTTTATTTATTACATTCATTAATCACATGTATTATATTTTATTGCATATATGTTGGGATAAATATTTTTCTCCACTCTTGGTTTGCATTTTAATTCTTGGATGGTATATTTTGAAACACAGAAGTCATCATTTTTTATGTAAACTAACTAAATTTCTCTTCTTAATTGGTCCTTTTTTGTCCTGGTTAGGAAATCTTTCTGTGTGAGAATATTTTATTGTGTTCCCTTCACCTTCAGAACATGAATCCATGTGGAAATGCACTGTGTATGGTTTGAGGTAGGGATCAGTATTCAGTTATGTCCATTTGAACATTTAATTGATCCAGCATTGTCCTGATCCCCTTGTAAATTTCACTGTGGAACAGCAGTCTAATAATGCATGAGCATTTTGTATATAAGGTGAGATTTACAAAGATAAGCCCAGCATAGGATGTCAAATAAGATTACCTCAAAGAATAGGTTCATAAACAAAACACATGGATAAGTATAATATTGTTAGATGAAGAGAAAGGAAATATTTCCAGGTTACCATTGAGTCTTTTTACTCCAAGTTTCTTCATGAAGCCCAAGATCTCTACTTTCTTCCACTGATTTTAACTTCATTTAGACAACTCTGTCATCTATTATTTCACTTTGTGACATTCAGAAATAATTAAAAACCAGAGAATATATTCTATGCCATACATCATGGGTAATGATTTTCCAAAAATGATTTAAAAAGGAACCAATACACATGGTTTTAGTGTTTTCACCATATTTAATAGAAACACTATAAATGAGTTTTGATGACATTAGAATGCAACTAAAGACATAAAATATAACTTATTTGTTCTGTTTGATGAGGTGTGAAGAAAAGAGGGCTTTCTGGGATAAACAGGTTCCCAGAGCACATAGACACATTTCTGACTTTTCTCTGGTCAGAAGTGACTACAGCAAAAGATAGGCCTGAGAGGAGGTGAGAAGGAGCAATTAGGGATGGTGTATATCAGGGAACTTTGATCAACATCAACAAAGCTCATGGTTCTACCTTCACAATCCAGGAATAATCCCACTGTGCTGGTAGGTCTTGGAACATATTGCACCACAAGTGGGGAGGTGGTAAAGAGACTGCAGTGAGTGTCCTCCTTAACACATTCAAGAAGAAAGAGTCCCTCCTCTCCATCTATCTTGTCATTCTGTCTCTTCTCTTTCCAATAATTGTTACAGACACCAAAAGCCCAATTCCAAGAGTCCCCCACGTGAACCTCCCAATAATATTTGCCAGATGTGAAAGTCTGAGCCCCCCATACAAGAAAACATTCAGATTTTGCAGTGATATCGGGATCATCTTGAGGGTCACATCCAATATTCATGCTTCTCAAATCTCCATACAGGAAGATATGACTATTGTCCCTTTCAGGCTGCAGAGTAAAATCAACTGCAAAAATAATTTTTTAAAAATATAGATACATGTAATTAATAGAAATTAGAATTCTTGAGAGAAAAGTTGTTCTACCAAGAGTTTACTTTACCAAGAAATTTGAAGTTCCAAGGACAGGAGAACTGTGACTACAACATTTAATAAAGTATAAGGATGATTAATATTCTCTATAGGAAGAACAAAACCCTAAAAACAGACATTGAAAATTTATTGAAAACTTAAAAATTGAGAGTCAAATATAAGACCAGCCTGTTTTAATCCAATCTCCTATGTGAAAGTGAAATATTTTATGCCCTGAATGCCCTTTAGCTATCAAGGTCATTATTATTAAAATATTTCTTGTTCTTAAATACTAGTGGCATAATTCTGGCAGGAATGGGAAGATTTTAGCTTACTCAAGCACCCCTCTAGATAACTGGATAAAAGTCCATATGTTCAAATTATAAGTGGTAACTTAAGGCAGATTTTTGCAAAATCTTCTACTAGTCACTTTGCGGACATCCCTGCTAGCTCTAGACTGAAACCGAATTTTGGATTTTACACGTAGCTCTTCATGTTGTAACTAAACTGAAATTATTATTTCCATGTTTACTTCCTATTTACATAATAATTTCTTCTTTCTTTTTACATGTTAAGTCAAAATTTTACATTATATCAACAATATATATTTATTGTAAGAAAGTACAAATACTCCAACAAACTGCAGTGAACTCTATTCCCCAATGAAATGTGTTTAATAATTCAAATGAAATACAGTAAAGAAGTGTAAAACTTTTATGTAACCTTGGATTACTACGCTTCCTTCTGAGCATTGTTCCATTTATTCAATTTTTTATTTCTTATGTCATTCCATTTACCCAATGTATAATTCTATCCATGTGAGCCCAGAACATATTTGTTTTTCACTATGTTGTACTCTTCATGTTATAATTTGGACTATAAATAGAAACACAGATATAAAAGGGTTGCATCGTCATATGGTTCACTTCCTGCTGAAATGAAATAAAGATTTGATGAAGGGTAAAATATTACCCCCATGATTCTAACAAGAAGTAATACACTGTGGGAATTCTGCCAATGGGCTGACACTCACCTCTGAATCTCTTGAGCCTGTCCATCAGTCCAATGATGGGCCCTGCACTGAAATCTGGATTCACAGGCTCAGACACTTGCAGCAGCAGAGACTCATACCTGCAAGGAGAAAGATAGAGTTACCACATCTACAGCCAAAAAAATACATAAAAATCACCACATTTATTTAAAAGACATTTCATGAGAATCCCTTTAATCCACACATTTGCTAATTCCAAAATTATCATTCTTTTTCAAATTCATTCTTATTCACAGTTCCTCATTTTCAAGCACGATGGAAAAGTCTCTCTGACAGAGAAATTCATTCGGATCTTTCTTCGTATTGCTCCAAATTAGTAAGGATCATTAGTCTCAAGACTAGGAGAATATTCCAAAATGAAATTCTGGGTTCCAGACCTCACCAGAAATTCCTGAAATCACTGTCTGGAAAAGTGGGGTTATTTTTAAGACTGCTGTGTCTGTTTCTTCCTTCTCAAGGCCAGGGTATTGAAACGTGCTCCAGGCAGGGAGATCTGCCTTTTATAGTTGAGGTTCTCTGGAGGCCTACACGGCTCAAACATTCCGAATAGTTTGTTTCATCTATTTTTCAGAATTATATATTTAAATATAAACTAGAAATCATCAACACTTTTCACTGCTAAAATACTTTCCCCTTTTCTCTCTGGCTTCCCCTGGTTGACTTTGTAGCCATGTAGTAAATGTAATATTTTCTCTTTCAAATATGAAGGCTTTTGAGCAATAAAAAGGAAATTAGGAATAGAGATGCTCACTTCCTTTATTTTCTTTCATTTATTTATCTTTTGTTCTCTTTCTTTTTTATTTATTTATTTGTTTATTTATTTATTTATTTATTTATTTATTTTTGGTTTTGCAGAACTTTCATTGAACTGCTTAATAAAAACACTGGCAACAAAATAGATGACTACATGGGGTGGGGGATGGAGAAAGTACAACCAGCACAAGGTAGTATCAATATCTGAATCAATTATACCTTCAATATCAAAGTTCCTGCTTGATATTTGTGGAAACTGAAAACATCTGCTAAAATCTTGGTATGCACTCACCTTTGTAATATGTCTCCAAAAGACTGTAAAAAAGAAAAAATAGAAAGGCTTAGTGCTTTCCACAAGATGCATCTTCAACTAAGTGCATTGTGAGTTATGGAGACAGTTTCTGAAGATATTATTTTCCTACAATGTTCCCTCCTGGAAAGCATTTTCTGTTTCTTTTCTCATGACAATCCCAGTCTATCATATGTCATGAATTAATGTCCTGATAAAGTCTAAGTCTTGAAGACATTCTCTTTACAAGTGAAGGGAGAGGAGGCCCACAGAGTCCATGCTCTGCTGTAACCATAAAGAAGCTACTCAGCCATCTACCCTAAGCCCTGTTACCAAAATGAGTGGACCCCAAAATAATATTAGTGTGATCCTAGATTCCCCAACTTCTCCATCATGACATGTCTCCAAATTAGCCTAAATGCCAATGAATCACTTCTCATTTTATCCACTTTCAAAAATCCTAAATAAATCACTGACTTTTGATGGGAAATATTTCTTGGGGCTGTCTGTTACCTTGGTCATTCCACAAAGTTTTGTTGCTGGTGGATAAAGTAGGAGGGACCTTCGTTCTGGTAGAATCACTAGGAGAGGCTATACCCTCCCAACCAAGTAGCATTAGTTATCAAATCGTGTTTTTGGAAACAAATCATGGAAGTAAAGGGGGAGACGGATTTCAGGAGAGAGGAAAAACACCCATGCACGTGAATCTTCATCATCATGATACCCCATGGTCAGTTCGTACTAGAGTAGCTCCACATCTGCTTTATGGCACATTTTCTTCAGATCCTCATACATTCCTCTTAAAAGCTCCCTGGAATGTTCCATTCTGGCTTTGCTTTCATTGAGTTGCTGAAAAATGTCCTCGCCCTCCTTTCACAGCCTCTCCAAATGTTGTTGTTTTTCTTCATGGAGAAATGCAGGCATCTTCTGATATTCAGCTCTGATTGCTTCTATCCTTAAACTCACATAATCCTGCAGTGACAATTAGTCAAAATAGAAATGTTTTATCCATCTTCTCTTGAATTTCACTGATTCCTCTTAGCATTCTGAAAACCCAATATTTTAATCCTCAATCTTGTTAATTCTCAGATTCCACAAAATTTTATTCCTTTCCTTTTTTTCTGTACTAATATCAACATAGTTGTTTCTGCCCAGTTACATTTACTTGATTAATGATAAAATGTTTTCTAAGATAGTTATATAAAAATGGATTTCTCTCTTTCACACCACATTTATAGAAAGAAAACACAGTTCTTGCTTAAGAATCAAACTATTGAGTTATATTGACTAGGTAAGAAACCATTATTTCTATTTTGGAGAATTGGGGCAAGTTATGTAAAACCATTATATGACAAATGATGACATGACCCAGACTAGCATTGTCAACTCAATGCATTTCACCCAGCATAACATATTCTAATAAGGTTTCATTTATTCTCTTCCAAACTCACCCTAATTGGCAACATGGACTTCTTTGTGGTTCCTCAAAGCCCCAAATAAATGCAAATTAAATATTACTGCACATGCTGTTTTCTATACCTAGAATTATTTTCATATATATATACATGTTTCTCATATATGTGCTCATATATATATTTCTCAAATAAAGGTATATATGGATATATGAGGAATATATACATGTATGTGTGTGTATATATATGTTCCTCAAATATATCCATATATATATATACCAACACCCAGATACTCATATATATTCATATATTTACGAGGAAGAGGAAGGTAAACAGGAGGATATACATATTTCCTCCTGATCAAGATTTTGTTTCAGTGTGAATTTTTCCATGAGCCTTTTTTTCTGACCACCCTATTTAAAACTCAAACCCTCATCCCCAGTCCCTGGCCTCTGTGCTCCTTTGGATTATTCTCCAAAGACACTACTACACTCTAACACATCATGTACTTCACATATCTGCATGGTGACCATTTGCTTTTCTCATTTCCATGGCATGATTTGTGTGTTTTCTTTCTTCTTTACACCTTAATTTTCTAAGTTGATATTTGACATAGACTAGGTACTCATAAAATATCTTTCAATGAATTAATATTAGAATAAATTAATGAAGTAATATTAGATATCATACCCTCAATATAAACATCCACAAAGAGAAAATCATTTCTAGAATTCTTCTCAAGTCCTTAGAGTTCTCCTTATATTAAATACTAGTTCCCATGTTTCTCACATATTTCTGTCTTCATCAAGACACCAGTCTACATTTCTCGCCACATTTCCCGTTATGTGTTATGACTTATTCAATATTAATTAGTGCTGATATTTCATTTCATGCTTTCCCTAAGGTTGCACTCTTGCTCCTTCTGCCTGAAATTTAGCTCACATTTCAATGTACTTGCCCACCAGGATTCAAATTCCTACTGACTCAGCCTTAGAAGGGTCACCTGAAATTTCCATGACTGACAAATAACTCTTGTGTCCAGAATTTATCCAGGCAGCCCATTGGGAACAGTGTGAAATGGCCCAGTTTCTTGTATTTGTTGGGGTATTCCTATAGGTTTGTATGGAAACAGATGAGCATGCTTGGGTAACATCTGTGGTCTGATTAGAAATCCTACCAAAGAGTCACACTAACTTATATAAGCAATTAGGGTGTTTTTTTCTCAAGTGTTTTTTCCTTGTTTATTGAATTCCGGAAAGGTTATGGGTTGAGATCAAGTTCCGATTTTAAGAGTCACCCATTTGTTCACTATAAGTTCCCGGAGAAGGTAGAGTAATACGGTACTAACCTTCCAGCATCTTGTTCTGGTGGTTTCCATGTTCAGGTTTCTGAGATTTTCACAAGCTTTTTCCCACAAAGACTGCATTTTTTTTTAGGAGCTCCTCCTGAAAAAGAGCCATGAATTGAAGCACAAGTGAGGACAATAAAGTATCATTCACACTCTCATATATGAAGGACCCCAAATGAGAGACAAATTAGCCCACAGAAAATAGAGTTTGCTTTGTTTCTCCTCATGTTTGTCAAACGTGAGAAGTGTGAAGTCAAGGAAGCTCATAACAGACATGCTTAAGGGGACACAGAGATGGCATCATCCAATCTCCAAGGAAATAGACTTACAAGAATTTCATGTGTCCTGTATAGAAATAGATCTTCAGAGGCATCACTTACCCGGCGTTCCTCAGCAGCCCACTCAATGGGACAGTGTCTGTGATTCCGGTGCTCCTGAGAGTTGGAATACAGCAAACAGAGCAGGCTCTTGTCCACTTCACAGAACATCTTCTTTGTCTCTCTGTGCATCCCACATATTTGCTCTTCAGAGCTAAGGAATTGCCGGAGGCTGGCTTTTCTGGCAATGGAAGCCATGTTCTTCAAACAAATGTCAGTGTTGAGGTTTCTCTGCCATGTTGTCTCCTTGCATTTAGAGCACTGAGCAACAACTGCCATGTCTTGCCAGTTGAGGTAGAAACAGGGCCGGCAAAAGCTGTGCCCACAGTCTATGGTGACTGGGTCTAGGAAGTAGTTCATGCAGATGGGACAGGTGAGTTCCCTCTGGAAGACTTGCAAGATTCCAGAATTCATGTTTCTGAAGAAGAAAGAGCAGCATGTCATTTTGGGGTCTGGCTTGGTGAAAATCTGTGAACATGTGGTGATACGTGATAGCTATATTTTCTTCTTGACAGTGCTCATTAAAGTGGAACAAACTATTTCCTCTGTAACAAAAATGAAAAATTCATACACGAAGAGAGTCTTCAGGCTTTTTAGCAGACACTACTGACTGGATGACTCACAACCTCTTCTACTCCTAGTTCCTGCCCATAACATAATGCAAACCTGTTCAAAAACCTATTCCCTGGATGTCGATATGAAACTCGAGTTTTAATCTTAAGTGGTCTAGAATAAAACCTGCTTGTCCCTATTTCTCTTTCAAATAACTACTGAATGACTATGGGAGAGGAGTAGAAAACCTACATTGGGTAACAAAACATGAGAAGATGGTCCGAGGGCGCTATGACATATTTTTAGAGAGAGAGACCCAGAAGCCGGCTCTTTAAAACAAAAACAACCCCAGAACAAACCAACCGACCAGATAAACAAAAAGACAGCAATTAAACCAGTCTAGGATCACAAGGAGATAAAATAAATAATGAAAAATATTGGGTTTATTTTTCTTATGGCTTAAATTAACTTCTTTTTGGGCTACTCAAACTATGAACTGACATATAGTCAGTTTTTTAAAAACTGAAATATATACAGTTATATTACTATGGTATTATGGTTAATTTTAAGTGTTGACTTGACTGGACTAAATAATACATGGAGAATTGGTAAAGCATTATTTCTGGGTGAGTCTGTGAAGGTGTTTCCAGAGAGACATGTAAGTTGGTGAGCTGAGTGAGGAACAGCAGCCCTCAATGTGGGTGGACACTATCCAATCAGCTGGTAGCTCAGACTGAAGATAAAGGGCAGAGAGAAAGCAGTTTCCTCTCCTTCTCTTGAAGCTGATTCTAACTCAGCCAGGAAATCGGTATCTCCAGGACACAACATTAATGACAGCCTATGTTCAACTTCTCAGACTTCATAATCAAGGGAACAAATTCCCCTAGTGGACTTCCTCTCCTGTACAGTGTCATGTGTAGAGTGAGGACAGATATATGATCTGAGGGACGCATTAGACAGTCTCGTTATTGTTTGAACATCATAGGGTATACTTACACAAACCTAGATGGTATAGCCTACTACACACCTATGGTATATAATATAGCATATTGTTCCTAGGCTACAAACCTGTATGGTATACGAAGGCAATTGTACCACAATTGTAAGTATTTTTGAGATATATATATATATATATATATATATATATATATATATAGTTATGAACACATCCTATGGTTCTGTCTCTCTGGAGAACCCTGACCAATACAAAATGTAATCTTTGCCTTGGCAGTTTGAAGTCCTTTACCTTACTCTCTTTTACTAAACACTGCTGAATTTAAGTGCCAACAGTGAAAATTTAAGAATTGCAAACATTTTTCAGAGGTCATCTGAGCCATTTCAAGGAATTTTTCATAGTTTCATCTGAGGTAAGCCTCAGTTAAAATGACAACTAGTATCAAGTATCAAATCATTCCTTATACAGTTATCTGCTAAACAATTGTGTTTTGATTTCTAAGCTAAGGTATTTTTGGGAGCATTCTTATTTCCTTTAGTATCACCATTTTTAACTCATCATTGCCTCAGTAGCTTAAAATCATGTCTAAAAGCTTCAGGTTATGAAAGCACAACATTTACAGTATTCAATAATTATCCTTTTTTACTTAATTAAGTGTAGCAATATTAGTACATTCAGTACACATATATATGTTTTAATGTGAATTCCATATATTCATGATTCATACATATATATTGCAGCAAACACTAGATATCTAAAATTTTTCAAAAATATATTAAACACTTTTGGAACATACAAAATGACAACAATTAATAACCTCATGTCATAAAATGAATAGCAATAATATGAGTTACAAATAAGATCATTCAGTAAGTTTAGACAGTTAGATATTTTTATCACTGTAATTTACTATTTTAAAGGAAGAGAGAAGTAATTTTCTCCATAGAAGTTGCACTCACCCCAAGGTTCTATGAATGTTTCCTGCAGTAATTCTTCCAAGAAAAAATTCTTTTAAGTACTCCCCAAGATCAGGAGCTCATTCCCTGCTGAGTTGACTTTCAGAGGTCATCACCTGAACGCAGTTAACTCTAAGTGCTGTCCTCCTCTGGAGAAATATGAGCTTGTCTCTTCTACATCCATTTAGGTGAATCTTTGAAGACCACAACCACCTATTTAGTGATATTTAGGGTGTTAAGAAAGGTGGAGACAGAGATGATTAGGTTTATGCAATATGTAGTACATGCCTTTTCATCACTGATTAAATTAGCATCACACTATCATTGTAAAAACCACTGCCTGAATGAGGCATATCTATCATCAATCTTATCAGAGTAAACATGCTAGAAATTGACTGAAATTGATTAATGCTGTTTCCTGAATTTCTTCCAAAGACACAAGCATTCCTCTAAGTGCACATTTATTTATTTATTTATACCAAAGAAAGTTTCAGCCTCTGGAGTGCAGTGGCGCAATCTTAGCTCACCGCAGCCTTGAATTCCAGGGCTCAAGTAATCCTCCCACTTCAGCTTTCAAAGTAAAAAAGACTAGAGGTTTATGCCATTGCACCTAGCTAATTTTTCATTTATTCATCAAAAATATTTTTAAAATTCTTAGGTGATTACATGTGTTACAGTGACCAGCTGGATTAGAATTAGATTAGGTTTAAAACGATGGAAGAATCTGGAAGAGGGGGCAGAGTGTTGGTTGTTAATTAGCACATGGATCAAAGGAGATTACTGATGTGTTTAGAAGCCACAACATTGACAGAATAAAAGCCGGAACTAACAATCCAATGGTAAATCTCTTTACTGTGGTATTTTCTGCCATTTCTGCTCCATAAGACACACCTTAAGCACTTTGTTGTGGTATCCCCAGTATTCTATTTTAGTCTAAATAGCATTTTCTCTCAACTGCGCTCTATTTCTCTGTCCTTCATCTTCCCTCCCTTCTTCCTTCCAGCTGTATTTCTTCACTAGAGAACACTAGTAGAATGTTCTCCCAAATTTCAGATTTCAGATATGCATCTGTAAAATGATCTTATGGAGACACATTTTAGTTGCTACTGAATACTTGGTTGTTTTCATAAGTTCACAGCATTACTACTGTCCTCCAAAAAACGGTTTCCCATTTCCACAGCTAATCTCATCATTGACTCTGCCATCCAAGTTTATTCTATGCCACTCTGGAAGAATCTGGAAAAATACTTAAAATACATTTTAAGTATTCATCATGCACATGTATTGTATTTTATTTTATATATGTTCGGGTGAATATCTTTCTCCACTAATTGTTTGCATTTCAATTCTTGTATCATGTTTTTTGAAACACAGAAGTCGTCATTAATATAAACCAACTAATTTTTTTAATTGTTAATTTTTGTCCTGGTTAAGAAATCCTTATGAGAATATTGTATCATGTTCCCCTTACCTTCAGAACTGGAATCTATTTGGAAATGACTGTGTGTGTTTTGAGGTAGGAGTCAATATTTAGTTATTTTTTAAAATTCAATTAATCCAGCATTGTTCTGACCACCTTGTGTATTTCAATGTAGAAGAGCACACTAATAATGCGGGATTATTTATCTATGTGGTGAGAATTCCAAAATGAAGCCCAGCATGGAAGGTCAAATAATATTAACTCAAAGGATAGATTAGTAAAATGAAATGTGATGGATAAGTGCAGTATAGTTAGGTAAAGAGAAAGAAAAACATTTCCCAGCTATCATTAAGACTTCACTCCAAGTTTTGCATGAAGCAAAAGATCCCAATTCTCTTCCATTGATTTTAACTCCATTCAGACATGTCTGTCATCTATTATTTCACTCAGTGGCATTCAGAAATGAAGAAAAAAACCAGAATATATTTTATGCCATGATCATGAATAATGGTTTTTCAAAAATTAATAAAGAACCAATACATATACTTTTGGTGTTTTTACCATTTTTAATAGTAACACAATAAATGAGTTTTAATAACATTAGGAGGCAATTCGAGACATAAAACAGAACCTATTTGTCCTGTTTGATAAGGCACAAGGAAGAGAGCTTTCTGGAATAAAGGGGTTCTCACAGCAGATGAACACATTTCTGATTTATCTCTGGTCAGAGGTGAATACACCGAAAGATAGGCCTGAGAGGAGGTGAGAAGGCACAATTAGGGTTGGCGTATATAAGGCAGCTTTGATTAACATCAAGGAAGCTCACAGTTCTGGCTTCACAATCCAGGAATAATCCTATGTGGCTGGTAGGTCTTGCGATATATTGCAGTGTAAGTGGGGAGGTGGTAAAGAGACTGCACTGAATGATGTTCTTGACACATCCAAGACTAAAGAGTCCCTCCTCTCCATATATATGGTCATTCTGATTCTTCCCTTTCCAATACTTATAACAGACACCAAAAGCCTAATTCCTAGAGTACCCCACATGGACCTCCCAGTAATATTTGCCAGAGGTGAAAGTCTGAGCACCCCATGCAAGAAAACTTGTAGGTGTTGCAGTGATATGGGGTGGATTTGGATGGTCACATCCAATACACATGCTTCTCAAATCTCCACATCGAAAGATATGACTGTTGGCTTATCATGATTCAGAGTAATATCCACTGCGAAAATAAATAAATAAATAAATAAATGAGAAAGAAACAAAACATGCATAGACATGTGTCAATAAGCAAAAATTGTTCTATCAAGAAGTTAATTTACCAGGAAATGTAAAGTCACAAGGACAATTTTGCTTGTAACTTCTAATAAAGCATAGAGATGATTAATTTTAACTACAAGACAAACAAAACACTAACCACAGATATTAAAAATGTTTTGAAAACTTACATATTGAGAGCCAAATGTAAGACCAACTTCTTTCAATCCAATTTTCAAAGCAAAATTTGCACATTATATGCCCTAAATGCTATGCTGTTATCAAGATCATTATTTAGAAATGTTTCTTATTCTTAAAAACTAGTGCTATCATTTTGGAAAGAATGTGAAGATTTTCAGTTACTCAAGAACTGCTCTTGATGACTGGATAAAAATCCGTAAGTACATGTCATAAGTGACAATTTAAAGCAGATTTCTGTAAAATCTTTTACCAGTCTCTCTGTGGTCCTCCATGCTAGCTTGGGGCTGAAGCTGGATTTTAAACTTAACCTGTAGCTTTTCATATTGCAATTAAACTGAACTTCTTTTTGTTTGTAATTTTACTTGTATTCACAAAATGATTTCTTCTTTTTATGTTGACCCATTAACTAATTTTTTTTTGGCAATTCATGATACATATCCATTTAAAAAATTAAAAACCCCCAGCAATCCCCAGTAAACCATAATCCCCAAAACAACAGTTCTTAGCTGTTCAAATGAATACACTAAGGAAACGTAAAATTTTGTATTTAACATTAAATAACTCACCTTCATTCTGAGCATTGTTCAATTTGCTCCTTTTTTAAATTTGCTACACTACTCCTTTTTCCCATTACATTACTCAGTACATATGAGGCCAAAATGTATTTGTTTTTCACTATCTTTCAAACTTAATGCTATAAATCTGACTGTACAGACACAGATACAGAAGGGTTGCATGATTATGTTGTCCACTTACGTCTATAAAAAAGTAAAATATTTGATAAAGGGTGAAATATTACCTATGTGGTCCTAACAATAATAATATTTAGATAGTGGGATTGCTACCTATGGGTGGAGACTTACCTCAGAATTGCATGAGCCTGTCCCTCAGTCCAGTGATGGGCCCTGCCCTGAGCTCTAGATTCAGAGGCTGGGGCATGTGCAGCAGCACGGACTCACTCCTGCAAGGAAAAACCTGCAGTTACAACATCTACAGCCATAAAATAAATAAAAATAACTATTTCTATTTAAAATACAGTTCATGAGAATCCTTTGAATCAACAAATTTGATTATTCAAAAATTATTCCTTCCTTTTTGGAATTAATTTCTATTTACAGTTTCCAAATTTTAAAGCATAGTGGGAGAGTCTGAGTCAGAATTCAGTCTGATCTTTCTTTTTTTCTGCCCCACATGTGTAAGTATCCTTAGCCTTATGGCCTTGAGAATATTTAGAAATGAAATTCTGAGTTCCACTTCTTGGCAGACTCCACTGACATCTTTGTCTGAAATAGCTGGGTTCTGGGGAGACTGCTGCATCTGCTGCTTCCTTTTCAAGATAAAGAATGTGAAACTTGTTCTAAGCAGCTAGACCTGCCTTTTAGAAACAAGCTTCCCTAGAGACTTATACAGTTCTAACACTCTACAGTTTTTTCAACCTATTTTTCAGGACTGTTAACTGATATGTATGTAGGTATGAACAACAAATCATCAACTTTTTCACTGCTAAAATTCTTCCCCCACTTCTCTCCTGCTTCCTCTGGTGACTTTCTCACCATCCAGAAAATAAAACTTTATCTTTCACCTATGCAGGCTTTTAAGCAATAAAACAAAATCAGTAATAAACATTTTTTTATTTCACTATTTATTTATTTATTTATTTATTTATTTATTTATTTAGTGTTCTTGTCTTTTTTGGTGTGAGAGTGAAAGCAGATGCAAAAAAAAAGGTAGTATCAATATCTTAATCATTTATGCCATGACTTTGGTAGAGCCTGCTTTGATATTCATGGAAACTGAAAGAATATATGCTAAAATCTAGGTAAATACTCACCTGTGTAATATGTCTCCAAAACCCTGTAAGAAAAACAGAAATATGTAGGACATTTCACAAGATGCACCTTTCACTAAGTTCAGTGTGAAATTTGGAGTCAGTTTCTAAAGATATTATTTCCTTACCATCTGGAAAGCATTTTCTATCTCTTCTGTAATGAAAAACCCAGTGAGTCGTTTTGTCATTAATTAATGTCCTGGTAAAGTCTGAGTCTTGAAGACATTCTCTCCAGGAGTGAAGGGAGAAGAGGCCCAGAAAGTCCATGCTCTGTGGTAGCTTCAAATAACCTACTCAGTCATCTTTCCCAGAACCTATTACCCAAATGAGGTGACCTCAAAATATTATTAATGTGAGCCTAGATTCCCAAAACTTCTGATCTTGCCATGTCCTCAAATTAACCTAAATGTAAATGAATCACTCATTATTTTATACATGTTAAACACCCCAAAATATATTACTGACTTAGAAATGATTCAGAAGGTGCATTTCTCTAACATGTTTGTACCAATATAGGAGTTGGTCAAGAAGAAGACTGACATCTTCAACAAGTGAATTTTACCTCTGTGTGCAGGAAACTCCAATTTATTGCCATGTCCCATGCAGCACGAAAGCCGGAAGAAAAGTAGGAGGGAGAAGAGTATTTGGCTTTAAGGAAATCACCTGGTGTTTCTCACAATGCTTTTATTCCCGTCCTATAGGTTCAAAATTAGGCAGATGGGACACCAAGTTGTAATGTATCTGGGAATGCTGTTTGCACTCTAAGCCATATTTATTCTTATCATTTAATTCAGAACAAATTAAATGACTGGCACAACTGAGAATAACCCAAGAGATTTGTTCAATGAAACAAAGCTGAACCTCAACCAAATAGATAAGCTGCTGCCTAAGGTTAGCACCAGTTCTTAGTTACTCAAGAGTGAGTAAACCCTGCTTTTTACCACTGTCGAGGTGTCCAGTGTTGTCCTTTTTAGAGCCTGGCTAGCTGAGGCTTATGTGGCAAGAAACATCTTATTTGTGATTTAGTCCCTTAAATGAACGATTTGGATAGGAATGATTCTCCAAATTTTGAAAATACTTATCAGAAATATTCTCTTATTCCTTCACTCTATGCCACGTAGACTATAATAAACTGTCTCTCTTCTGCCTCCACATATTTCATGCAGAAGATTAGGGCTTAGCAGAGAGAAAGCTTATTACCAGCTTCTTTTGGACTCGCTGCTTTTTTCCAAGTGATCTGAGATGATAAAATTACTCACCTTAGGTCTCCAACCCAGCACTCCTTTTTGATTGTCACCTATGTTTTGCGAGCTTTTCTGTTGATGCTAAAACTCTATGCAACAATCAAAGCCTCAAAATTTAATTACATTATTTGTTGCTAGATTTCAAGGAAAAATTTATTCCTGACATTCTTCTACTTTAGCTCAGATTCACTTTGGCAGAAAGACAGAATTAGCTACTCTACGATCACTTAGTATTTGACTCTGATTTTGGAAGATGAAACAGTTTTTGTGTCTATTTACCATATTTTCTTAGCCATTTAACCAAGATAATCTTATCATATTGATTCTCCTAGAGATACTTACTTTATTTATTCTCTTCACCTATCAGAATTTATGTTAGAATATCACCAAGACTTACTTACAATTGAAATAAATCAAAGAGAGAACACTAAGAACATTGTCAATCATTAATACATAAATCTTGAACTTCCTGAGATTTTTATCCCTAAAAGAAGTTATTTATCAATAGCCTGGTTACAGTTTTTTTTAATACAAGAATTTTCACTCTTCTATGGTACAAAAAGTAAAAATTGATAAAGAGGATAACTTGGAAAAAAATTAATCTAACAAAACAGAGACACATTCTTGGCTAGCACTTTATTTCTGTACTAAATTTAGGAGACATGTAAATGGTAGGTTTCCTAAGTGAAATAAGACAGACACACAGAGAAAAAATACTTCATGGTCCCACTCATATTTGAAATCTATTTTTATAAGTTTAATACATTCAAAAAGGTGGTTATATTGGTGGGAAGAAAATAGGTAAATGAAGGGCAAAAGTTGTAAAGGTGCAGTAATGTAGAATAAATGAATCTGATGTACAACCTGTAGGTATATTAGATAATCTTGTATTGTTTTTGGGAAATATTCTGAGGGACTAGATTTTTGGTGTTCTTATCATCAAGAAGAAGCAGAGCTAAGTGATATGATCGATTTGTTAATTTTCTTCATTATAGTGATCATTTCCTTATGCACATGTATCTCAAAATGACATATTGTGCGCCTTGAAAATATAAAATAAAACAAATTTAAAAATGAAGGTAATTTTGTTCCTGCATGTAAGCTGACAATAAGTGAAGACTGGATCAGTAATAACATTGCTTTGCTGAATTAAGGGAATTCTAATGAAATTTTTTAGTTGGGAAGCTATCTGTATGAAATAAAATTGATCTAAAGCTGGTTACAGTGGCCATAGTTACAATCTCAGTGCTTTGGCAGGCCAAGGCAGAAAAATCAATGGAGGCCAGGAGTTTGAGATCAGCCTGGACAATATAGTAAGACCTTATCTCTACTAAAAAATAAACAGAAAATTAGAAAATTAGTGGTGGTGTGCACCTGTTGTCCCAGCTTCTCAGGAGGCTGAGTTGGGAGGATTGCTTGAGTCCAGGAGCATAAAACTGCAGTGAGTTCTGATTGTGCCATTGCACTCCAGCCTGGGTGACAGAGTGAGAACTTGTCTCAAAAACAGCAACTAATTATTTTTGGTAGCCATGTTACCTGAAAAGTATAATTCTTTCTTCTACAATTAATAAATCTGCATGTGTCTAGGCCAGCTATATCAGGTAGAGCTTTTCCTCTAGTGCTTATATCTACAAAACAAGTAAGACAATTATGAGGAGGCTCTAAGCAAAACAATTTTTTTTCTCATTCTGGACTTTGAGGTCTTAATTCTTTAGACTAATTTTCTGTCTCAATAGTGGATATCACCCTGAAACTTAATTTGTCCAAACACCTCACATAACCTGAGATTTTACAAAACATACAGTTCATAGGATCAGTATGTTCTTATGCCTTAAAATTCTCTGGGCATTCAAGGATGCTACTATGTGGAAACTCAGTCCTTCTACTGCATTATTGAAGAGCACATTTGAGACTCACAGGTCTGGTTGCAGGAGTCTCTTAACAGGTCTGGACAATGAGTAATGTCAGTCCAGATAATTCTGAGGAAGGCTTTCTGTCTTGTTATGAGGAGGATAATCAATGGAGACTCTAGACAAGTTCCCAGTCACCATTCCATCATTCAGTTGCTGTTTTTGTAATCCCAGCATTTTGGGAGGCCTAGGCAGGTGGATCACTTGAGGTCAAGAGTTCAAGACTGGCCTGTTCCACATGGTAAAACTTTGTCTTTACTTAAAATACAAAATTAGCAGGGGGTGGGGGGCGGGGAATATGGATTAGAAGGGAAGGAGAACATACTTAACATACCATTGGAAGGTGAAATTCCTAATACTTGAGAATATTTTTGAGAACTGTTTAATTCTCACTATAAAAAGATGTACCCTTTGAGTGACATTAAAAATTCACTAGAAGAGTGAAGAATAATAGTTAAAATGTCACATGAGTAACAAGAGTCTCAAAACATAAAGTGTTCTAAAAGGTTAAAGTTCATATTTGAGATAGAGAAGAGAATAAATAATAGTTAAATAATTAGAATTCATTATGTGAAAAGACTTTTCTAAAATCTTCCATAATAATTGAAGATATAAACTACAATAATTAAAATATACAAAAAATAAAAGCATTAAAATAGTGAAAAATTTTAAAAAGTGTAAACTTGAAAATTATTTAATTTTTAATCTCAAAAATCAGAAAGTGATTTTATCAATGTCCTAAAAAATTAAAATAAAAACAAACAATAATGTAAAAGAAGGGAGGTTTCCACCGGGCTGGGGGCAGGAGCTAGGGCTTCCCTGGGGACGCAGAAGCAAGAAGCAGGGAACTTGGCGCACACCAGCATATGAATGAATAAAGGCAATGTGACATCTATCAATCTATCTATCTATCTATCTCTCTATCTATCTTTCATCTATCTAATGTACACATGCACAGATATACTCACATAATATATGGTATTATTAGCTACAGTCATTATGCTGTACCTTAGATCACCAGTATTACTTCATCCAATATAAATGAAAATTTATACATTTTGACCTCCATATTTGTATATTTAATGCAATAATATTACATAATAAAATATTATTTAACCCTTCAAAAGAACATTCTGCTCTTTTTGACAACATGAATGAACCTGGAAGACTTAATAACCTCTGTTTTATTTTGGTTTTATTTGACAAACAGTAATTGTATGTATTTGTGGAGTACAGTGTGATGTTTTTATATCACATGCAATAACACGGATGTACCTAGAGGAAATTATGCTAAGAGTAATGATGTCTTGAATAGATATTTAGTGCATTGATTTTCAGTCTTTACTATTTTCTAGCAAATGCAAGTAATATTTTAGCTGAGTCTTACAAGCTTTGATACGTCGTATTTTCATTATTATTAAGCTCAAAATATTTTCTAACTTCTGTGATTTATTTTTACAAATGGATTATTTAGAAGTGATTTGTTTAATGTTGAACCACAGAAAATTTCTGGCTAATTGGTAGTTTTTCACTTTTTAGCTGATTTTCTTCATGTTCAGTGACATATTTTATTATTAGGATTATTTGAAATTCATTAAGCATTGCTTTATCAAACAGCATATGATTGATTTTTGAAAACGTTTCATATGTTCCTGAAAAAGAATGTGTATTTTGCAGTTGTTACGTGATAATCTCTTATGTCAATGGGTCAAATTTATTAATGGTTTTGTTTAAATATTACATATCTTTATAAATTTTTTGTGTGTATTTTCTAGCTGTTCAAATTGTGCTAAAATCTTCCTGTATTATTGCTGATTTGCCTATTTCTACTTTTAGGTCCATCTATTTTTTAAAAAAATAACTTATAAAGTTGTGCTTTGGGGTGCATACCAATTTATAATTTTATCTTCATGTTACTAACCTTTTGCCATTACAAAAATTTATTTCTGGCAATATTTGTTGCCTTGAAGTCCAGTTTTGTCTGATATTAGCATGGAAATAGTGTCCTTTTGGTCATAGTTTATGCAGTTTAGTCTATTAATATATTTTTACCTTTTTATCCTCTTACTTAAGATGTTTCTCTTACAAGACTCTTACCATTGTTTTCTAATTTTAAATAGGAGAAAGTTGCTCCTTTAAAAAGATAAAATTAATTATGTATTGAATTTAAATCCACCACGTTTCTCTTGGTTTCGTATTTATTAATGTTAACTATGTTTAATATTCATATCATTTATTCTTATATTTCTTCTTTCAATTAGTCTTTCTTCTTTCCTGCATTTCCTTTTTTCCATTTCAGAGCTTTTTCCTTCTCTCTGAAGATCATTCTTTAGAGCTCTTATTCTGTAGTCTGTGGCTGGTTCTAGAATCTCTGAATGTTTTCTTAATTAGTCAAAAACTCTGCATTTTACATTCACTTCTGTGAGATTTTAAATGGATTCTATGTCGATATTTATATTCATTCATCACTGTGAAGATGTATTTCTTTTGTCTTCTGGTTTTCATTGCATCTTTCAAGAAGTAGTTTGGGCCGGGCACGGTGGCTGACGCTTGTAATCCCAGCACTTTGGGAGGCCAAGGCGGGTGGATCACGAGGTCAGGAGATCGAGACCATTCTGGCTAACATGGTGAAACCCCACCTCTACTAAACATACAAAAAATTAGCCAGGCGTGGTGGCGGGTGCCTGTAGTCCCAACTACTCGGGAGGCTGAGACAGGAGAATGGCATGAACCCGGGAGGTGGAGCTTGCAGTGAGCCAAGATGGCGCCACTGCACTCCCGCCTGAACGACAGAGCGAGATTCTGTCTCAAAAAAAAAAAAAATAGTTTGTCAGTCTTATTTTCTTTTTTCTCTCTCTCTCTTTCTCTTTCTTTCTCTTCTTTCTCTTATCTTTCCCTTCCCCTCCCTCCCTCCCTCCCTCCCTCCCTCCCTCCCTTCCTTCCTTCCTTCCTTCCTTCCTTCCTTCCTTCCTTCCTTCCTTCCTTCCTTCCTTCCTTCCTGCCCTCCTTCCTTAGTCTTCTCTGTCACCCAGACCGGAGTGCAGTGGTGCCGTCTTGACTCCTGCAACCTCTACCTCCCAGGGTGAAGCAATTCTCCTGCCTCAGCCTCCCTAGTAGCTGCGATTACAGGTACCTGCCACCACACCTGGCTCATTTTTGTATTTTTAATAGAGACTGGATTTCACAATGTTGGCCAGTCTGGTCTCAAGCTCCTGGCCCAAGTGCCTCAGCCTCCCAAAATGCTGAGATTACAGGCATGAGCCACCACGCCTGGCTTTATTAAAATTTTCTTGAATGCAGTATGTTCTTAAAATTTTTGTATGTATTTGGCTTTTATTCTGCTGTCCGTTTTTCGTTTATCCTCTTTAAACAAATTATTCTTTTAAAATTCATTCTTCATGAAACTCTTAACGCCTTATAAATTCATAGCTTAGTATCTTTGAGCAGTTTTAGAGAATTTTCAGCTGTATCTCTTCAAATAGTTTGCTTACCTGATTCTCTTTCTCTCCTTTTACTGGGATTGTAATTAAATTAAAAGCATGTCAGAGATTTGCACTGTGTCCTTTATATCTGTTTTATACTGTTTTCTGTATTTGCTTTTTTTGCTCTCTGCTTTGGTCTGCATATTTTCTTCTAATATTTCTTGCAGTTTACTAATTCTCTATTTTTTTATCTAATTTACTGTTAAATCCAACCATTGTGTTTTTAATTTGTTATTATATATTTTAGTTTTTCAATTTATTTGGTTCATTTTATTATCTATCTTGTGTTTTAGTATTTGTACATACACAGCTTATTTAAAAATGCTTATTCATTAACTGGACCATGTATATTTGTTTTTATTGCACTCAGCTTTCAATCAGTCCATGTCTTCTATACTTTGTTACTTTTTTTGAGTGCTTGATTTTGCATATGAAATGTGGCAATTCAAGAATTTTTTCGGATTTTTTTTTCTTTAAGAGAGAATTTCTTGTATTTCTACTCAAGAGTTGGGATTGGAGAAGTAAAAAATCCCAGATAGTCTTAATCCAATCAAGAAATCAGATGATGCAAGCTGGACTTCCGTTCCTTTGAGGACTGCCCCATTGTCTGTGCATTCCTACTCCATGAGTAAATCTTCCTGGGGTCTCAAATGAAAGCCTTGCTGTTTACAAAGGATGCTTTTCCTTGGTAGACCTTCAATTTTACATGTTGTCACTTAGGGTAAATCATCTACAGAAAGTTTCACACAACTTTTCAGGTGTTCGTTTATGGCTTTTAGAATTATTTCACTTTTAGAGAAAAGAGACTCTAAATGTGGGGTTCTGATCTCTAGCTTTCTTTTTCTTTTTGGAGACAGGGTCTTGCTATGTTGCCCAGGCTGGACTCAAACTCCTGGGTTCAAGGGATTCTCCCACCTCAGTCTTAAAAATAGCTGTGACTACATAACATGCTGATATGGTGTGGCTGTGTCCCTGTGCAAATCACGTCTTGAATTATAATCCCCATTATGCCCATGTGTCATGGAAAGGACCAAGTGGGAGGTAATTGAATCATGGATGTGGTTTCCCCATGCTGTTCTCATGATTGTGAGTAAATTCTCATAAGATTTGATGGTTTTATAAGTGTCTGGTATTTCTCCTGCTTGCACAAATTGTCTCTCCTCCTGCCCTGTGAAGAGACATGATTGCAAGTTACCTGAGGCCTTCCCAATAATGTGGAACTGTGAGTTAATTAAACCTCTTTTCTTTATAAATTAATGACTCTTGGGTAATTCCTTCTAGCAATGTGAGTACAGATTAATACATATGCATTTCTCCTTTTAAAACAATAAATATATATTGTGTCTATATTTCACTCTCTAATTTGGTAATACGTATGGATTGCAGACAATACTATGAACTATGGATTTTTTGGCAATTTCTACATTAATTTTTGTATTTGTACATGATTATTTTTGAATAATTTTTTATTATTGGAGCAAATACATTCAGATTCTGTGCTGTTGTAGGTATCATACGACAAACACTTTTGTGTCATTCAGAGAAGTGGAAAGCATAGTAGATATTTGAATTCAGCTAGAAGGGATGTAGAGAATTATGGCTTAGTTTTGTATTAGTTCTCCGTCTTGGAGTCATAGTTTAAGCCACAGTATCTTTGATCATATGTGATAGTTTTCAGAATTAAAGCTATGTTTGTGCATCTTTTACCACTTACCATTAAGAGAACACAGCACTTACAGACATTCTCTTCAAATTTTAGCAGTAATACATATTACATTTGGGGTAGATGAATTTAATCCATTTATTAGGTTAGTTGAAAATGACCAACTTTTAGTGGAGCCTGTTACATGATAAAGACCTTATCTGGCTCAGATAGGTATTTATGAGACTCTTTATCTAAGGCTCTTTTGACACAGAAGATCCAATATTTAACTAAACATATGATAAGATGAAGGTGTTCCGTGGAGCCAATGGTAAGCCAAGTCATGGAAATAACAAAGGCAGCCCTTAAGCACTGTTCTCTTGTTGGCAAATAAAAATGTTTGTATTGTAGGAACAGTTATTGAATTGATATTGGAATAAAATTAAAGGATTGAATTAATGGACATAGATTCTGACATAGATTCAAGCCTTGATCAAAAGCCTGTATTCTAACCTAAATCTGCAGAACTGAGATGACCTACTTTTCCAAGAATCAGAATGTCAACTTCCATTCTTAGGCTCTCTGCCTCTGAGCCTCAGGGCTTCTTGGGAATGGACTTTCTAACAGGAAGGATAAGGCCCTCCTTGCTGGGAATATGCTTAGGGAAGAGAACCTGGGGCTGCTTTCCCCTTCATTCTGGCTTAAATATTACTTGTCTTTCCTCAGTATTTCATAATGTGAAAGATAATTTATTGTTCAATTTACTTTAGAATATATTTTTCACATTATAGGCCTTTCACATTACTTGGCAATTAGTTACTGTTCCCTGCTGAGACCAAGTCTTTTTCCTCTAGAGATACTTATAAGAGGGAAAAAAGTGTTCAAAGGGATTACTGCATTTGAATTCATTCCAAATATTCAAATTACCTAATCTATAATGACCTTACTGTCTCTTTTATTTAAAATAGTGATGATGTAAGAGTCATAGATTTTGTCTACACCTATAAATGGAACATTTTCCTGATAGAATAACGCAACAGATATCTGAAGAGTTAAATTTCTGCCCAAGGTAGAGTATGTTTTCAGCTGGTATTGAGTCCTCTAGGTGTGATGTTTTATGTCATATCCTCCATTTCTTGTAAAAAATTGCGAAAGTTCTCAATTTACTGGGATGAGGTGGGGGAGACATGGGGACATATTTTTAATTAGGAAGGAAGTGGACTTAGGTGTATGCTATTTGAATGACATTTGAATGACTGAAAGATTGAAAAGTTTGGCTTCTGCCTGTGAGAAAGCTCTGTCATTGGTTTTTCCATGAAATTAAATTTCAGCATTTTCCTTGTTAGGTACAAAGCTTAATAGCTGGGCACATGAAGGTTATCATAAATCCTCTGTCACAGGAAAGTACTTATTGTTGCTTCACCATAATCAAGTAAACTTTCACATAAAAAATTTTAGAGTAGGTGCATTTTTATTTACCTGTGTCACAAAATAACTGACTTATGCAGGTGAATTTCCACTAATTAGGTCAATTTTTACGTAGTCATGCAAAGATAGTGCCTTTGTTTTTCTATGAAGAAATTTTCCAGCAGGTGAGAATATTTAGCTACCTTTCTACATTATGTTCAAGCATCTTTATATTTTGCTCATCTGCTTTGGATAGTGCCATACTTCTCTAATGACTAAGATAATGAGAAGCCTGTTTGGAACTGTGGGAACTGTAGCCTCTTGGCACTATTTCTATATCCGTGGATCAGCCATCAATTTCATGTGTTTTGTGATACACATAGATGCATGAGGTATCTACAATAATGCTCAGTGAAAGAAGCATTGTTTTTCTGGACCATGATGTGACTATGTGAAACCACTGACAGGAGATATTCATTGAAAATGTTTGTGATATGTTGAAATGTAGCTAATGTCTTAAATCCATATGATGTTTTTGAATGAATTCTAATTGTGAAAGTTAAGCTAGCAAATATGAAACTGGTTCACAATATGGAATGTATATTTGATTTTAATATATAGCCTCTTTTCCTTTTCCATTTGGCAAATAAGAGGAAAAACAGTCCATATTGTATGTATAATAAACAGTAGGTTTATAATAATAATCGTAGTTTATGGGATGTTGTATTTTATATGATATATTAATAAAGGTGTACAATTACTTTCAGATATATTTGATTTCAGAGTTTAAAATTGCAGATCATGTCAAGTGTGTTAGAGTGTGAAGGAACCAATATCTGTTATGTTCTGGAAGCATAATATGGGTTTTTACTTAAGAATCTAAAAGTTATCCCAGAAAACATATCAGTAGATAAATATGCTGAGGAAAGTACCTAGTCTACTGTCATTTAAATAGATTTATAAAACTGTGACTGTGAAATATAATGTTACAGATTTTTTTGTCATACCAAATTTTATCTTTTGAAAATGTCATGTTCTTAGAAAACTATGTTAAATCATTGTTTTTGTAGAAAAATGTTAACTTAGTAGTTTACATTGAAGGCCTAGTGATGCTTTTAGTTTTTAAAGTATAGTATTTTTAATTACTTAAACTATAGAGAATAGTTTAAGTACCCTGTTTTTTATAAGTAAACATTTAAGTTGCTGAAAGAATTATCCTATTGAAATCTAGTTTGATGATGTAAGCCGGAAAAGGCACTAAACCTTGCAGCAAGTATTGTGTGAAAAAATAACAGAATTGTTTATAGACTACATTATTCTCTTGTATTCTTCAGCGCGTGTGTCTCTATCGGTCTATAGCTTCAACAATGCCAGAACTCTGGAATCAGTTGGAAGTGGTAATGTGAATGAGACATGTGGAATGTGCATCACAGCTGGCTTCTAGAAACAGCTCAAATTCTCTCTGCGCACGTCCTCTTCCACTGCCAGATTTATTTAAATAGAATAATCCTGTTTAAATTTGAGGTTTAGTAATTCTGCAGTTTTCCTCAGCAGTGCTTAATCAGAAAGTCTGGGTTTGTATCTCTACTTGTCCCACTCTTCTCTCTGATTTAAGTTTGTCCTTAACCATCATATCTAGAGACTTTGAGAAACAATGTGTTCTTTTTTTCTTTTGAATTTTCGTTTCTTTTTTTTTTTTTAAACTAGGATTATCTGTGTTTTTTAAGGCTACCTCCAAAAGCCTCCAGAGTCACCCCAGGGACCCACAGGAAGTTGCACTTTCAGTATTTCCTCACGAAAAGGAAACTTTCTGAAGAAGATTTTAAAGGAATACCAGCCTCAGTTAAGTATATTATTAATCTTCTTATTGCTTGCAAAAACTCATTTATTAACTACAATTTCTCCTTTTGCCATTTTATCCTCCTTTTCATTTCCTGAGCTCTTTC
Source organism: Homo sapiens (assembly GCF_000001405.40). Classification (NCBI taxonomy): domain Eukaryota; kingdom Metazoa; phylum Chordata; class Mammalia; order Primates; family Hominidae; genus Homo; species Homo sapiens. Next base: position 55,316,657 of record NC_000011.10, read on the forward strand.
TGATGGTGGGTCCAACCTTTTCACTATAATTCTGCTTGCTTCTCATCAAGATGCATTCAACCACAGGTAAAATTACTACTCATAAAATTGTATCATTATTTTCTAAGACATACAATTATATTATGTGCCCCCAAAAGGTTTTCCTGAATTATACGTATCTTATCCTTCTTTTTTCCTGGACTATGTCTATAAATCTTTTCACGTTGACAAAGATCTGCATGATTTGTTCTGATTTTATGTTCCCAGTGAAGCATTCAAGAATACTAATTATAGCTATCATTTATTGAGTCTATACCAGGTACCAGCCAGTATTCTAGGCACTTCACTTTGTTTTAATAAAACAACAACTCTAAGAGGTAAGGACTATTGAGATCTCCATTGTAAAAGTGATGCAACTAAGGGATAGAGAGCTTTAGTAAATGGCCCAAAGTCTCATAAAAAGTGGTGAACCTGCAGTTTTAGCTGAAGCAGTGTGGCTTTAGTGTCCACATTATTCACCACATGCTACACTTTCTCTTCAAGGTTGCCTTGGATCTTAAATAGGTACATACTGAGTGAGAAACTTACAGTCACTATTTACTCACTGTAATCATGAAACCCCATGTCCCACTGACTACCATTTTTCATGTAAGAGTCATGAGCTTGGAAATTTTTATTTAATTATAAATTTATAAAAAATGAAAAAAAATCATCACAAGAATACCATAAAGGAGAGGTGCACTAATGGTTTTGTAGATAGTTGACTAGGAAGGATTCTGAATTTCTCAAATTTAATCCCATTGTTTTAAAGTGAGCAAACTGAGAGACCTGGAAATACAATCAAAAAATGACTTGAATCCAAGCCTTCTTACACTGAACTTGGAATTTCTCCTAGAGTATGCTCCTTTTTGGAATCTGAACACTCAGGTTCTGTTTTTGAGTACTCTTGGTATCTAAATACTGTTATGAATAAAACCATGTCCCACTGTTCTGTACCTCTTTCTATAGTGTCTATTTTCTCATCTTTTAGTATTTAGCTCATCCCAAGAATTCACAGAAAAGTACTCACTGCTTCTTTGGTAGTTGGTGATACTCACGAGTTAGTTTACTTGATTTCAATAATATAAATTGCTGAAAATTTGGATATTGAATGTAAGTGTAGTAAAAATTAGGGTATAGGCAAGGTTAAAATAGAGAGAATCACAGCTCCTTATAAGGTGGACAGAGAGTTAGACCAAGTAATTGCTACAAGGTACAATGTAATAAATAATATCATAGCTATTTATACAGTTTAGAGTCCTGCCTTTTGGCATTTAATGAAAGGCTACTGAAGACTGAACATACTTTGAGGCATGAAGGAATGAAGTCTAACAGTAGAAGGCCGGTGTACTGAGTGAGATATTTCAGAAGATGTTATTCTCGGTGCCACACAGATCATATTATAAAGATACCACAAGTACAAACACAAAGGACCAAATCAGTTAGTTTACTTATTTAGAGTTTATTACCACCACCAGAGAGTAAGTTTCTAGAGACCAAGAACCTATTGCCTATTCATCATAGCTGACTTCTGTGCCAAGAAAAATTATTTAATAAGAAATTATGAAATGTATGAATGGCTGTTGGGACTTTAACACTTCTTCTGTATAGAATATTCATTAAAGTTAGAGGTGGAAGCCTTTAACTGTGGCTGAAACTAAAATCTTTGAGGAGAAATAGAATTGTCAAGGGAAGATGGCCTCTTTGATGAGGAACTCAACAGAGACTTACTAAATGTTTATTGTGTGTAAATCTCTATTCAGGATACAACAATGAAGATGTGCTCTGTGACACAATGTATGTAATCATATTCCTGTTCACTATTTTGTTACAGGACCTTTTCTCCTGAGCTCTTACCTCTGATAGAAGACAGAAAGAAGAGTAAATGAGACAGAATAACAGTAGTACAGAATTTGTTCTCCTGGGCTTTTCTCAGGATCCTGATGTGCAAAATGCGCTATTTGTCATGTTTTTACTGACATACATTGTGACAATGGTGGGGAACCTACTCATTGTGGTGACTATTATTGCCAGCCCTTCCTTGGGCTCCCCAATGTACTTTTTCCTTGCCCACCTGTCATTTATAGATGCTGTGTATTCCACCACCATTTCTCCTGTATTGATTGTAGACTTACTCTGTGACAAAAAGACGATTTCCTTCTGAGCTTGCATGGGACAACTGTTTATAGACCACTTATTTGGTGGTTCTGAGGTCTTCCTTCTGGTGGTGATGGCCTGTGATCGCTGTGTGGCCATCTGTAAGCCACTGCACTATTTGACCATCATGAATCGACAGGTTTGCATTCTTCTCTTGGTGTTGGCTGTGACTGGAGGTTTTGTGCATCCTGTATTTCAAGTTGTTGTTGTGTACAGTCTCCCTTTCTGTGGCCCCAATGTCATTGACCACTTTTTCTGTGACATATACCCTTTATTTGGAACTGGCATGCACTGACACCTACTTTATAGGCCTCACTGTGGTTTTCAATGGTGGAGCAATGCGTATGGTCATCCTCACCCTTCTACTAGTCTTCTATGGAGTCATCCTAAACTCCCTTAAAACTTACAGTCAGGAAGGGAGGCATAAAGCCCTGTCTACCTGCAGCTCCCATTTTACCGTGGTTATCTTGTTTTTTGCTTCCTGTATTTTCATATATGTTAGACCTGTTTCAAATTTTCTGTTGATAAATTCATGACTGTGTTTTATACGGTTATCACACCCATGTTGAATCCTTTTATATGCATGTTGAGAAATTCAGAGATGAGAAATGCTATAGAAAAACTCCTGTGTAAAATGAACTGTAGTTAGAATAAGAGTGTTCCTTCCCACGTAGATAAGGATGTATGTAGACAAGGTCTTCACAGTGAAATTTTTAACCTTTATATGTAGAGTGAGAGTGGGTAGGGCAGCTTGGGTGCAGATCGTATTGTGCATGTTTTAAATTATGGTTTTTCTCTATTACACATCTTTTGAGACACGGTGTTTCTTCCATATGCCTAGCACAGAATGGAGAAAGGGAGAAATAAGTAATTAAAATAGATGCTCCTGTTCAAAAGGGGAGGCTATGGTGCTTCCTTCAGTGTAATTTATTTAAAGACTTTTTAGAATATACAAGCACCATATTCACAAATATATTTGAAACTGGCCCTTCTCAGACTTGAGCCGAAACTCTATGTGGAGTCAGAAAATACCCTTAAGAATCTTAGAATTATGTTTGTCTAGTTTAAAGTACGTATGAGACACACCATTAAATTTTTCTGAAGTCTTTTCAATGTGTCTTAACATCCACAAGTTTGAAATGACTTTTAATTTTATGACCTTTCTTACTTTTAGAGTACTTAACTCTTTGCAGAGACTGGAAAGGGAAACCATTTTTATCTTTGAAACAAGCAAGTTCTGGCTCTTTTATGTTTCTTGTAATTCTGTCTGAAAATGTAACAGTTAATCTTTTAAGTAATTCCTTTTTAAAAAAATCCATGACCTATTATAAGATACAATGCTATAAGAAACAGCCGTGACTTTCAATATTCTATTTGGAAATTTTAGCCAAATCCACCTATTCACTTAAGTAGGTTTTTTATTTTCTACCTTACTACAGGGGACAGAATTACTAATTTTTTTTTGGCACTAGATAGAGACTCACTTTTTTCACAGCCTCTAGAACAGTTATGTCTGTATTTTCAGCCTTTACTTACAATATCCTGGAGTCCCCCTATTTTGAGGTACTAAAGCCAATTTCACACACTTCAAATTGTTGTTATGTAAGCACCACACTCTGAGGTGCCACTTTTTATTCTGGTGCTGTATTTATGTATGGTGCAGGGCTCCACAGTTTTTGTTATTTCAAACAACCATCATTTTGTTTTATTTCAAAATTTTGTGAGTCAGGAATTCAGGCAGTTGTTGGGTATGTATATCTTCTGTTTTGTGTGGCAAGGACTGAAGTCACTGTTTTATTCAGCTGATAACTGAGTTTTATGTAAATGCACGATAACTTAATTCACATTGATATAATATTGGAAGGGATGACAGTAAGAGATGCACTGGGTCCCTCTTCCTATCCCTTTAGATGAAGGACCACAAGATCACTCCAGAGAATAGTCAAGCTTTTTACATGGTGCTCAGAGATCCCAGCAGTAGAAAGTAGATGGGTCTAGCCAGTTTAAGGGCTAGGCACAATGTCACTTGTAACATATTCTATTTCTCATAGTCATCACATGACCACCCTAGATTTGAGGTTTTACAGAAATAGGTGATAATACTTGATGGGGAAGTGTCAAATCACTTTGAAGAGCAGCATGCAGAACAGTTGTCTGCATCTCAAAAAGAGCATATTGGAGTTTTATTCATTTTAAGCTGGATCCATAAATCATCTTGTACTAAGGATATCTTAGCAACATTGGGTTTTCTAATTCTTGAATACAGTATATCTGTTAGGTATTTTAAATGTTTATTTTTTAGGAGTTTTGTAGTTTTTATTCATGTAAGGATCTTCCTTATCTATTCCTAAGTGTTTATGTTTTCAGATTTCATCACAGATTTTTAATTTTAAAAAAAATTCTGTCATTGTTGCTAGTATATATAAAATAAATTGAATTTTTTATTTGACAGTTGAGTCCTATCAACTTGCTAAATTTACTTCTTATTCCTACAAAGTTATTCTGTAGGGTTTTCTGAAACACTATCATGTTGTTTACAAGCAAGGATAGCTCATTGCTTGGAAAGAGAAGGGGTGTTTCCGTTTCTTTTTGTGTCATTTTTAGAAGGTTGTTCTTATAGTTTTAGGTCTAATGTTTAAGTCTTTAATCCATCTTGAATTAATTTTTGTTTAAGGTGTAAGGAAGGGATCTAGTTTCAGCTTTCTACATATGGCTAGCCAGTTTTCCCAGCACCATTTATTAAATAGGGAATCCTTTCCCCTTTGCTTGTTTTTCTCAGGTTTGTCAAAGATCAGATAGTTGTAGATATGCGGCGTTATTTCTGAGGGCTCTGTTCTGTTCCATTAATCTATATCTCTGTTTTGGTAGCAGTACCATGCTGTTTTGGTTACTATAGCCTTGTAGTATAGTTTGAAGTCAGGTAGCGTGACGCCTCCAGCTTTGTTCTTTTGGCTTAGGATTGACTTGGTGATGCGGGCTCTTTTTTGGTTCCATATGAACTTTAAAGTAGTTTTTTCCAATTTTGTAATGAAAGTCATTGGTAACTTGATAGGGATGGCATTGAATCTATAAATTACCTTGGGCAGTATGGCCATTTTCATGATATTGATTCTTCCTACCCATGAGCATGGAATGTTCTTCCATTTGTTTGTATCCTCTTTCATTTCATTGAGCAGTGGTTTGTAGTTCTCCTTGAAGAGGTCCTTCACATCCCTTGTAAGTTGGATTCCTAGGTATTTTATTCTCTTTGAAGCAATTGTGAATGGGAGTTCACTCATGATTTGGCTCTCTGTTTGTCTGTTATTGGTGTATAAGAATGCTTGTGATTTTTGTACATTGATTTTGTATCCTGAGACTTTGCTGAAGTTGCTTATCAGCTTAAGGAGATTTTGGGCTGAGACAATGGGATTTTCTAGATATACAGTCATGTCGTCTGCAAACAGGGACAATTTGGCTTCCTCTTTTCCTAATTGAATACCCTTTATTTCCTTCTCCTGCCTAATTGCCCTGGCCAGAACTTCCTAGAAATACCATTTGACCCAGCCATACCATTACTGGGTATATACCCAAAGGACTATAAATCATGCTGCTATAAAGACACATGCACATGTATGTTTATTGTGGCACTATTCACAATAGCAAAGACTTGGAACCAACCCAAATGTCCAACAATGATAGACTGGATTAAGAAAATGTGGCACATATACACCATGGAATACTATGCAGTCATAAAAAATGATGAGTTCATGTTCTTTGTAGGGACATGGATGAAATTGGAAATCATCATTCTCGGTAAACTATCGCCAAGGACAAAAAACCAAACACCACATGTTCTCACTCATAGATGGGAATTGAACAATAAGAACACATGGACACAGGAAAGGGAACATCACACTCTGGGGACTGTTGTGGGGTGGGGGGAGGGGGAGGGATAGCATTAGGAGATATACCTCATGCTAAATGACGAGTTAATGGGTGCAGCACACCAGCGTGGCACATGTATACATATGTAACTAACCTGCACATTGTGCACGTGTACCCTAAAACTTAAAGTATAATAAAAAAAGAAGGTTGTTCTTTCCCTACATTTTACCTAATTCATCTAAGCTGTCAAATTAATTGAAATAATGTATTTCATAAGAATCCTTTTCTAACCTTTTAAGTCTAAAGGATCTATGGTGCTGATTGTTTGTTTTATGATTTCTGATATTGGTAATTTGAATTTCTCTTTCTTTTCTTTTGATCACACTTGCTAGCAATTTATCAATTTCATTATAAAAGTACCAATGTTTGGCTATTTTGATTTTATCTATTTTATTTTTTCCATTTTCTTGGTTTTCATCTTATATTTATGTCCTTTCATTTACTTGTCTTGGTTTTTGTTTACTCTTGTTGTTCTATCTTAATGTGAAGGCTCAGGTGGCTGCTTTTAAACATTTATTTTAAATGTAGGCTTTTATAGCCATACATGTTTCTTTAAGTACTTTTTTGATCACACCTCACCCATTTTGATATGTTTTTGTTATTGCTGATTTCTAAATATTTGCTTATTTCCATTATACTTTTTTCTTTGATTCATACTTTCACTAAATGTTTTTTGGCATGATTACCAATATTTGAAGCACATTCTAGATAGTTATGAGTTATTTATTTATACATAGGAAATTATTTTAAAACTTAGTGATTTCAACAATATGTACTCATTCTCAATTTCTGTTGTTCAGGAAATTAAGGATGGTTTAGCAGGTTCCCATGCTTCAGAGTCTGTCACAAAGCTGTAATCAAGGTGCTGGTTGGGGCTACCATCTCGTATGAAAGCTTGACTGAGGACAGATCCACTTCCACACTGGTATTAAGAAATAAGTCCTATTTTTATATTAGTGCTTTATCTTGGAATCTTGGAATCATAATTTAAATCTCAGTGTCCTTGATCATATCTGATAGTTCTTCAGAATTAAACGTATGTTCATGCATGTTTTAACACCTAGTATAAGACAGCACAGCACTTGTAGACATGATCTTTGAATTATTGTATTTACTCTGTTTTCTGATTTAGTCCCTTTTTCTTTCATTTTTTGCCATTTAGTTCTCTCTCTAATGATGGGTCCAATTTTTCTGTTGTAATTATGTCTGATCTTGTCAAGATACATTCCATCACAGATAAAATCACTACTCATATGTAGTTAAATGGAAAATTCCTAAGACATACAATTATATTGTGTCCCCAAAAGCCTTTTCTGAATTATATGTATCTTCTTTTCTTTCTCTGGACTATGTCTGTAAATCTTTTCAAATTGACACAGATCCAGATGATTTGTTTTGATCCAATGTTCCCAGTGAAGCATTCAGGAACACAAGTAATAGCTATCTTTTACTGGGCCTTTACCAGGTGTCAGCCAGTGTTCTAGGCACTTTACTGTTTTGTAATAAAATAACTGGAGATTTTAAATGAAAATGAGTCATAGAGAAGTTTAGTAAGTGGCCCAAAGTCACACAGTAAGTGGTGAAGCTAGGGTTGTAGCTGAGGTATTGTGGCTCCAATGTCCACATTATTCACCAAATGCTATGCTTTCTCTCCAAGGATATCTTGGATAAATAGGCACAAATTGAGTGGGAAACTTGTAGTCATAATTTACTCACTCTAATTATGAAACATCTACCACTGACTGTCATTATTCATGTAATAGCCATGAGCTTGGAAATTGCTATTTAATTATAATATAAGAAAAATGAAAAAAAGTCAGCAGAATAGAATAAGGGAGAGGTGCACTAATAGTTTTGTAGATGATTGACTGGAAAGGATTCTCAGTTCATCTAATTTAATCACATTGTTTTCCAGTGAGAAAATGAAGACAGACTTGTAAATGCATTCAGAAAATGACTCACATTCATGTCATCTTACAGTGAAGTTCAAATTTCTCTTTGAGGTTTTTTTTTTTTTGGGGATACGAACACTAAGTTTCTATTTTTGAGTACTCTCTGTATCTAAATAATGTTAAAAATAAAACCATGTCCCACTGTTCTGTACCTCTTTGTACAGTGTCTATTTTCTTTTCTCTCACTATCTAGTTCACCCCAAGAATTCAGAAAAAAATAATCACAGCTAATGTGGCAGTTGGTGATAGTCATCAGTTAGTTTTCTTGAGTTCAAAATTAGTTGGTGAAAATCAGGATACTGTATGTGTATATGATACAAAATTGTGGAATAGGCAAGAATAAGATGCAGAGATGTGCAGATCCTTACAAGGCAAACAGAGGGTCAGACCAAGTAATCACTACAGGGAATAATGTGATAAATAATATTTTACTATTTATACAGATTAATGTCTAGTCTCTTAACATTTAATGAGATAGTCATAAAGACTGAACATCTTTCGAGGCATGAAGGTCCGAATGTGTAACTGTGGAATGCCACAGTACTGATTGAGATATTTCAGAAGGTGCTATTTTTGATGCTACACAGATCATAAAGATACCACAACACTACAAACTCAAAGCACTGAATATATGCCAATTTATTTATTTAGAGTTTATTACCACCACAGGAAAGTAACTTTCTTGAGACCAATAATCTGTTGTCTATTCATCATAGCTGACTTCTGTGCCAAGAAATATGTTTTAAATAAGGAGTTATGAAATACATGAATGGCTGTTGGGCCTTTAACTCTTCTTCTGTACAGAATATTCACTAAAACTTAGAGGCAGAAGCTGTTACCTGTAGGCTCAAACTAAAATCTTGAGGACATGAGGAACTCAATAGAGACTTAACAAAATGTTTATCATGTGTGTAAACCACTATTGAGGATACAAAGTGAAGATGTGCTCTGTGACATCATGGATGTATTCATATTCCTGTTCATGATTTCATTACAGGTCCTGTTCTCCCAAGTTCTTTACTCTGATACAAGCCTTAGAGAAAAGTAAATGGGACTGAGTAACAATGTTACAGAACTTTTCCTCCTGGGCCTCACTCAGGATCTCGATGTGCAAAATGCATTATTTGTCATGTTTTTACTAACATACATTGTGACTATGGTGGGGAACCTGCTCATTGTGGTGACTATTATTGCCACCCCATCCTTGGGCTCCCCAATGTACTTTTTCCTTGCCTGCCTGTCATTTATAGATGCTGTGTATTCCACCACCATTTATCCCAAATTGGTTGTAGACTAACTCCATAATTAAAAGACTATTTTGTTCCCAACTTGCATGGGCCAGCCACTTACAGACCACTTATTTGGTGGTGTTGAGGTCTTTTTTTCTGTTGGTGATGGCCTGTGATCGCTATGTGGCCATCTGTAAGCCACTGCACTATTTTACCATCATGAATCGACAGGTTTTCATCCTTCTGTTGGTAGTGGCTGTGACTGGAGTTTTGTGCGTTCTGTGTTCCAAATTGTTGTTGTGTACAGTCTCCCTTTCTGTGGCCCCAATGTCATTGACCACTTTTTCTGTAACATGTACCCATTAATGGAAATGGCATGAACTGACACCTACTTTATAGGCCTCACTGTGGTTTTCAAGGTTGAAGCAATCTGTGTGGTCATCTTCACCCTTCTACTAATCTCCTCTGGCGTCATCCTAATCTCCCTTAAAACTTACAGTCAGGAAGGGAGGCATAAAGCCCTGTTTACCTGCAGCTCCCGCATTACTGTAGTTGTCCTCTTTTTTGTTCCCTGTATTTTCATGTATGTTAGACCTGTTTTTAACTTCCCCATTGATAAATTTATTATTGTGTTTTATACAGTTATCACACCCATGCTGAATCCTTTAATATACATGTTGAGAAATTCATAGACGAGAAATGCTATAGAAAACCCCTAGTGTAAAAAATTAACTGTAGATAGAATAAGAGTGTACATCTTCATGTAGCTACAGGGTTGTGTAGACAAGGTCTTTCCAGAAAGGTTGTCAGACTTGTAATGGCAATTCAGGGATCCTAGATTGGGAAAGCAGGATTTATGAGCTCCCAGCTCAGTTAACTTGTCCCATCGTGGCCTCAATTTGACATCCAGTATTTCAAATTATATATCCAGAGTGAGTATAGACAAAGCCCTTTTGGTACAATTTCTGAGGTAGGGCCTTTACTTTTGGTTCTTCTCTATTTTCAGATCTATAAACTAGAGACAGGGTTTTTCTTTCTCATTCTAGCATACAATGGAGGAAGAGATGAGAAGATAAACATAGACACTCTTGTTCAGAAGAAAAGACTAAAGTGCTTCCTTCAATGCAATTTCCGTAAAAACTTTGTAACATTTCTGTGTTATTTTTATTGGCATTTACAACATTATACAAGGGTCATACTCACAAACATCTTTGCAACGGACTATTCTTGGGTTTGAGCTGAGAGTCTGTGTGTGTGCAGCGGGATAATTCCCATAGGAGTATTGAATTATTTTTGTTTAATTGGTAGGTTTTATGAGACACATTTTAAAATCTTTCTGAAGTTTTCTCAAAGAATCTTCCATTGACAACTTTGAGATAACCTTTTTTCTGCCACTCAAAGCATGTGGCATTGGCTTTAATATTAGAAGCTAGGTGACATTACTTACATTGAGAGTCTTTAGATCTTTGGAGAGACTGGAAAGGGAAACCAGTTTTATTTTTGAAACCAGCAAGTTTGGGCTGCTTTATTTTTCTTGTAAGTTCTGCCTGAAAATTCAAGCTACTCTTTTAACTCATATTTTTATTTATGTCTTATCATATCTTACACTGTTATAAGAAACAGGTTGAACTTTCAATACTGCACTTGAAAATTTTAGCTGGATCCACCTGTTCATTTAAGTATACTTTCTGTTTTCTGCATTACTATAGATGGGAGTATTACCAAACTTTTCTGGCACTAGATAAGGAGTCACATTTTTTCCCCCAGTTACTTCTGTCTTTTCAGCCATCAGTTACACTGTCCAGGAGATCATTCTAAGTGTCATCTAGCTTCTGGTATTAAAGCCTGTGCCACATGCTTTATATTGTTGTTATGGAAGCACCACACTTAACAGGTGCCACTTTTATTCTGGTTATCTCTTCCTGCATTGTACAAGGCTCCACAGTTTTTGTGACTTAATCACCAATTTATTTTACTTTAAAATTTTGTGGGCTAGAAATTCAGGCACTGGTTCACTGGGTATTTCTTCTGTTTCATGTGACATGGACTGAAGTCAGTGTTGTTCAGCTGATAGCTGGATCATCTGTAGGATCCAGGAAAGCTTACTTCACATTTATAGCATCTTTGAGGTGATGACTGGAAGAGATCCACTGAGTCCTTCCTCCTATGCATTTTGATGGAGGACCACAAGATCTCTTCAAAAGATAGTCAGGCTTTTTACGTGGCACTAAGAGATCCCCATGGTAGAAAGTAGAAGACCTCAGGCCAATTAAGGGCTATGTCCAGAACTGGCACAATCTCTCTTGCACCATCTTCTATATTTCAGAGTGGTCACATGACCATCCCAGATTTGAAATGTTACAGAAACAGACGATAATCCTTGATGGGGAAGTGGCAAAGTCACTTTGCAGAGCAGTGTGCAGAAAATTGTCTACATCTGAAAAAGAACATATTGGGAGTTTTATTCAGATTGAGTTGGATCTATAAATCATCTTGGACTGAATTAACATCTTAACAATAGTGGCTTTTCTAATTCTTGAATGCCATATATCTATTATGTGTTTTAAATATTTATGTTTGAAAAGTTTTGTAGTTATAGTATAGGGATCTTACTCATCTGTTCCTAAGTATTTATGTGTTCAGATGCTTTCACAGGTTGTAATTAAAAAAATTTTCAATTGTTATTGCTGTTAGTGTATATAAATGCAATTGAATTTTTTCATTTGTCATTTGAGTCTTATAAATGTGCTAAATTTGTCACTTATTTCCAGCCATCTCTGTAGATTCTTTAGAGTGTTCTGAGATACTATCATATTATCTATAAACAAGAATAGTTCATTACTTAGAGGGATAGAGGAGCTTTTAGCTTTTCAATTTGTTTTGGGGGTCATTTTCAGAAGGTTGGATTTTCCCTACATTTTACCATTTTATCTAAGCTGTCGAAGTAATTAAACTAATCTTTTTGATAACAATCCTTTTCTATCCCTTTAAAGTCTAAAGGATCTATTTGAAGATGATTTTAAAAAATCTGATATTGATAATTTGAATTTCTATTTCTTTTCTCTTTCTTGATCATTCTTGCTGGAAGTTTGTCAATTTTATTATAAAAGTACCAACTTTTCACTATTTTGATTTTCTCTATTTTATGTTTCCCATTTTATTGATTTTTCATCTTATAATTATCACCTCCTTTCTTTTACGTACCTTGGCTTTAATTTACTCTTCTCAAAGTGAAAGTTCTGATTGGTGCTTTTAAATATTTTTAATATAACACTTACAGCTATAAATTTCCCTCTCAGTACTATTTTAATTACATGTGCCAAATCTTTTGGTTATTTTTTTTCTTTTTTTAGGGTTTTTTTTTTTAATTATACTTTAAGTTCTAGGGTACATGTGCACAACTTGCCGGCTTGTTACACAGATATACATGTGCCATGCTGAGCAACTGCACCCATCAACCCATCATTTACATTAGGTACTTCTCCCAATGCTATCCATCCTCCTACCCCCCACTCCACAACAGGCCCTGGTGTGTGATGCTCCCCACCCTGTGTCCAAGTGTTCTCATTGTTCAATTCCCACCTATGAGTGAGAACATATGGTGTTTGATTTTCTGTCCTTGTGATAGTTTGCTGAGAATGATGGTTTCCAGCTTCATCAATGTCCCTGCAAAGGACATGAACTCATCCTTTTTACGCTGTATAATATTGCATGGTGTATATGTGCCACATTTTCTTAATCCAGTCTATCATTGATGGACATTTGAGTTGGTGCCAAATCTTTGCTATTGTGAATAGTGCCGCAGTAAACATATGTGTGCATGTCTCTTTATAGTAGCATGATTTATAATCCTCTGGGTATATACCCAGTAATTGTATTGCTGGGTCAAATGGTATTCCTAGCTCTAGATCCTTGAGGAATCACCACACTCTCTTCCAAAATGGTTGAACTAGTTTACAGTCCCACCAACAGTGTAAAAGTGTTCCTATTTCTCCACATCTTCTCCAGCATCTGTTGTTTCCTGACTTTTAAATGATTGCCATTGTAAATGGTGTGTGATGGTATCTCATTGTGGCTTTGATTTGCATTTCTCTGATGACCAGTGATGATGAGCATTTTTTCATGTGTCTGTTGGCTGCATAAATGTCTTCCTTTGAGAAGTGTCTATTCATATCCTTTGCCCACTTTTTGATGGGGTGGTTTGATTTTTTTCTTGTAAATTTGTTTGAGTTCATTGTAGATTCTGGATATTAGTCCTTTGTCAGATGGGTAGATTGCAAAATTTTCCTCTCATTCTGTAGGTTGCCTATTCACTCTGATGGTAGTTTCTTTTGCTGTGCAGAAGCTTTTTAGTTTAATTAGATCCCATTTGTCAATTTTGGCTTTTGTTGCCATTGCTTTTGGTGTTTTAGACATGAAGTCCTTGCCCATGCCTATGTCCTGAATGGTGTTGCCTAGGATTTCTTCTAGGCTCTTTATGCTTTTAGGTATAACATTTAAGTCTTTAATCCATCTTGAATTAATTTTTCTATAAGGTGTAAGGAAGGCATCCACTTTCAGCTTTCTACATATGGCTAGCCAGTTTTCCCAGCACCATTTATTAAATAGGGAATCCTTTCCCCATTGCTTGTTTTTGTCAGGTTTGTCAAAGATCAGATGGTTGTAGATGTGCAGTGTTATTTCTAAGGCCTCTGTTCTGTTCCATTGGTCTATATCTCTGTTTTGGTACCAGTATCATGCTATTTTGGTTACTGTAGCCTTGTAGTATAGTTTGAAGTCAGGTAGCATGATGCTTCCATTTTTGGTCTTTTGGTTTAAGATTGTCTTGGCAATGCGGGCTTTTTTTGGCTCCATATGAACTTTAAAGTAGTTTTTTCCAATTCTGTGAAGAAAGTCGTTGGTAACTTGATGGGGATGGCATTGAATCTATAAATTACCTTGGGCAATATGGCCATTTTCACAATATTGATTCTTCCTATCCATGAGCGTGGAATGTTCTTCCATTTGTTTGTGTCCTCTTTTATTTTGTTGAGCAGTGGTTTGTAGTTCTCCTTGAAGAAGTCCTTCACATCCCTTGTAACTTGGATTTCTAGATATTTTATTCTCCTTGAAGCAATTGTGAATGGGAGTTCACTCATGATTTGGCTCTCTATTTGTCTGTTATTGGTGTATAGGAATGCTTGTGATTTTTGCACATTGATTTTGTATCCTGACACTTTGCTGAAGTTGCTTATCTACTTAAGGAAATTTTGGGCTTAGACTATGGGGTTTTCTAAATATATAATCATATCATCTGAAAACAGGGACAATTTGACTTCCTCTTTTGCTAATTGAATACCATTTATTTCCTTCTCCTGCCTAATTGCCCTGGCCAGAACTTCCAACACTATGTTGAATAGGAGTGGTGAGAGAGGACATCCCTGTCTTGTGCCAGTTTTCAAAGGGAATGCTTCCAGCTTTTTCCCATTCCGTATGGTATTTGCTGTGGGTTTGTCATAAAGAGCTCTTATTATTTTGAGATACGTTCCATCAAAACCTAACTTATTGAGAGTTTTTAGCATGAAGTGCTGTTGAATTTTGTCAAAGGCCTTTTCTGAATCTATTGAGATAGTCATGTGTTTTTGTCTTTGGTTCTGTTTATATCATTGATTACATTTATTGATTTGCATATGTTGAACCAGCCTTGCATCCCAGGGATGAAGCCCACTTGATCATGGTGGATAAGCTTTTTGATGTGCTGCTGGATTCAGTTTGCCAGTATCGTATTGAGGATTTTTGCATCAATGTTCATCAGGGATATTGGTGTAAAATTCTCTTTTTTTTGTTGTGTCTCTGCTAGGCTTTGTTATAAGTATGATGCTGGCTTCATAAAATGAGTTAGGGACGATTCCCTCCTTTTCTATTGATGGGAATAGTTTCAGAAGGAATGTTACCAGCTCCTCTTTGTACCTCGCATAGAATTCGGCTGTAAATCCATCTGTTCCTGGACTTTTTTTGGTTGGTAGTCTACAAATTATTTAGAGACTGTTATTGGTCTATTCAGGGTTTCAACTTCTTCCTGGTTTAGTCTTGGGAGGGTGTATGTGTCGAGGAATTTATCCGTTTCTTCTAGATTTTCTAGTTTATTTGTGTAGAGGTGTTTATAGTATTCTCTGATGGTAGTTTGTATTTCTGTGGGATTGGGGGTGATATCCCTTTTATCATTTTGTATTGCATCTATTTGATTCTTCTGTATTTTCTTCTTTATTAGTCTTGCTAGTGGTCTATCAATTTTGTTGATCTTTCCAAAAACCAGCTCCTGGATTCATTGATTTTTTGAAGGGTTTTTTGTATCTCTATCTCCTTCAGTTCTGCTCTGATGTTAGTTATTTCTTGCCTTCTGCTAGCTTTTGAATGTGTCTGCTCTTGCTTCTCTAGTTCTTTTAATTGTGATGTTAGGGTGTCAATTTTAGATCTTTCCTGCTTTCTCTTGTGGGCATTTAGTGCTATAAATTTCCCTCTACACACTGCTTTGAATGTGTCCCAGAGATTCTGGTATGTTGTATCTTTGTTCTCACTGGTTTCAAAGAACATCTTTATTTCTGCCTTCATTTTGTTACGTACCCAGTAGTCATTCAGGAGCAAGTTTTCACTTTCCATGTAGTTGAGCAGTTTTGAGTGTTTCTTAATCCTGAGTTCTAGTGTGATTGCACTGGGATCTGAGAGACAGTTTGTTTTAATTTCTGTTCTTTTACATTTGCTGAGGAGTGTTTTACTTCCAACTATGTGGTAAATTTTGGAACAAGTGTGATGTGGTGCTCAAAAGAATGTATATTCTGTTGATTTGGGGTAGAAAGTTCTGTAGATGTCTATTAGGTAGGCCTGGTGCAGAGCTGTGTTGAATTCCTGGATATCCTTGTTAACTTTCTGTCTCGTTGATCTGTCTAATGTTGACAGTGTGGTGTTAAACTCTCCCATTATTATTGTGTGGGAGTCTAAGTCTCTTTGTAGGTCTCTAAGGACTTGCTTTATGAATCTGCATGCTCCTGTATTGGGCGTATGTATATTTAAGATAGTTAGTTCTTCTTGTTGAATTGATCCCTTTACCATTATGTAATGGCCTTCTTTGTCTCTTTTGATATTTGCTGGTTTAAAGTCTGTTTTATCAGAGACTAGGATTGCAACCCCTGCTTTTATTTTGTTTTCCATTTGCTTGGTAGGTCTTCCTCTATCCCTTTATTCTGAGCCTATGTGTGTCTCTGCATGTGAGATGGGTCTCCCGAACACAGCACACTGATGGATCTTGACTCTTTATCCAATTTGCCAGTCTGTGTCTTCTAATTGGAGCATTTAGCCCATTTATATTTAAGGTTAATATTGTTATGTGTGAATGTGATCCTGTCATTAAGATGTTTGCTGGTTATTTTGCTCGTTAGTTGATGCAGTTTCTTCCCAGCCTTGATGGTCTTTACAATTTGCCATGTTTTTGCAGTAGCTGGTACTGATTGTTCCTTTCCATGTTTAGTGCTTCCTTCAGGAGCTCTTGTAAGGGAGGCCTCGTGGTGACCAAATCTCTCAGCATTTGCTTGTCTGTAAAGGATTTTATTTCTCCTTCACTTTTGAAGCTTAGTTTGGCTGGATATGAATTTCTGGGTTGAAAATTCTTTTCTTTAAGAATGTTGAATATTGGCCCCCACTCTCTTCTGGCTTATAGAGTTTCTGCCAAGAGATCAACTTTTAGTTTGATGGGCTTCCCTTTGTGGGTAACCCGACCTTTCTCTCTGGCTTCCCTTAACATTTTTTCCTTCATATCAACTTTGGTGAGTCTGACAATTATGTGTCTTGGAGTTGCTCTTCTCAAGGAGTATGTTTGTGGTGTTCTCTGTATTTTCTGAATTTGAATGTTGGCCTGCCTTGCTAGGTTGGTGAAGTTCTCCAGGGTAATATCCTGCAGAGTGTTTTCCAACTTGTTTCCATTCTCCCCATCACTTTCAGGTCCCTCAATCAGACGTAGATTTGGTCTTTTCACATAGTCCCATATTTCTTGGAGGCTTTGTTCATTTCTTTTTACTCTTTATTCCTCTAAACTTCTCTTCTAGCTTCATTTCATTATTTGATCTTCAATCACTGATACCCTTTCTTTCAGCTGATTGAATCAGCTACTGAAGCTTGTGCATACATGACGTAGTTCTTGTGCCATGGTTTTCAGCTCCATCAGATCATTTAAGGTCTTATCTACACTGTTTATTCTAGTTAGCCATTCATCTGTTCTTTTTTCAAGGCTTTTAGCTTCTTTGCAATGGGTTCAAACACCCTCTTTAGCCGGGAGAAGTTTGTTATTACCGGTCATCCGAAGCCTTCTTCTCTCAATTTGTCAAAGTGATTCTCCATCCAGCTTTGTTCTGTTGCTGGCGAGGAGCTGCTTTTCTTTGGAGGAGAAGAGGTGCTCTGATTTTTAGAATTTTCAGCTCTTCTGCTCTGGTTTCTCCCCATGTTTATGGTTTTATCTACCTTTGATCTTTGATGATAGTGATGTACAGATGGGGTTTTGGTGTCAATGTCCTTCCTGTTTGTTAGTTTTCCTTCTAATAGTCAGGACCCTCAGCTCCAGATCTGTTGGAGTTTTCTGGTGGTCCACTCCAGACTCTGTTTGCCTGGCTATCACCAGTGGAGGCTGCAGAATAGCAAATATTGCAGAATGGCAAATGTTGCTGTCTGATCTTTCCTCTGGAAGCTTCGTCTTGGAGGGGCACCTGGCTGTATGAACTGTCAGTCAGCCCCTACTGGGAAGTGCCCCCCAGTTAGGTTACTCAGGGGTCAGGGAACCACTTGAGGAGGCAGTCTGTCTGTTCTCAGATGTCAAACTCTGTGCTGGGAGAACCACTACTCTCTTCATAGCTGTCAGACAGGGACATTCAAGTCTGCAGAAGTTTCTGCTGCCTTTTGTTCATCTATGCCCTGCCCCAAGAGGTGGAGTCTACAGAGGCAAGCAGGCCTCCTTGAGCTGCGGTGGGCTCCATGCAATTTGAGCTTCACAGCCACTTTATTTACCTACTCAAGCCTCAGCAATGGTGGGCACCCCTCCCCCAGCCTCACTGTCACTTTGCAGTTCAATCTCAGACTGCTGTGCTAGCAATGAGGGGGACTTTGTGGGCATGGGACCCTACGAGCCAGGTGCAGGATATAATTTCCCAGTGTGCTGTTTGCTAAGACCATTGGAAAATTACAGTATTAGGGTAGGAGTGACCCAATTTCCCAGGTGCCATCTATCACGGCTTCCCTTGGCTAGGAAAGGGAATTCTCCAATCCCTTGTGCTTCCCAGGTGAGGTGATGCCTCACCCTGCTTCAGCTCACACCCCATGGGCTGCACCCACTGTCCTGCATCCACTGTCTGACAAGCCCCTGTGAAATGAACCCGCAACCTCAGTTGGAAATGCAGAAATCACCTGTCTTCTGTGTTGCTCATGCTGGGAGCTGTAGACTGGAGCTGTTCCCATTCAGCCCTCTTGGAACATCCCTCTCTTGAATACCCTTTATTTCTATCTCTTGCCTGATTACCCTGGCCAGAACTTCCAACACTATGTTGAATAGGAGTGGTGAGAGAGGGCATCCTAGTCTTGTGCCAGTTTTCAAAGGGAATGCTTCCAGTTTTTGCCCCTTTAGTATGATATTGGCTGTGGGTTTGTCATAAAGAGCTCTTATTATTTGGAGATACATTCCATCAATACCTAGTTTACTGAGGATTTTTAGCATGAAGGGCCATTGAATTTTGTTGAAGGCCTTTTCTGCATATATTCAGATAATTATTTGGTTTTGGTCAATGGTTCTGTTTATGTGATGGACTACGTTTATTGATTTGTGTATGTTGAATGGGCCTTGCATCCCAGGGATGAAGCTGACTTGATCATGGTGGATAAGCTTTTTGATGTGCTGCTGGATTCAGTTTGCCAGTATTTTATTAAGGATTTTTGCGTCGAAGTTCATCAGGGATATTGGTGCAAAATTCTCTTTTTTTGTTGTGTCTCTGCCAGGCTTTGGTATCAGGATGATGCTGGCCTCATAAAATGAGTTAGGGAGCATTCCCTCTTTTTCTATTGATTGGAATGGTATCAGAGAGAATAGTTCCAGCTCCTCTTTGTACCTCTGGTAGAATTTGGCTGTGAATCTGTCTGGTCCTGGAGTTTTTTTGGTTGGTAGGCTATTAATTATTGCCTCAATTTCAGAGCCTGTTATTGGTGTAATGGTTTATTCAGAGATTTAATTTCTGCCTGGTTTAGTCTTGGGAGGGTGTATGTATCCAGGAATTCATTCATTTCTTTTAGATTTTCTAGTTTATTTGTGTAGAGAAATTTATAGAATTCTCTGATGGTAGTTTGTATTTCTGTGGGATTGACGGTGATATCCTCTTTATCATTTTTTATTGCTTCTATTTCATTCTTCTGTATTTTCTTCTTTATTAGTCTTGCTAGTGGTCTATCGATTTTGCTGATCTTTTCAAAAAACCAGCTGCTGGATTCACTGATTTTTTGAAGGGTTTTTTTTGGGTCTCTATGTCCTTCAGTTCTCCTCTGATGTTAGTTGTTTCTTGCCTTTTGTCAGCTTTTGAATGTGTTTGCTCTTGCTTCTCTAGTTCTTTTAATTGCGATGTTAGGGTGTCAATTTTAGATCTTTCCTGCTTTCTCTTGTGGGCATTTAGTGCTACAAAATTCTCTCTACAGACTGCTTTAAATGTGTCCCAGAGATTCTGGTACATTGTGTCTTTTTCTCATTGGTTTCAAAGAACATCTTTATTTTGCCTTCATTTCATTATTTACCCAGTAATCATTCAGGAGCAGGTTGTTCAGTTTCCATGAAGTTGTGCGGTTTTGAGTGAGTTTCCTAATGCTGACTTCTACTTTGGTTGCACTGTAGTCTGAGAGACAGTTTGCTGTGATTTCTATTCTTTTACATTTGTTGAGGAGTGCTTTACTTCCAACTATGTGGTCAATTTTGGAATAAGTGTGATGTGGTGCTGAGAAGAATGTATATTCTGTTGATTTGGGGTGGAGAGTTCTGTAGGTGTCTATTAGGTCCGCGTGGTGCAGAGGTGAGTTCAAGTCCTGGATATCCTTGTTAACCTCCTGTCTCGTTGATCTGTCTAATATTGACAGTGGGGTGTTAAATTCTCCCACTATTATTGTGTGGGAGTCTAAGTCTCTTTGTAGGTCTCTAAGGACTTGCTTTATGAATCCGGATGCTCCTGTATTGGGTGCATGTATATTTAGGATAGTTAGCTCTTCTTGTTGAATTGATCCCTTTACCATTATGTAATGGCTTTCTTTGTTTCTCTTGATCTTTGTTGGTTTAAAGTCTGTTTTATCAGAGACTAGGATTGCAACCCCTGCCTTTTTTTGTTTTCCATTTGCTTGGTAGATCTTCCTCCATCCCTTTATTTTGAACCTATGTGTGTCTCTGCATGTGAGATGGGTCTCCTGAACACAGGACATTGATGGATCTTGACTCTTTATCCAATTTCCCAGTCTGTGTCTTTGAATTGGGTATTTAGCCCATTTACCTTTAAGGTAATATTGTTATGTGTGAATGTGATCCTGTCATTATGATGTTAGCTGGTTATTTTGCTTGTTAGTTAATGCAGTTTCTTCCTCACATTGATGGTCTTTACAATTTGCCATGTTTTTGCAGTGGCTGGTACCAGTTGTTCCTTTCCATGTTTAGTGCTTCCTTCAGGAGCTCTTGTAAGGGAGGCCTGGTGGTGAAAAATATCTCTCAGCATTTGCTTGTCTGTGAAGGATTTTATTTCTCCTTCACTGATGAAGCTTAGTTTGGCTGGATTTGAATTTCTGGGTTGAAAATTCTTTTCTTTAAGAATGTTGAATATTGGCCCCCACTCTCTTCTGGCTCATAGGACTTCTGCGAAGAGATCCACTGTTAGTCTGATTGGCTTCCCTTTGTGGATAACCCGACCTTTCTCTCTGGCTTCCCTTAAATTTTTTCCTTCTCTTCAACCTTGGTGAATCTGACAATTATGTGTCTTGGGGTTGCTCTTCTTGAGGAGTATCTTTGTGGTGTTCTCTGTATTTCCTGAATTTGAATGTTGGTCTGCCTTGCTAGGTTGGTGAAGTTCTCCGGGATAATATCCTGCAGAGTGATTTCCAACTTGTTTCTGTTCTCCCTGTCACTTTTAGGTACACCAAACAAACGTAGATTTGGTCTTTTCACATAGTCCCATATTTCTTGGAGGCTTTGTTCGTTTCTTTTCACATTGTTTTCTCTAAACTTCTCTTCTCGCTTCATTTCATTAATTTGATCTTCAATCACTGATACCCTTTCTTCCACTTGATCGCATTGGCTATTGAAGTTTGTGCATGCATCACGTAGTTCTCGTGCCATGGTTTTCAGCTCCATCAGGTCATTTAAGGTCTTATCTACACTGTTTATTCTAGTTAGCCATTCATTTAATCTTTTTTCAAGGTTTTTACCTTCCACGTGATGGGTTCAAACATCCTCCTTCAGCTCAGAGAAATTTGTTATTACCGTCCTTCTGAAGCCCTCTTCTGTCAGCTCATCAAAGTCATTCTCTATCCAGCTATATTCCATTGCTGGTGAGGAGCTGCAATCCTTTGCAGGAGAAGAGGCGCTCTGGTTTTTAGAAATTTCAGCTTTTCTGCTCTGGTTTCTCTCCATCTTTGTGGTTTTATTTAACTTTGGTCTTTGATGTTGTGACCTACAGATGGGGTTTTGGTGTGGATGTTCTTTTTGTTGATGTTGATGGTATTCCTTTCTGTTTGTTAGTTTTCCATGTAACAGTCAGGGCCCTCAGCTACAGGTCTGTTGGACTTTCCTGGTGGTCCACTCCAGACCCTGTTTGCGTAGATATCACCAGCAGAGGCTGCAGAACAGCAAATATTGCAGAACAGGAAACATTGCTGCCTGATCCTTCCTCTGGAAGCTTCATCCCAGAGGGGCACCCACCTGTACGAGGTGTCAGTCAGCCCCTACTGGGAGGTGTCTCCCAGTTAGGCTACATGGGGGTCAGGGACACACTTGAGGAGGCAGTCTGTCCATTCTCAGAGCTCAAACACCGTGCTGGGAGAACCACTGCCCTCTCCCTATGTATTATATCCACTTTCTGAATTCTTTTCTATAAATTATAATTTTTATATAATATTGTGTTTTTCAGCCTGAGGAACTTTTTTTTGCATTTTGCATAATACAGGTCTGATGGCTGTTACATTTCTCATCTCTCAAGTACTGAGCTAATTACTGAATTTCATATGGCAGTTTGAGACCACATTTAGATCTCCCCTAACACAAAAAAGGTAAAAGATTGAGAGTGAGAGGAAATTCCAGCAATTTGCTAGTACACGGGGTTTTGGAAAAGAGTTTGAAGTTCAATTTCTGCCCTAGTAGGGTGATGTAGTAAATTTTCAGCTTTCTGTTGAAACTCAATACGGTCCATGTCTCAGCATTAATGTCAACATTCCAGAATTAAGGATTATACAATAACACTTTTTGACATCCTTTATCAATAGGGCTACTCTCTTTATCTTTTATGATCTTCACGTTTTTATAGTTATAATTTGTTTTTATGCAGTTGTATCAACAGAAGCATTTACAGCCTTGTATCTTTCCTACAAATAATACAATTCTCAAACAGAGCATTAAATAACTTCAGTGTAGTTCTCCCATTCTAGTGAGAAGGGGTTCATCGTCCTTTCCTAGCATTAGCTGACTTCATGTCACATATGAGAGAAACTGGAGTTTTATTCTCTGGAAACAAAATAATGTCATGCGTAAAGAATAAGAGTGTCCATTCTAGGTGCTATCACCCATTTGTGTGCTCCTTTTACATCTGACACGATTTTTCCTTTAAACTATTACCTATTTAATTCCAACTCATCTTTTAAAAAAGCCATTATTATATGGTTTGTAAGGGGTATAATATGTCCATTTGAGGTACTTTTTTGTTTGTTTCTTTTGAGACAGAGTCTCACTGTGTCGTCCAGGCTGGGATGCAGTGGAATGATCCTGGCTCATTGCAACTTCTGCCTCCCGGGTTCAAGGTATTCTCCTGCCTCAGCCTCCCAAGTAGCTGGGATTATAGGCATGTAAGACCACACCCAGCTAATTTTTGTATTTTTAGTAGAGGCTGGTTTTCACCATGTCGGTCAGGCTGGTCTCAAACTGCTGACCTCAGGTGATCTGCCCACCTTGGCCTCCCAAAGTGTTGTCGATTACAGGCGTGAGCCACTGCTACCGGCTTATGTGATGTACTTCTTAGCTCATTTATGTCCACTGGCCATGAGAAAATTTGTGCTTTGATTCAATGAGATTTGGGGATCAAATTGGTAGTCCATGTATTGTTTCACTAGCCAGATGGTGTTTTCATTTGTGGCTTGGATTACAGGCTAAGTGAATCTCAAAGTGTCATTAAAAGTCTAATCATGATAAACCCATTTGACATCACTAGGAGCTATGGCTATTGATCCTTTGTAATAACCCTAAAAGCTCTGTTTTGGTTCTTGGCACTAGCAAGTACTCTTTAATCCTATTTAAACAGTGTTTCTGCTATTGATAAAACACCTGAGTCTTTATGATATTACTGGTTTTGGTTGACTTAGTGGAGTATGTCACTATTCTTCCCATCATTATGTGTCATTCATCTCATATATCCAAATGGCCACTGAAAATGCAGGGACAAAGACTTTCTATTCTTTTTTTAAAAGAATCAAAACCTAGGTTCCTTAAAGACCTATAGCACTCAGTTTAATCTTCCCTTAGAATCCTAATGTGGCTTCCACAATAGCATCCTCTGTTGCTGGATTTCTTGATCAACCATATGTATGAGCAGCAAAAACTTTAGTTCATGGAGCATTTGGTTCTCACTCTCAGAGCAATGTCTGAATATTTCCTGACACCTGTGGTGTAACCACACCATTTGGTCAGGTAGACCAGAGGCTTGTCTACCTGACCAAATGGTGTGGTTACACCACAGGTGTCAGGAAATATTCAGACATTGCTCTGAGAGTGAGAACCAAATGCTCCATGAACTAAAGTTTATGCTGCTCATACATATGGTCATTCAGAGGACTTAACTTTACCTTCTTGAACCAAATTTCTACTATTCAGAGGGAGAATTTCAGCAGATTTCCATATGAATCATACCCTTTCGTTTGAAAATCTCCATTAGGAAATTAAATATCTTGTTTTTCTTTATCAGGAAAAGGATAATTGCATTCATACCAGTGATTAGCAGGAATGAAAACCTCTGTCAGAGGTTCTATTTGTTCTGAAATTTATACTTATAAATATGATATATTTATCAGAGCCACCCCCTTGAACATTTCTACATATGCTCTTTCAATTTTATTAAGAAACGTTGTCATGCCATGCTATGCTTTTTTAACTGGCCCTCTAATGTCACCATGACATCGAGGACACTCATAATGAATTAATCTGTGTCTCTGTGAAAGTTCAAGCACTTCTCAGTAGTTGTCTTTCAAATTGCCCTCATCTGGCCAGTGTATTAGGAATATTGAATCCAAAATGCCAGTTTTCATCCTAGGGTGGCAGAATTAGGCTTCTGTGGGAGTCTCCAGTGTGCATAACTTCCCATAGTAGACACTTCTGAAAACAACTGGGCATTAAGGTTATTGGGTTTCCATGGCATTGTGTGAGTAACTTCCCATTATAAATCTCCCAGAGTTATTGTTACTTCTTTGTGTTACTAGGATGTGAAAGAGATGTTATATTTGGTAATGTTTCTAAAATGTCTCTGTTGGTCATGGACCAAGTTGTTCCAAGGAACTTGCCTTATTACTTCAAACTCTGTATTTTGGCTAGACTGATGAATCACACTAGACACTGATATTTACTGTCACTCCCATATCACAAGGTCAGGAGATCAAGACCATCCTGACTAACATGATGAAACCCTGTCTCTGTTAAAGATACAAAAATTAGCTGAGTGTGGTGGCACGCACCTGTAGTCCTAGCTACTCAGGAGGCTGAGGCAGGAAAATCACTTGAACCCACGAGGTGGAGGTTGCAATGAGCCAAGATCATACCACTGCACTCCAGCCTGGATGACAGAGTGAGACTCCATCTCAAAAAAAGAAGGAAAGAAAATGACTCAACCCATGCTTTCTTACATTGAACTTGGAATTTATCCTTCAGTATTTTTTTGTTTTTAGTCTGGATGCTGAGGTTGTATTTTTGAGCACTCTTAGTACCTGAACAACATTATAAATAAAACTATGTTTCACCATTTTTTACCTCTCTTTTCATTGTATATTTTCTCCTCTCTCACTATCCAGTTCACTGTATGAGTTCTGCCAAAAAAGCAAACAAAAAAACCCTCTAGTTGCTGATGTAATAGCTGGTGACAGGGATGAGTTAGTTTAGTTCAGTTTAAAACTATGCTGAAATTAGAATAGTAAATGTGTTTGGAATTGTGGTATAGGCAAGGATGTAATGGAAACTCCCTAGAACTCGAACAGTCAGAGATTTTGTGGTTATTTATACTGGTAAAAGTCCAGTATCTTGAAATTTAATGAGAGATTAAAGAAAACTGTTTATTTTTTTGAGACATGGAGGTCTGAATGTTTAACAGTGGAATGTTATAGTACTATGTGAGATATTTCAGAAGATGGTTAATTTTGTTGCTACACAGGTCATATTGTAAAGTCCCTGCAACTACTACAAATGTGAAGGACTGAGTCTATGCTAATTTAGTTATTGCAAGTTTATAACTTTTTTTATTATACTTTAAGTTTTAGGGTACATGTGCACAACGTGCAGGTTAGTTACATATGTATACATGTGCCATGTTGGTGTGCTGCGCTCATTAACTCATAACAAGTTTATAAGAGTAAGTTTCTTGAGAGTGGGAGACTGTTTCCTGTCCATCAAAGCTGATTGGGGTGCAAAAAAGTAATATGTTTTAAATAAGAAGTTATTAAAGTATGAATGATAGTTGCACTTTTAACTATTTTCCTGTACAGAATACCCACTAAGACTTAGAGTTAGATCATTTATCTGTTGGCTGAAAACAAAATCTTCTGAGGGATATAGAATTTTCAAGGGAAGGCCTATTGGACAGTTTGGATGAGGAACTCAATAGAGACTTAGTAAACGTTTATTGAGTATAAATGGCCGTGGAAGATATAACGATGTAGATGTGCTCTGTGACATAATGGATGTATTTATTTTTCTGTTCACTATTTCATTACAGTCCCTGTTCTCCTGAGCTCTCATTTCTGATATAAGCTTGAAAGAAGAGTAAATGAGACCAAGCAGCAATGTTACAGAATTTGTCCTCCTGGGCCTCACTCAAGATCCTGATGTGAAAAAAACATTATTTGTCATGTTTTTACTCATATACATTGTGACAATGGTGGGAAACCTCCTCATTTGGGTGACTACTATTGGCAGCCCCTCCTTGGGCTCCCTAATGTACTTCTTCCTTGCCTACTTGTCACTTATGGATGCCATATATTCCACTGCCATGTCACCCAAATTGATGATAGACTTACTCTGTGATAAAATCGCTATTTCCTTGTCAGCTTGCATGGGTCAGCTCTTCATAGAACACTTACTTGGTGGTGCAGAGGTCTTCCTTTTGGTGGTGATGGCCTATGATCGCTATGTGGCTATCTCTAAGCCGCTGCACTATTTGAACATCATGAATCGACTGGTTTGCATCCTTCTGTTGGTGGTGGCCATGATTGGAGGTTTTGTGCACTCTGTGGTTCAAATTGTCTTTCTGTACAGTCTACCAATCTGTGGCCCCAATGTTATTGACCACTCTGTCTGTGACATGTACCCATTGTTGGAACTGTTGTGCCTTGACACCTACTTTATAGGACTCACTGTGGTTGCCAATGGTGGAATAATTTGTATGGTCATCTTTACCTTTCTGCTAATCTCCTGTGGAGTCATCCTAAACTTCCTTAAAACTTACAGTCAGGAAGAGAGGCATAAAGCCCTGCCTACCTGCATCTCCCACATCATTGTGGTTGCCCTCGTTTTTGTTCCCTGTATTTTTATGTATGTTAGACCCGTTTCCAACTTTCCCTTTGATAAATTAATGACTGTGTTTTATTCAATTATCACACTCATGTTGAATCCTTTAATATACTCGTTGAGACAATCAGAGATGAAAAATGCTATGAAAAATCTCTGGTGTGAAAAGTTAAGTATAGTTAGAAAAAGAGTATCTCCCACACTGAACATATTTATTCCTAGTTCTAAGGCAACAAATAGGCGGTAAAATACTGCAGTCAATTCAACAGATTCTGTAGGGATGCTTCTCTCTATCTACATAAAGCCATCAGAAAAGTAGTATAAATTATCCACTGAGACTAGAATAAATCTAAAGAGAAATTTGGAGAATGAATAAAATCACAGGTACTGAATAAAAGGTCTTGGTACAAGTAAAAATAAAACCAAGCTCACCTTGTAACTTTATTTTTCTCAGTTTATATTGAATTAGGACTTAAAGTTATTGATTATTTTCAAAAGAGAAAACACAAGCCACTTCTGTAGATGTACTTTTACCCAAATTCATGAGAAAGCAATTTGGCTAATACTTAAAACAGATTTCTGGGGAAAAGAGAGTTGTTTTTAAATCTTATTTTTTTATTATTCTATTAGTAAAGCAGCTTTCTGTGTTATTAATTTTGTTTTAAGGTTGCTTCCATTCCGCAAGTCATGTCTATGCATTTCCAGTTCAGGATATTTGGATGACAGATGATATTGTCTTTAATGAAAGACAGGATTGGCTAGGTGCAGTGGCTCACACTTGCAATCGTAGGACTTTGGGAGGCCGAGGCAGGTGGATCACAAGGTCAGGAGTTCAAGACCAGCCCAGCCACGATGGTGAAACCCCATCTGTACTAAAAATACAAAAATTACTGGGGATTGGTGGCAGGCATCTGTAATCCCAGCTATTTGGGAGGCTGAGGCAGAGAACTGCTTGAACCCGGGAGGTGGAGCTTTCAGTGGGGCAAGATTGTGCCATGGCACTTCAGCCTGTGTGACAGAGTGAGACTCCATCAGGGGGGAGGGATAGCATTGGGAGATATACCTAATGCTAGATGATGAGTTAGTGGGTGCAGCACACCAGCATGGCACATGTATACATATGTAACTAACCTGCACAATGTGCACATGTACCCTAAAACTTAAAGTAGAATAATAAAAAATAAATAAATAGATAAATAAATAAATAAATAAAGAGAAAGGAACCGTGAAAAAAAAATAAAAAATAAATAAAAATTTAAAAAGGCACTCTTAGTGAACAATTTTGTAAGATGGAATGTAGATAATGATGAAAACAGATGCTAGTTCTTTACTGCAGGAAAAAAATACTTTAGTTTTTAGAATCATACTAATTCAAGTTATAAACACATTTTTATGATTTTCCTTGCTTGTTCTCATGTGCTTTTTTGCCACTCTCTGAAGAAAAGGCAAAGCTTCTTATATTCATGATGCTGAAAATATGGATAAGGAAAAGTGTTATTTAGCATAAGCAACATGTTTTCTAAATGTTGTATTTAAACTGCTAATAGACTTAAATAGATTTGTTGTGTAAGCAAAATTTTGGTTTTCAATTTCATGATAAAAAACAAGTTTTTCTCAGTGTGCAGCCACCTTAGGACATCAGAAAACAAGAAGATTGAATTGTTTTCATTATAATATAGAACACTATCTATGCTTTGTAAGAGTTAGTTTTTTAAAATAAATTTTTTTGTATGTTGAATATACAACATGATGTTACGGGATACATGTAGAGAGTAAAAAGGTTACTATTGTGAAGCAAATTAATATATGCATCATCTAAAATACTCACTTTTTGTGGAAAAGCAGATAACATCTACTCTTTTAGCATGAATACCAAATACAGTAAAATTTTATTACCTATTGTCCTCATGCTGTATATTAGTCAGAGGATATAATGTAACAGAAGAAGAAATGAAAAATGAGCAAGTCTAGAGATCTCATGTACAAGAATTTACTTTTCTAAATGAAAACATATTTTATAACTTAAATTACTTGAAAATTTTATAATTTGTATGCACATCAAATGATATGTGAAATTCAGAATATTATCAATGTAATTGAAACTACCTGTGTCTACCACGCTGATGCCATTCCTCTTTTTCTCCCCAGGGATAAACCAAACACTAAAGTTTTTGTTAATCATAGTTAAAATAGTTTAATTACATATGTACTTTTCCTTAAAAGGTATTGTTTAGATTTTCATATTCCTTGCCTTTATTAAAA
The DNA here is from genome assembly GCF_000001405.40 of Homo sapiens. NCBI lineage: Eukaryota > Metazoa > Chordata > Mammalia > Primates > Hominidae > Homo > Homo sapiens. The sequence continues at coordinate 55,346,203 of NC_000011.10, forward strand.
TTGTATTATCCATAGTTTTCTGAATTTTACTTTCTTTCACAATGTAAACATTCTAAGATTTGATTATATTACTGTATGTTGCTTTAGTCTCTTAATTTTCCGTGCTGTATATTATTCCATGTGTGAATATACCACCAATTATGCATTGGTTCAATCAGAGGCCATTTGCAGTGTTTATGTTTTTTTTTTAATTCATGTTGCACAATATGCAGCTATGGACATCCTGAAAAAATTATTTTGTGTTAAAAATAATGCTTATACACTTTTACAGATTACTGCATTTTTTTCCTAATGTATTATTAATCACCTCCTTAACCAGTTAAGTTACTTCTACCAACAGTGCATAACAGTTCCATTGCTCTACATCCTTACCAACACCTCACTATAGTGAGATGTTTGATAATTTTTCCTAATGTAATAGCTTTAAGGCTGTAAGTTCATTGTGGTTTTAATTTGCAGTCTTTATTGCCACTGAAGTTGAGTATATTCTTAACGTGTTTATTGAATCTCATTTTTTTCTAATTTTCTATGAAATGTGTATTTATGTATCTTACCAACTTTTCTACTGGTTGTTTTCTATTATTTTTAATTTATTGGACTTCTTTAGGAAACCTGTGTATTGAATCCTTATTGTTTATATGTATTGCAAACATTTTCTCAGTTTGTGATTTCCTTTTTTATACTTCTCATTTCATTTGATGAATAAAAGCCTCATGATTTCATTTTTTCTTTATTTATTAAACAAATAAAAATTGCATGTATTTATTATATACAATATGTTGTCTTAAAACATGTATACATTGGGGAAGGATTAAATTGAGCTATTTAGCATATGCATTGCCTTACATAGTCATCATATTTTTGTGATGAAAACACTTAAAATCTACTGTCTTAGCAATTTTCAAGAATAGGTTGTTACTAACTATAGTCACCATGTTGTACAATAGATCTCTTGAATTTATTCCTTCTATACAATTGAAATTGTGTATTCTTTGACCAAAATCTCCCCAACACGCCTGGTAACCACTATTCTACTTTCTACTGTTATGAGTTCAACTTTTTTGGATTTCACATATAAGTGAGATTATGTGATATTTGTCTTCCTATGCCTGGGTTATAGCTTAATGCAATGTCCTCCAGTTTCATCCACATTGCCACAAATGACAAGATTTCCTTCCTTTTAAATGCTAAATAGTATTCATTGTGTATATGTACCACATTTTCTTTATCCATTCATCCACCGGTGGGCACTTCAGTTGATTCTGTATCTTGGCTATTGTGAATAATGCTGCAATGAATGTAGTTGTGCAGATATCTCTTTGACATACTGATTTTCTTTATTTTTCTCAGTTTTTAATTTGAGACTGAGTTTTTAATTTAATTTTTCTTTGTTTTTAATTTGAGACTGAGTTTCACTCTTGCCATCCAGGCTGGTGTGCAATGGCGTGACCTCAACTCACTGCAACCTCTGCCTCCTGGGTTCAAACAATGCTCCTGCTTCAGCCTCCCATGTAGCTGGGATTACAGGCATGTAGCAGCACACTTGACTAATTTTTGTTTGCATTTTTAGTAAAGATGGAATTTGGCCAAGTTGGCCAGGCTGATCTCGAACACCTGACCTCAAGTGATCCACCTGCCACAGCCCCCTAGAGTGCTGGAATTACAGGTGTGAACCAGTGCACCCACCATACTGATTTTCTTTTTAAAAAATAATATATACCTAGCAATGGGATGGCTGGGTCATATGATAGCTTTAATTTTTGAGAACGCTTCATGCTGTTTTCCATAATAGCTGTACTAATTTACATTACTAGTAACAGTGTGCAAGGGTTCTCTGTTCTCCACATCCTCACCAACACTTGTTGTCATTTGTCTTTTTGATAATAGCCAGTCTAATAGGTGTGAGATAACATTTAATTGTGGTTTTATTTTGCATTCCTCTGATGATTAGTGATTTTGAGCATTTTTATACACATATTGGTCATTTTTATGTCATGTTTAGAGAAATGCTTACTCAAATCTGATATGGTTTGGCTGTGTCCCTACTCAGATCTCATCTTGAATTCCCACGTGTTGTAGGAGGGACCTGGTGGAAGGTAATTGAATCATGGGGGCAAGTCTCTCTCCTGCTGTTCCCATGATGGTGAGTAAGTCTCATGAGATCTGATGGTTTTATAAAGAGGACTTTCCCTGCACAAGCTGTCAGAAAGCTTGTCTGCTGCCATTCATATAAGACATCTCTTGTTCCTAGTTGCCTTTTGCCATGACTGGGAGGCCTCCATAGTTATGTGGAACTGTAAGTCTATTAAACCTCTTTCTTTTGTAAATTGCCCAGTCTTGGGTACATCTTTATCAGCAGTGTGAAAATAAACTAATACAGTAAATTGGTACCGAGAGTGGGGCACTGCTGAAAAGATACCCGAAAATAAGGAAGCGACTTTGGAACTGGGTAACAGGAAGAGGTTGGGACAGTTTGGAGGGCTCAGAAAAAGACAGAAAAACATGGGAAAGTTTAAAACTCTCTAGAGACTTGTTGAATGGCTTTGACCAAGATGCTGATAATGGTGTAGACAATGAAATCCAGGCTGAGGTGGTCTCAGATGGAGATGAGGAACTTCTTGGGAACTGGAGCAAAGGTGACTCTTGTTACATTTTAGCAAAGACACTGGTGGCATTTTGCCCCTGCCCTAGAGTTCTGTGGAACTGTGAACTTGAGAGAGATGATTTATGGTATCTGGCAGAAGAAATTTTTAATCTGCAAAGCATTCAAAGCGTGACTTCGGTGCTATTGAAAGCAATAGTTTTATAAGGGAAGCAGAGCATAAAAGTTTGGAAAATTTGCAGCCTTACAATAGTGATAGAAAAGAAATTTGCAGCCTTACTATACAATAGTGATAGAAAAGAAAATTCCATTTTCCAAGAAGAAATTTAAACCAGCTGCAGAAATTTGCATAAGTCACAAGCCAAATGTTAATCATCAAGACACTGTAGAAAGTGTCTCCTAGGCATATCAGAGAACTCTGAAGCAGCCCCTCCCAACACAGGCCTGGAGGCTTAGAAGAAAATAAAAGGTTTCATGGGCCTGGCCCAGGGTTCCTCTGGTGTGTGCAGTCTAGGGACTTCGTGCCCTGCATCTCAGCTGCTCCAGCTGTGACTAAAAGGGGCCAAGGTACAGTTCAGACCATGTTTTCAGAGGGTGCAAGCCCTAAGCCTTGGCAGCTTCCACATGGCATTGAGCCTGTAGGTGCACAGAAGTCAAGAATTGGGGTTTGGCAACCTCTGCCTAGATTTCAGAGAATGAATGGAAACGTCTGGATGTCCAGGCAGAAGTTTGCTGCAGGGCTGGGGCACTCATGGAGTACCTTTGCTAGGGCAGGGTAGAAGGAAAATGTGGGGTTGGAACCCTGACACAGAGTCCCTGCATAGGGGAGCTTTGGAACTGTGAGAAGAGGGCAAAACCACATGGTGGAGCTGCCCAAGAACATGGTAACCTACCTCTTGCATCAGCATGACCTGGATGTGAGACATGGAGTCAAAAGAGATGATCATTTTGGAGCTGTAAGATTTGACTGCCCTGCTGGATTTCGGACTTGCATTGGCTGTGTAGCCCCTTTGATTTGGCCAATTTCTCCCATTTGGAATGACTGTATTACCCAAGGCCTGTACCCCAGAAGTATCTCAGAAGTATCTCAAAAGTAACTAATTTGCTTTTGATTTTACAGGCTCATAGGCAGAAGGGACTTGCCTTATCTCAAATGAGACTTTAGACTGTGAACTTTGAGTTGATGCTGAAATGAGTTAAGACTTTGGGAGACTGTTGGGAAGGCAAGATTGATTTTGAAATATGAAAAGATGAGATATAGGAGGGGCTATGGGTGGAATGATATGGTTTGGCTGTGTCTCCACTCAAATTTCATATTGAATTCCCATGTGTTGTGGGAGGGACCCAGTGGGAGGTAATTGAATCATACTGGCAAGTCTTTTCTGTGGTGTTCTTGTGATAGTGAATAAGTCTCATGAGTTCTGATGGTTTTATAAAGAGGAGTTCCCCTGGACAAGCTCTCTCTCCTTGGCTGCTGCCATTCATATAAGACATGACTTGCACCTCCTTGCTTTCCACCATGATTGTGATGCCTCCACAGCCATGTGGAACTATAAGTCCATTAAACTTCTTTCTTTTGTAAATTTCCCAGTCTCAGGTATGTCTTTATCAGGAACATGACAACCAATACAAGATCCTTTGCCTATTTTATATTTGCACTATTTTTCTTTCTATTGAGTTGTTTGAATTCCTTATGTATTTTGGATATTAAGCCTTTATCAGTTATACGGTTTGCAAATATGTTTCTTCTATTCTGTAGGTTGTCTTTCCACACTGTTAATTGTTTCCTTTCTTTACAGAAGGTTTTTAGTTCAATGTAATCCCATTTATCTTTGTGCTTTTGGTTGTCTGTGCATATCCAAAAAATCATTGTCCAGACCAATATCATGGAGATTTCCCACTGTTTTCTTCTAACAGTTTTATAGTTTCAGGTCTTACCACATTTAAGTCTTTATTTTCTTTATTCCATTTTGAGTTGACTTTTGTACATAATATGAGATAAGGGTCTAATTTCATTCTTCTGCATGTGGCTAGCTAGGTGTCCCAATGCCAGTTATTGAAGGTACTGTCTTTTTTCTTTTTTGTGTTCTAGGCACCTTTATCAAAAACCAATTGACTATATGGCTGATTTAGTTCTGGGCTCTCTGCTTTTTTCCATTGGTCTATGGAACCATGCTCTTTTGATTACTATACATTTGTAGTATATTTGGAGAATAGAAACTTCTTAATGTAGTAAAATTTCTGTCTTTATGTGTATAGTCAGCATTTCTATATTTTACTTAAGAAGTTCTTCTCTGTCATATGGCCAGGAAAATATCATTCTATATTGTTTTTTAAAGATTGTAAAATTGTGCAATTTTTAATTTTCAATTTTAATTCACAGAATATTAATTTTTATGTACATTGTGAAATATATATTCAGTTTCATTTTTCTCTTAATGTAGATACTTGGCTGTCTAAGCATCATTTATCAATCCTTTCACACAACAGGTTTTCATCTATGTTTGAGTCTAGTTCTACTTTATTCTGGTCAACTAATTCATTTATTTCTAACCTTGTTTATTGCCATAACTGAATAATAACTGTTTAAATCTGAGACGGAATCTCATAACATTTGCCTTTTCTTAAAATTAATTGCTTTATCTTTCTTGGTCCTTTGTTTCTCCATATACATCTGGTTCATGTTTATATACAGCTTGTCATGTTTTAAAAAATCTGTTGGGATTTTTATTGAAATTGCATTGAAGCTGTCAATAAGTTAGGAAAGAACTGACATCTTTGTAATATTGAATCTTCCTACTCATAAATATAACAAGTTTGTATTCACATCTTTTTTAATGATCTTAAATTTTGAAAAATTTTATAAAAAGTCCTTTCATATCTTTTAATGAATTTCTCTTATACATTTTTGTTGCTGTTCACAACAGCCTTACTGAACATAGATTTTACTAATATTTGTGAGCTGCATTATGTAAGCAAACTGGTGTCACTTTAAATTAACAATTTATATTCATTTTGTTAATAGGGAGATAGTTTACCATTGATACTCCTTTTATGAATTCAATTTTCACATACTTTAATTTCATTGGCATGCTGAAAATCTTTTTATTGACAAAAACTTGTAAATTAAACAAAAAAAATTTTCTAGTTTTTATATTGTCAAAGGGTTATACTTTTTATTTCAATGATATTTGTCAATCATATTTTATTATAATTTTGTGTTTTCTAATTAAAGATTACTTAATTCATAAATATTTTCTTCTAGCTCACTTAATTTTTTTTCTTATTTAAAGCTTTGAGTGTACATATATTTATGTGTATGGGGAGATTTTAGAGAAAAAGATAATGTTTGTGTATACGTGTGTTTCTTTGTGTGTACATACGTATAAAGATTTAAAACTATTTTTCAAATGGTTTTCATTTGCCCTAAAACCAATTTTTAAAACACATGAATAAAAAAGTTCAAACTCGTTTCCTAATCTAGTATGCCCTGTTTGTCATACTTAATGTCCAAATATTTATATATCTATGTGGAAAGTATCTCTTTTGATTGAATGATTATTCCTAAGCCAGTACCCCACTATTTTAGTTCATGTAAATAGATTTTTTATATCTGATAATAGGCCTATCATTGAATACTCTTATTAAACAAAATTTTTCAACATTAATATTTGAGTAATCTTACAAGATTGCAGAAATTGCTGAGGCTGTTGACTGAGAGTATAATTAATAATTAATCTGGAAAATAATTGAAATCTTGAATACATTAAATCATTCTATCTGGCAACATGAAAAGTGTCTGCATTTATTTATTTAGGTTGCTGAGATTCCTCACTAATTCTTTTTTGTTTGTTTGTTGTTTTCATATTAGTCTTCACATTTTTTGTTTCTGATTATGTTTTGTAATTTGGGTTACATGAATGAAAGGTATCCTTTCCACATCATATCTTCTAGATAATCATTATGTCTTATATTCAAGAAAGTTGAATCTTGAATTCAGGCACTGTACTGGACTCTCTTATTTAATGTAATAGATTTTTAGTTAACACTTTTGGATTTGCTAGACAAAAATATCATTTTAAGAATTTGTCTTTCTAATATTTTATATTATATTTCTCATTATATTAGTGCGTGTTAATTGGTATAAAAATGAGACAATAATTGGATAGAGGAAAACTTGATTGAATTTTAGCTTCAATGGGGATGCCTGTGGTATTTCCTTTAAAAAATGTGCTCATTAAAAATTGTCACCCCCAGCTATATTTCAGTATCCTGACAGGAACAGACACCACTCTTCAGAGGAACAGCTGAAGACTATTTACGAATTGTTTGCAGAGTTAATCACTTAAAAAAAAAATGGTAAAATACCCAGGGCTAGCAATAGTGGGAAATCATGATCATCCCTTGTTCTGAAGGGGCAAAGGAGAGATTTGTTTCAGATGGTGATAGCTGTAGCAGAGGAGGAGAGGTCACTGGTAAGGAGATATGGCTTAGTTAAAGAGACTGGAAATTTCCAAACCATGACCCACAAGGAAAAGTGCTTTGCATGAGTTAGCTTCCTAGAGCTGAAAACGCAGTGGAAACATTAGAAGTGGATCTGCAGAAGAAAATGTAGTATATCCATAACAATTCATCCTTTTTCGCTCCTACCATCCACTTTTGGCTTTTGGCCAGGAAGTAAAACTCTGTCCCAAACACAAGGAACATACAAAATCCCTTCACCTTCCCTATCATGAATTGGTTTCAAATTATACATACTCCCACCTCAAACCAAATTGAAATATGAACCGCCAGTGCTATTATTTAGAGTAATGGGGAGGAGAAATAAAAGAGAAATGGCTAGTGAAACTATTACCAAAAATAAAACACATGCTTCAGTCCAAGCTTTTTAGGCTTGTCATATTAATAATGATTACTTCGTCTTCCACCATCCATTTTATATTGCTTTTACTTTTTGCCAGTTCCTCAGCTGATTGGAGTATTTAACCCAGCTGCATATTTCAAACATTCATTACCATAGGATTCGAATTTGTAAATATTTTATTAGTTTGCCTCTACTCATTGTCCTCTAGCAGGCATGGCAGTAATAGGAGGGTGCAGAATTAGTCTCCCGTGTCTTCATTTGTGTGCAGCAACCCAGCTTCCCTTTGTTAATAAGGATGAAGTGCTCAGTTCAGTACAATGAGCTGCATGTTTGGTCAGCGCAGGGAACTCTACCTGATCATGTGACAGTTCTCATTTAAATTTTAAAAGAACAATGACTGTATTCATTAGTAGAAGCATTCCATCTTTGGGCCCTGAGTTTTCAAACAAACCAGAGAGAAACTTCCAAGAACATGAATAAAAAATACCTTAAGTGGGTTACTATATATATTAGGTGTAATGACAAGCACCACCCTGACCTCCACAGTTGGTTCAAAGACTTGTTCATTCTGACTACAGGAGAGATGGTCTTGATTGAGGTGTAACTCTTGGCTTAAGACTATATTACATGCTGTAGCATAGCAAACCAGTGTTGTTTTGTATTCTCTCTTTTCTCCCAGATGACACTGTCATAGAACCCTCAGCAGCCTATTTCGTCATTTTATCATGTCAGGTGCTTCCAGATTATGATGAAAGCTGTGAGATCAGTGAAGTTTATAAATATGAGCCCATTGCATTGCTGCAAGGTAGCTTTCTTCATTAGAGACAATATTGGATTCAATTTCACGACAATAAACAAAAGTTCTGTGAATCTATGTACACTAGTGATAGAAATAAAATATATCTATTACTTTGAAAACAAATCGCTGTCTCTTTTGTGTTTGACTGGGACTAATGTAATAAATATGGCATCATTATATCTGACTGGTCCCCTGGTGATTGGTGCTTAATTGGGTTCCCTGTGATGGCCTTCACTGATATTAGGCTTAACATTTTGCTACAGTGGTTATCAAATCAACCTTAGTGAGGGCAAATCCATGTTACCGAGCCCATGCATAATATTCAACTGTCGTTAGAGCCTGCTTGTATATGGAAACATTTAGCAAGCTCTGAGGACTTGAATGGACCTTCACCGACATTTAAAATGGATCATCATGTTAATTTGATCATCAAGAGTCTTTTCGTTGAGGTCTGATTGGCATTTATATGGAACATAAACATCTTTATATGTTGCTCCCATTCTGAGTCTTCCATCCACTGAGTTCTACATCTTTTGTCATTGACATTTAAATCTTCTTCTTTCCAAGATCTTTTCAATTTCCTGACCAGCTGACCAAGCCATAAATGGAGTAGATCTATGCCTCAGGTCATCTCTTCTTTGCAATATTCCTACCCAGATATAACTCCTGAAGTAATGTCCACTTTGGATATTTTATTCATGGCTCCCTTTTAAGATGCCCTTGTTTGACTGTAATGCAACAATATTCTGCCAGAAGTCAGCATATTGTGTAAACTCACCTACGTAAGTCATTTTGGCCTTTAAAAAATCTGTTAACTTTTTTAGGTTACTCCTTATGAAACCTTAGGCATGGATGAGAGAGAAAGGAGATGAAACAAAAGGAGCAGTTAATATGGGAATTTGAGTCATATGCTCAAACAAATTATTTGTGTCTTCTGAACCTACTTGGGCCCAGATTTATATAAATGATTTCCATTTTAAAAATGGAGTGCAGTTCTACATATACATATTTACAATTTGTTGACTAAAATAATACCTACTTTACAAAGAACTTTTGTGTTCTCATAGTCTCTTGGAGTTCCATAGTTGAATTTGATTTTTATCAAGGCCTGTTAGCAAGCTTTTGGGAAGCTTTGCCAAAGGGATAATATTTGTCAAAAGAAGAGTGCATGGAGTCATTAAAAATACTAGGGGTTTGCACTGTGACCCTCCTACTGGGGCTTGCCAAAAGCCTATATTACCACCCCTTTCTGCCATAAAAATGTCTGAGTACAATTGAATCTGCATAGTCAAAAGACCTTTCTTTCAGGATAGTTTGTAATACAACCAGGACCTTTCATACAATCTTCTATTCTTCTGCATTCACTCAAAACTGGCCACTTTATAGGTAACTCACTAATCAATGGCACATATCCAAGTATGTTGTATGTTGCTGCCAAAATGGAGTGGAGGCAGCTCTGGATATTGGGGAGGTCAGGCTCTCTTGCATTCTCCCAGGAAAGTGGTCAAATCCAGGGGCCTAAGGAGTGACTGACTGCAGGTTTCACCTCTACTGCGCCTGGAAGGAGAAGGCCCACTGACATGGGAATCTAATCCACCAGATTTCTCAGATTAGTAGCAGTTCCATCCTTCTCTGCGACGGAGCTTCCTCCCTCTGAGAGGGGCAACCCTCCATTTCTGGTCTCTCTCCTTCCTCTTGCTATTGGCCTGCAGGCTCTGGGGGGTGCACAGTGACTATGGACAGATGTCGATTCCCCAGCACAACATAGTGGCCCTACAAAAACGCAGCCAGACTGTTTTTTTACACTGGTCTCCAGTCCTCCTTCTCCTCAGTGGGTAGGACCTCCTGACTTGGGACTCCAGCCAACACCCTGACCCTCCTTGGCTCTCAGGCTAGAAAGAGCTCTGCACTTCCCTGAGAAAAAGCTCCCACAGGGAGAAGCAAGCCACCATTTTTGCTTTCTTGCAGCCCTTGGTACTGTTGCCTTCAGGCTCTGGTGGGTGTGTGGTGACTAGGAATTTGGGTGGATCCTCAGCACAATGCAGCAGCCTCACGGAAAAAGTGACCAGACCATTTTCCACCTGGGTCAGTGATCCTGCTTCCCCTTACTGGTCAGGGCCTCCCAACCTGTGACTCCAGCACAATGACCCTGTCTCAGCCTGAACAGTTGGAAGCAGCTGTGCAGCTCACTGGGGAGGAAATCTCAGTGACAACCCACAAGCTCTCTGCCATTGCAGCTGCAGTGGTACTGGCCTAACTACCCTTGGGCTGAGGAAGGAAAAAAGGTCTTAGTCACTGCACTGGCACCTCCAACACACTGCAATCACCATATGGAGAGGGTTCCAGATCCTCTTCCCTGTGATCCTCCATGCCCCACTGTTCACCAGGCAGGGCCTCTGGCTGCAGATAGAAGATCAGTAACCCCTGCCATGGCTGAGCACACGCAGAGGTAGTGGCTCTGAGATCCCCTGAAGAGGGGCTTCCAGAGGAAAATAATTACCACTCTTCCACTGCCACAGCAGCTGTTGTGCCCTTGCTGTGCTCAGTCTGAGGAAGAAACAAAGAGCCTGAGGACTTCACCTGTGTTCCCCGTACACCACGGTCACCATACAGAGAGGAGCTCAGTCTCACCTTTCTGGGAGTCCTTGACCCTTGCTCCTTAACAAGGGGAGCCCCAAGTTCAGGCCAGCAGTGCAGCATCCCACACTCTGGTTGAACATTTCCAGTAGAAGCAGCTCTGCATTTCTCTGAAGTGTAGCTCCCAGAGGCAACTGAAAGCCTCTCTCCCACTGCCACTGCAGCAATACTTCCCTTGCTGCCCTCAGACTGAGGAAGGAGCAAAGAAACTGAGTGTTTTAACTACACCTCCTGAAAGTTGCAAGTGCCTTAAGGAGAAGGGGCCAGTCTGTGCCTCATTTATTACCAGGCAGGCTCCGTGGCTTGGGCCCACAGCACAGCCACTTCATCCTGGGTTGATTACACTGATTGATAGTGGCTCCACATCTCTTTGGGTGGAGCCTCGAGAAACAAGTGAAAGATCCCCTGTGACAACCACTGCTAAGGTCCCTTCCTTGTTTTCCCCAAGCTGGGGAGGACACATAAAGCCCAAGATTGCCCCAGAGCTGCAGTGTGCAGCCTGGGAGTGCCAAGCCAAGATCTTCAGCCAGCACTCAGTGGGAGAGGAACCCACACTTTCAGAGCACTGAGAGGAAGCATGGCTGCAACTGTGAGTAAATACAGAGGAGCCATGTGGCTGAGCAAGAGCTGACCTACTGGCCAGTTTGCTTAAACGCCACCTACTGGATCACAGACCAAAATTCAGCACCAAAAATACTTTGTTAGTATGCCCCCTTGTGAAACCAAGGACAATAATTCAGCTACAAATAAAGACCTTGCACAAAGCCTTGGCCCTCTGAAAACATCCTGAAAAGAAGTCTACTGACTGTACTCAAGTTATGCCACAGTTACAGGAACAGCAGCTAACATAGATGAGTAAGAACCAGTACAGTAACTCTGGTAACTCAAAAAGCCAGAATGGCTTTTTTCCTCCAAATGACTGCACTAGTTCCCAAATAACCATTCTTAATTGGGCTGAAATGACAGAAATAGAATTCACAATACAGATAGGAATGAAGATCATTGAAATACAGCAGAAAGTTAATATCTATTCCAGGGAATCTAAGGATTATAGTAAAATGATACAGGAGCTGCTAGATGAAATAACTATTATGAAAAAAACTGATTTGGTAGAACTGAAAAACACACTACAAGAATTGCATATGCAATCACAATTATTAACAGCAGAACAAGCAAACCTGAGGAAAGAATCTCAGACTCAAAAGCTGGCTCTTTGAAATAACTCACTCAGACAAAAATGAAGAAAAAAAGAATTTAAAAAATAAATAAAACTTCTCAGAAATTGGGATTATGTAAAGAGACCAAGTCTGTGACTCATTGGTGTCCCTGAAAGAGATAGGGAGAAAGCAAGAAACTTGGAAAACATATTTCAGGATGTACTTCATGGAAACTTTGCCAACATTGCTTGAGAGGGAAACATTCAAACTCAGGAAATGTAGAGAACCCCTGTGAGTTAATACACATGAAGAACATTCCCAAGACACGTAATAATCAGATTCTCCAAAATTGAAATGAAAAAAACATTTTTAAAGGTAACTATACAGAAAGGGCAGGTCACTTCCAAAGGGAACTCCGTCACGCTGATAGTGAACCTTCCAGCAGGAAACCCTACAAGCCAGAATAGAGGTCTCTATTCAGCATTTTTAAGAAAAGAATTTCCAATCAAGAATTTCAAATCTGGCCAAATTAAGCTTCATAACTGAAAAAGAAAAAAAAAATCTTCTCAGACAAGCATATGCTGAGGAAATTTGTTACCACCAGACATGCCTTACAAGAGATCCTAAAATGAGAACTAAATATGGAGAGACTATTACAGCCACTACAAAAACACACTTGACTACACAGACCAGTGACACTATAAAGCAACCACACAAACAGGGCTGCTTAATAACCAACTAACAACACAATGACCAGATCAAATCCACACGTATCAATACTAACTTGGAATGTAAATGGGCTAAATGCCCCAATTAAAAGCCACAGAGTGGAAAGCTTGATAAAGAACTAAGATCCAATAATGGTATGCTGTATTCAAGAGATCCATCTCACATGCGATGACACCCAGAGACTCAAAGTAAAGAGATGGAGAAAAATCTACCAAGCGAACAGAGAACAGAAAAAGCAAGGGTTCTCATCCTAATTTCAGAAAAGAAACAGACTTTAAACCAACAAAGATAAAAAAGACTAAGAAGGGCATTACATAATGGTAAAGGGTTCAATTCAACAAGAACTAACTATTTTAAATATATGTGCATGGAACAATGATGCACCCAGATAAATAAAGCAAGTTTCTAGAGACCTACAAAAAGTCTTAGGTTCCCACACAACGATAGTGGGAAACTTCAACATCCCTCCGACAGTATAAGATTATTAAAACAGAACACTAACAAAGATATTCAGGACCTGAACTCAACACTAGACCAAATGGATCTAATAGAATTCCCCAACACAAAACAACAGGATATACAATCTTCTCATCGTCACATGGCACAAAATCCAAAATCAACCCAACTGAACATACAACAATACTCAGCAAATTCAGTAAAACTGGAATCATACCAACCACGCTTTCAGATTTTCTCAAAAATAAGAAAATTTCACAAACCTTACAATACATGGAAATTAAACAATCCGCTCCTGAATGACTTTTGAGTAAATAAAGAAATTGAGGCAAAAATCAAGAAGATCTTTGAAATTAATTAGAAAAAATACAACTTAAAAATCTCTGGTACACACTTAAGGCAGTGGTGAAAAGGGAAGTTCATTGCATTAAATGCCCACATCAAAAAGTTAGAAATATTTCAAATTAACAACCTCACAGCTAGTGGCACTAGAGAAGAAAGAGCAAACCAACCCCAATGCTAGTGAAAGTCAAGAAATAACCAAAATCAGAGCTGAACTGGTAAAAATTAATACACAAAAAATTTTACAAAAGATTAACAAATTCAGGAGTTTGTTTTTTGAAAGAATAAGTAAGATAGACAAATAGCTAGACTAATGAAGAGAAAAGATAGAAGATCCAAATAAACACAGTTAGAAATGACAAAGAGGATGATACCACTGAACCCACAGAAATACAAAAAACCCTCAGAGACTACTATAAACATCTCTATGCAGAGAAACTAGAAAATCTAGAAGAAATGAATAAATTTCTGAATACATAAAACCTCCCAAGACTAAACCAGGAAGAAACTAAATTCCTGAACAGATCAATAATGACTTCCAAAATTGAATAAGTAATAAAAAGCCTACTAACAAAAATCAGCTCAGGACCAGATGGATTTACAGCTGAATTCTACTAGATGTATAAAGAAAAGGTGATACAATTCCTATGGAAAGTATTCCAAAAAACTGAGTAGGAAGGACTCCTTCCTAAGTCATTCTGTTAGGCCAGCATTATCCTGACACCCAAACATGGCAGATACACAACATAAAAAGAACACTTCAGGACAATATCTTTGATGAAGATAGATGCAACAATTCTTAACAAAATATTAGCAAACTGAAACTTACAGCACAACAAAAATCTAATCATCCACGATCAAGTATGCTTTATTCCTGGAATGCAAAGTTGATTCAACATATGCAAATCAGTACATGTAATTGATCACATAAATAGAACTAAAAGCAAAAATAACATAATAATTTAAATAGATGCAGAAAAGGCTATTGATAAAATTCAACAATGCTTTATGTTAAAAAACCTCAATAAACTAGGCATTGAAGGAATGTATTAATACTTCAAAATAATGTCTTCTGTGACAAACCCACAACCAACATCATACTGAATGAGCAACAGCTAGACTCATTCCCTTTAAAAACTGGCACAAGATAAAGATGCCCTCCCCCACAACTCCTCTTCAACATAGTACTGGAAATCCTGGCCACAGCAATCAGGTAAGAGAAATAAGTGAAAGAAAATAGGAAGAGAGGAACTTAAACTATTCCTGTTTGCAGACAACATAATTCTGTATTTAGAAAGCCCCATAGTCTTGTCCAAAAACACCTTGATCTGATAAACAACTTCAGCAAAGTCTCAGGATACAAAATCAATGTACAAAAGTCACTAGCATTCCTGTGCACCAGCAACAATCAAGCTAAGAACCAAATCAGGAATGCAATCTCATTCATAATTTCCACAAACAGAATGAAATACCTAGGAATACAACTAACCAGAGTGGTGGAAGGTCTCTACAATAATGTTTTCTTTTTACTTTTTTCTCCTTTGGAGTCAGGGTATCACTATTTTGCCATGGCTGAGCTTGAACTCACAATCTTCCTGCCCTAACCTCCAGAGTACTTGGGACTACAGGTGTGTGACTCCACTCTGGGCCCAATGTTTTCTATAGAATTTTTTGGGGGAGTTCAGCATCAAATCTGGGGTCATACATTAAATTTAGTTGATATTTCACTTTATTTTATCCTGAACAGCTTTCTAGTACTTCTTTAACTTTTTATTGCATTAACATTTTGAGGAACATCTCCCATTTGCTTTGCAGAATACCTTTCAATCTGAAACTGATAATTTCCTTATTTTGAGACCAAACTTATCCATACCTGTCAGGCATGTTACATCCCAGGTTATCTTTGCCTTTGCCTGCATCAAATTACAAATTGAATTAAGGGTAAAAAGGTTCAACCTGTTTACCTTGATTAGGACATCTTTGAGGCCACCCCTACCTCGAAATTTCCTGTAATACTGGCCTTTGATGCAATTATGTTCATGTAAATGTCTCTCCCTGTCCATTGCTTTGTTACAGGTGTTATTCCCTAGAGCACTCACCAACAAATCCTGCAAAAAAATCTAGCAGAAACTATTTTTTTCGAAACCCAACATACACATTTTTGTAAATGTTCTTGGCTCTTGCTTCTCTCAGAGGGGGTCATGAATTGAATTGTTGTGGTTCTCTTTTTGCGGTTTCTTCTTATCAGGACTTTGTATGGAGTTACACTGATTTTTGTCTTCTGTTCATTTTGAAGTCCTGAAATGAGTCTTCTGTATAGATAGAGTAAGAGTTAAGGTTTTGGTGTGTTTTCTAAGATTTCTAGTTTATAGGTGCCTTTTTAAATATAATTTTCTCAGCATAGTACAAAATTTAAGTGAGGAAGGAAGAATTAGAATACCTTTAGATTTTGTCATACTTCTTTGTTTCCTCAGGACTTTAATTTCCTCTTTTTACTTCCTTACTTTTCTTTACCATGAAGTCTCCCAAGAGTACCTTTCCTTGCTACTTATCCTCATCTCCTCCAGAAGTGATACATTTTGGAGAATAGGAGAATACCATCATAGGTCCTGCATATTTTCATTCTTTCCCTCTGCTCAACATCCTGCTCTATCAGACATCAAACCACTTTCGTTAATGATTTTGAAATTAGTGTGACTTACACTTTTGTGGGTGATTCTGGCTGTGCTCCATCTCCCTTAGGCTTCATACTTCCCTCTACTGTTCTCTATAGTCTTTTCAGGGTTCCCTCACCTTTCTCTCTGGATCAGCAGAGGATCTCTCTGCTGGGATTTGATGTTTATTTCTCTATTTAGAGGTAATTTGAGTTTCATAGTATTCTCAGTGTCACTTATGCTGAATGTCCTAGTTATGTGTGATATTATATACTTGCTGTGCTGTATGTATTGAGTTATTTTTGGAGGATATGTAGAGAGATTCTGACTTCAGGAGCTGCCATTATTATATAAAAGACATCTGAATATCAAGTGTCAAATATTTCCGTATTTTAATTTTTTCTTATCTTACTTCATAATAATCATTTTAAAATTATAGGTCCTAATTACTAGTTTCTGTATTTCTTTTTAAGAAATATTTTCCCCTCTCTGGATGAAATTTCTGAGGTGGGTTTGATATGTGGATGTTATCTCATCTGAGTTGAATTGAAACTTTTAGTAAGTTGACTAACAATGATCTTTTGCTATTCTCATTAGGTATGTTTGCCATACACAAAGCCTTAAGCTTTCCATTTTACTCTGGTGCCTTCTTAGAGTTGAGAATTTCAACTGTATACTTTTTAATCAGAAGCAAAGCAATCTTGTTCATGCAAATTTGTGTCTTTGTTTTTAATAAGGCACTTGCTCTTTGATGTTACAGTGCAATTTTTTTGCACCTAATTATTCCAAAGTAATTGTCAAGGAGAAACTTCTAAAAATATAGAATACCCTGGAAAGATCATGTGGAAGGGCTCTTTTCTCTGGGGCATGATTCCTCGGTGAATTACTATGGAATGAGCAGCCGTGGGGACAAACAGTTTGAACAACTCAGTGAAATATTTTGTTGTTTATTGTTAAGTCACATCTTGTCTTAACTGAGAGAAGATTTCTCCTCAGGTATTAATGTTAGTGTCAAAAATAAAATAAAAGCTATTATCTTACTAGACATGAACCATACTAAAGCAGTCATATGAACATATGAGTGCTTTTAAAATATTCAAAACAAAGCCAAGTTTCTAGATTATCTTTGTGCACTATTGACCAAGAATGTTTTAAAAGGTTCGTTCAACCAATGAGGTCAGTAAACTTAATAGGGAGGTTTTAAATTTCTTTAATTTTAATATATACATTCTCAATTACATCTTTCCAATTTGATGATTCATCAGTCATATCAACTGTTTATTCCCAAAACCAACTCTGGATAATCCCATAATCCAAACAAAAATATTTACGAAAGTTGGAGAAGATGATCATTCTTTGTTCAGGCAAAAGGAGATACATCCCTGTGTGACAAAGCATTTGCAACTTTAGTGACCGTGTGCCCTCTTCTTTTCTTTGCAGTCATGCCTGGATTCACAGGGTTTTAATCCTGACTAATTTTCAACAAACTAGGCAGTCATCTTCTAGGACCAAAGAAAAAACTGCATAAGCCTGGATTTGGAACAAGTGACCAAGGAGGAGATAGAAAACCAAGGTAACAAATTTACAAAAAGTTTTTCACTGCTATTATGATAGGGATAAAATAGATTTTATTTGAATGAGTTATGCGTCTTTCTTAAGAAGTAGGTTTTATCACTTAATCTCCAGCATTTTATGCCAGAACCTCCAAGAATAAGACATCTTACACATTTTCTTCATTTTATAAAATATTATTAGAATAAGTACAATGGCAATAATGTTCTCTAAATTTTTAATTAGAATTGTTAAATTACATATTGAAATACAGAAATTGCATAGTACAACGTAACAATATAACATGATTATATTTATTATTTATAATGGCTTCATTTAGATTGCTTTATGTAATTTAGAGAATACAACAATTATTTACCTTATATCTTAATACATTGATAATAATAGTAGGGATTACTATAGTTCTTTATTTTTTTTACCTTGTATATAGTATTTTAAAATGTTCTGGTTCTGTGCTGATCTTTTATCTGTGTTTTTTTTATTGTGATGAAATATACATAACACACTGTTGTGCAATTATCATCACTGCCCATCTCCAAAACCTTTTCATCATCCTAAACTGAAACTCCATACCCATCAAACAATAATTTTTTCTTACCCTCTCCCCTTAGCCCCTGGTATCCACCAGTGTACTTTCTGTGTCTGTGAATATGACTATTCTAGGTGTCTTATAAAAGTGAGATCATAACATATTTGTCATTTTGTGTCCGGCTCAGCATGTCTTCAAGGTTCACCAATGTTGTAGCATTATCACAATTTCATTGCTTTTTAAGGTTGAATAATATCCCCTTGTATGTATATACTACAATTTGTTTATTCATTCATTAATTGATGGGCATTCAAGTTGTTTCCATTTTTTGGCTACTGTGAATAATTCTGCTATTGAACATCAGTGTCCAAATATTTGTTTCAGTCTTTGATTTCTATTCTTTTGTGCATATACCCCAAATAACATTCACATCACCATGTGAAAATTCACCATCTGTCTTTCTCCATAGCTCTTTGACATGTATCATTAAAACTAATTTAATCTGAGGTACCTTTTTATAGATTAGGGGATCAATTGGGTACATAACATGATGTGTCCAGTTTTACTCACTACAATTTTAAAACCCTAAAAATAGGGACATATTCACATAATTAACTCACAGGCAGAAATTGATGTTGGCATTTTCCCTAAGCTTCTGTAGATCTTGTACCTAATGAAATTTATAACCTCTTTTTCCATGGACACTAAATTACCGTTTCTAATAAGGTGTATGTGTAGGTGCATAAATTTACTTAGGAAGTAGACTTTTCAGAATACAAGTTTTTATATTTTGTAAAAATTGTTACTCTGGGATACCTATCATGGATTCACTTTTTTGAGTATTTCTTAATTATTTACTTGTTCTCATTGATATTTTGTAAAAATTGTTACTCTGGGATACCTATCACAGATTCACTTTTTTGAGTATTTCTTAATGATTTACTTGTTCTCATTGAATATGTTAAGAAATTTGAAGAATATTACAAATGTTTCAATCAGATATATACTTTTTCATAAAATACATTGATAAAATACAGAATTTTGAATCATTCAAAGTGATAATTTTCGGTAGTTTAGAATAATAGTAATGCTCTTAAGAACATTTTAATAAGTGAAATATCTATTGAGTACTTAAAATGATATAAACAAATAAGTGTTATAAGTACAAAATGTCAACAGGAGAGACTGTCCTACTGGAAGTTTTCTCTTGAATGCTCAGATAGCTCCTATAAATTATGAGTACTCATTTCCATTATAAATGCAGAATAGTTTCATAATTGCCAGTAAAGGTATTTAATTATGTATATATGCAACAAAATATCAGAATCCCCAAAGACAGAACTTCCAAGGAAGCTAATCTTACCTACTGACCTACCCTAAAGTTTAAAATCTGATTTTCTTATTTTTCTTTGGCCCAAATGTATAAAGATTCCTAGAAGCAAGTGCTGATACTGATGCTGAGTTACCTTTCTGGCCACCTCCTGATTGACAGCTCTGGGAATCTGATATTCTTCTGCTCTCAACTAATTCAGTTCCCTCACCCAAAATGCTTACCAATATTTCATTCAGCTTGTGGCCTTTACTTATTTCCATATGCCTTTACTAAGTTATCTCTTATTTTATTTATGTCTACACTTTTACTCTCCCTCTGATCCTTAAAGATGTCTTGGCTTGCTTTGATGCATAGATAGAATAATCTCCTGACTATCACAAATGATCATCACTAACACAGAGCATATTTAAAATAATCCTGCTAATACAAACTTGTGTATATGACACATAAAATTGGGCCTGGATCACATCTGAAAGGCCCAACAGATTATTTGATTTATTTTACTCAAGTGAGAATGAATATTTTGTATTTGACATAAATTCCAATAACCAAGAACTAATAATATGAAAAAACCCTTATGTATTAATTACTTTAATAATTAAATAACCTTTAGCACATACTAAACCTGGTTTATATAAAAATGGTCTACCAGCAAAAATGTCATCATGTTGTCTAGGATACAGGTGTCAATGATAAGAATCCAGAAACTCATTTATCTGGAAGGATCATTACATTTCCAGTAAGGAATTATAAGGTGGGATGTGATTTTCCTGAGATGACTAAGCTCAAAATCAACTAATATTTTCAGATTTTTAGTATAGAATTATTTCTACTACACCATGATTTTGCCTGGAGTCTTTATTTTTGACATTCCAAATTAATCTGTAATTAGCCATGATCAGTCTTAAACAAATGCGAAAAGTGGGGAAAATGTCTCTGCATTGCCCCCCGACTTTGATTTGTATTACCTGTTTTTTTCCTCTAATGACCTACGTTGTAATAGATGAAAATTCAGTGTGTGTGTGTGTGTATATGTGTGTGTGTGTGTGTAGTTTCTTTTCAAATAAAACTTTGCTTTCATTGGACTTTCATGGCTGGCAAGATTTTAATACATTTATTTCCACATACTTGCTCTCTGAGCTTTGAAATTTGGTTTAATAAAATTTAATAAACATTTAGTGAGCACTCACAATGTGTCTGGTTCTTTGAGCGAGTTATTCCTGGATTCTAGGAGCTCACAGTACAGTGTTTCAGAATGGCAAATATCTAAACATTAGCCTGTAATCTTATGCTCCATATACTGGGTACTACTTTACATAAATATATAAGTAAAGTCAACACATATGAGGCTGTTTTCTTGATAGATCATGGAAGGACAAAATCTGTTCAAAAAAAGATAAATACTATATAAATATCAAAAATACAGTCTTTTTAAGGGATGTTCTCAAGAAAGCAGCTCTATTTTGATCTGTAATAGATTATCTCACATATATATTCACTCACATATACCTTCCAGTTAAAATCATGAAGCCTCATCATTGCAGTTAAAGCAATACATTTGTATTTTTTAAAATTCTTTTTTTAAAATTATACTTTAAGTTCTGGAGTATATGTGCAGAATGTGCAGCTTTGTTACATAGGTACACATGTGCCATGCTGATTTGCTGCACCAATCAACCCATCACCTGCATAGCGTATTTCTCCTAATGCTATCACTCCCCTAGCTCCCCACTCCCCAACAGGCCCCGGTGTGTGATGTTCCCCTCCCTGTGTCCATGTGTTCTCCTTGTTCAACTCCCACTTATGAATGAGAACATGCAGTGTTTTGTTTTCTGTTCTTGTGATAGTTTGCTGAGAATGATGGTTTCCCGCTTCATCCATGTCCCATTTGTAAAAATGAAAAGGATAATTGTGGGAGGATATTCTAAACACTTCTTTTCTAATGAGCTGCTCTGTGTGAGGCCCTGGTCAGGGAAAACGTGGTCGATAAGGCATCACATTTTTGACATGGAGCTTCTGACAAATAATCTCAAATTTATCACTGACCCTTTTGTTTGTAGGCTCCGACACCTGAGTCCAACACCTTCAGAAGAACACATGAAAAATAAGAACAATGTGACTGAATTTATCCTCTTAGGGCTCACACAGAACCCTGAGGGGCAAAAGGTTTTATTTGTCACATTCTTACTAATCTACATGGTGACGATAATGGGCAACCTGCTTATCATAGTGACCATCATGGCCAGCCAGTCCCTGGGTTCCCCCATGTACTTTTTTCTGGCTTCTTTATCATTCATAGATACCGTCTATTCTACTGCATTTGCTCCCAAAATGATTGTTGACTTGCTCTCTGAGAAAAAGACCATTTCCTTTCAGGGTTGTATGGCTCAACTTTTTATGGATCATTTATTTGCTGGTGCTGAAGTCATTCTTCTGGTGGTAATGGCCTATGATCGATACATGGCCATCTGTAAGCCTCTTCATGAATTGATCACCATGAATCGTCGAGTCTGTGTTCTTATGCTGTTGGCGGCCTGGATTGGAGGCTTTCTTCACTCATTGGTTCAATTTCTCTTTATTTATCAGCTCCCTTTCTGTGGACCCAATGTCATTGACAACTTCCTGTGTGATTTGTATCCCTTATTGAAACTTGCTTGCACCAATACCTATGTCACTGGGCTTTCTATGATAGCTAATGGAGGAGCGATTTGTGCTGTCACCTTCTTCACTATCCTGCTTTCCTATGGGGTCATATTACACTCTCTTAAGACTCAGAGTTTGGAAGGGAAACGAAAAGCTTTCTACACCTGTGCATCCCACGTCACTGTGGTCATTTTATTCTTTGTCCCCTGTATCTTCTTGTATGCAAGGCCCAATTCTACTTTTCCCATTGATAAATCCATGACTGTAGTTCTAACTTTTATAACTCCCATGCTGAACCCACTAATCTATACCCTGAAGAATGCAGAAATGAAAAGTGCCATGAGGAAACTTTGGAGTAAAAAAGTAAGCTTAGCTGGGAAATGGCTGTATCACTCATGAGAATGTGACATTCATTCTTTCACAGAAGCAAGGAACAATTTCACTATCCTATCTGATTACATTTCTGTTATCATTTCCTTTTAGTTTTTTAGCTTACTTATTCTGAAGCAGTCATATAAATTAATATTTGTCTAGGTGTAATATGTTACACCCATTACAGACCAAGAAAATTGCATAGGTTTAACAGTGTGTACTGTTTTTGTAATCATACTGTGTTAAGATTCTTTGGTTGATAACAATATTTAGTTTTATTTCAAGCTCTTTTTTATTTAAAAATCATTTATTTATTTTTCTTTTTTATGTATTTTAAATTGTCAATAATTGG
The DNA here is from genome assembly GCF_000001405.40 of Homo sapiens. Classification (NCBI taxonomy): domain Eukaryota; kingdom Metazoa; phylum Chordata; class Mammalia; order Primates; family Hominidae; genus Homo; species Homo sapiens. Next base: position 55,369,244 of record NC_000011.10, read on the forward strand.
GTATATTTATGGAGTACAATGTGATGTTCTGATCTATGTATACATTATAGAAAGATTTCATCAGTCTAATGAATATATCTGTCACCTCCCCAACATTGATTTTTTGTGTGTGGTAACATCAAAAATCTATTCTTCTTTATGGTCTGTGATATCTTCCTGGCACATATAAATGTGATCTAAGAAAATTTGTTCCCTTTCATCCAAGAGAATGATATATTAAACGTGAAAATTTAGATTGTTAAAAGAATGTTAATCTAACAGTACAAATAAATGTCTTGGTGAAATTAATGAATTTAAAGTTTCATAGATATGTTGATAGCTGAGGATAAATCAATGAGAAATAAACTTTGTTAATTTCATACTGTGATGGAGTTAGGATGTCCAGATAGCATATAGTTGTTTTTGTATAATTTGACCAGTTTTTGAACAGAAAAATTGTTTAATCTCATTCTGTATACCTAGATCAATTGACCTCCCCCAATAGCTGAAATAGGTGCTTAAGCCACTCATATATAACAGTAGATTCCACAGAATCTACCCACATTAAACTCTCTGGGTGCACTTTAAAAACACGCACACACACAATGAATGTCAAACATTTTTCAAACGGATTGTTTTGCTTTACACAATAAGTAGCTTTCAGAATCTCTGTGAACTATATGATCTCATTGACTGAAGTGATACAAAGTGATACATCAAAGGTGTCTTCTTTGTTTAGAGTTGCTCTACAGTGGGTTTAGAGAACTAATACGGTATTACAAAGATAATTTTTAATGGCTATGGCATAACATATTGCCTTGTTGAAGTCAACCTACACCATCTTTATTAAGGTAAAAAGTTGGTATTTTTTTCTTTTTCCTTTCCTCAGTTTATAATAGATGTACTTAATGCACTTAGCAATATTAATGCTTCCAGTTATTCAACACATATTGAAAAAAAAATAAGCCATGAAATTGTATTTATTCTTTAGTTAAGGAAATGAAAAGTGCTGTAGATTTTTTAGTAAGAAAGGAATCTCATATCAGGAATTAGAACTTCATAATCATTGGAATTGGGGAATCCAACATCTGGATACTGGAGTGAGCACAGTGGGATTGAAGTTTCACCACCCAAGCCATGATGCAGAGATGAGGAAGCTAAACTCAGGAAGAAGGTCCTCCTGTCCTCTGCACATGCTTCTCAAAGTCCTCTCCTGCCCTGAGTTTTATATGAAGATAACTTTCTCTAAAATTAGAACAGCAGCAGAAGCAAGAGGGGAAGATAACACACAATTATAAATCACAAGTTGTCATGAGAACTCACTGTCATGTTGACAGCACTAAGGGGGGATGGTATTAAACTACGAGAAACTTCCCCCATAATCTACTTAACAACAGGCCCCACCTACACTTTGGATATTCCATTTAGACATGAGCTTTGGGTGGGGACACAGATCAAAACCATATTATTCTGCTCTTGGCCCCTCTAAAATGTCATGATCTTTTCAACTTTCAAAATACAATCATGCCTTCCCAACATTCCCCCAAAGTGTTAACCCATTCCAACATTAACTAAAAAGTCCATGGTCCAGTCTTATGTGAGACAAGACTTGTCCCTTCCCCCTGAGCCTGTAAAATCAAAAGCAAGCCTGTAAAATCAAAAGCAAGCTAGTTACTTCCAAGATACAAAAAAGGTATAGGAATTGGTTAAATACTTTCATTCCAAAATGAAGAAATCAGCCAAAAAAAAAAGGGGGTTACAGGCCCCATACAAGTCTGAAGTCTAGCAGGGCAGTCATTAAATCTTAAAATTCCAAATCAATATCCTTTGACACCATTCCTAACATCTGGGGCATACTAGTGCAATGGGTAGTCTTCCAAGGCCTTGGGTAGCTCCACTCATGTGGCTTTACTGGTTTCAGACCCCAAAGTTACTCTTTAATTTCCTCTGATGCTCTTGAGGGGGACTGTGACCCTTCTAGGTGCAGGGTGCAAGCTGCTGGTGGATCTATCATTTTGGGGTCTGGAGGATGGTAGCCCTCTTCTCATAGTTCCACTAGGCAGTTCCCCAGTAGGTACTCTGTGTGTTTGCTCCAACCCCACATTTCCACTCTGCACTGCCCTAGTACAGATCCTTTGTGATGCTCAACCCCTGAAGCAGGCTTCTCTCTGGGATTCCAGGCTTTTTGATACATCCTTTGAATCCTAGGTGGAGGCTCCCAAGCCTCATCTGTTGCAGTATGTGCACCTGCAGGCTTAACACCACATGGAAGCCTTAAAAGCTCACAGCTTTCATCCTCTGAAGCAGTGGCCTGAGATGTATTTGGGGCCCATTTAGCCACAGCTAGACCTGGAGTGGCTGAGATGCACACTGCAGTGTCCCACGGTTGCTCAAGGCAACAGGGCTCTGGGCTTGGCCCTGAAAACCATTCAGTTCTCCTAGGTCTCCTGGCCTGTGATGGGAGGGGCTGCTGAAAAAGTGTCTGAAATGCCTTTGAGGACTTTTTCCCACTGTCTTGCCTGTTAGTACTTGGTTCCTATTATGCAGATTTCTGCAGTCTGCTTGAATTTCTTCCCAGAAAATGGGCTTTTCTTTTCTATCATGTGGCCAGACTGCAAATTTTTCAAACTTTTACACTCTGCTTCCCACTAGTTCCAGTTTCAGGTCATTTCTGTGCTCATTCATATGAGTTATAGGTTGTTAGACACAGCAAGGCTAAATCTTGAATGCTTTGCTGCTTAGAAATTTCTCCTGCAACATACCCTAAATCATCACTCTCAAGTTTAACCTTTGACAGATCCCTAAAGCAGGGGCACAATGCTGCCAGACTGTTGAAGCTCGGCAAAAGTGACCTTTATTCCATCCAGTTGCCATTAAGTTTTTCATCTCTAGGAAGTTCAAAACTTTCTCTCACCTTCCTGGCTTCTTCTGAGCCCTCTACACTCTTTCAGCCTCTGCCTGTTACCCAATTCCAAAGCTGCTTCCACATTTTCAAGTATCTTTATAGAAATGTCCCACTCTTTGGTGCTAATTTTCTGTATTAGTCCATCCTTACATTGCTGTAAAGAAATATCAGAGAGACTCTGTAATTTATAAAGAAAAGAGGTTTAATTGGCTCATTTTTCCACAGGCTGTAAGTGAAAGCAAGATGCTCGCATCTCCTCAGCTTCTAGAGGGACCTCAGCACATTTACAATTATAGTGGAAGGCAAAGTGGGAGCAGGCACATCTTACATGGCAGGGGCATGAGCAAGAAGGGGAGTTGCCACACACTTTTAAAACAAGCAGATCCCATGAGAACCCATTACTGTGATGACAATACCAAGAAGGCATGGTGTTAAATCATGAGAAACTTCCTCCACAATCCAGTCACCTCCCACAAGGCCCTACCTCGAGCATTGAGGATTATATTTCTACATGAGTTTTGGGTGGAGACACAGGTCCAAACCATATCATTTATTTTTTAAATCATTTGGAATACTCCATTTCCTTCTTTATCATTTATCGTCTTCATTTATTTTTATTTCTGATTTGTTCTTATTCAATTGTATCAACAGAGCCATTTATTGCATTGTACATGTCCTACAAATAATATAATTCTGAAGCAGAGCATTAAATAACTTCAGTTAAGTTCTCTCATTTATATGAAAAGAAGTCTAGTATTTTTTCCTGACAATAATTGATTTCATGTCATATATGAGAGAAACAGTTAATAGTTTTATTCTCAAGAGTCAAGATAATCTCATGGGAAAATAATAATCATGTTCTTTGTAGAAATTATTATCCACCTATGTGCTCCTTTCCCATCTGCTATTTTTTTCAATAACTTATTACATTTTTAAACCCAATTTCAGCTTTTAATAAGCGATTATTATGTGGGTTTTAAGGGGGTATAATATGTCCATGTGATGGACTTTTTAGCCATTTATGTCCACGGGCCATAAGAAAATCTGTGCCTTAGATCAATGAGATACCTTGGATGGGCAAATTGGTATTAGGTAGTATTTCTGTCACTTGAAAGTGTCGTCCCTTGTCGCTTGGGTCATAGGCTAAGTCAATTCCTAAATGGAAAACAATCTATTTAAGGATAGATCTCTTTGAAACCACTAGGATCTATGGCTAATGGTCTATGAAATAGCCAACAAACTGTGTTGTAATATTTGAACCTAGCAAATACTCCTCATAGTGTTACAGAACTTTATTCTTCACCATATTTTGAGTGGCTTAGTGGGCTATGTCATTATTCTGCTCATTATTATATGTCATTCATGCATATATTCAAGTGGCCACCACCTCAAAACCTATGCCAGTGGGATTCTCTTCCTTTTTTGAGTCATAACCTGGGTTCTTCAGTGGATCCTATGCCCACTTTCAACTTCCCTCAGAACACTTGTCTGACCTCCCATAGTAACATTATCTCTTGCTGAATTTCTTCGTCATCCCTTCATCAGAGACTTTTCTGCCTAACCAAATGGCAAGAATACCACAAAGCAGTTTGAAACTATGTAGAAATTGCATGGAGAACCAAATGCTACGTGCATTGAAGGATATGCTGCTAGTACATATAGTTCTTCAGGGGAATTAATTTCACCTTCTTTGACCAAGGTTTTACCATTCAGTGGGAGAATTTCAACAGATTTCCATAATCATCATACTCATCAATTAGAGAAATTCCACCAGGAAATTCAGTATTTTGTTTTTCTCTGGTAGGAAATGGACAATTGCATTCATACTACTGAGTAACCGAAGTGGAAATCTCTGTGAGAGGTTCCATTTGTGCTGAAATTCATGCTTATGAATATGATATACTTCCTAGAGCCACCTCCTAAAATATATTTGTATACATACTATTTCTATTTTATTAAGATATTTTGTTAAGCTATGCCATTAATGACAATAAGTTGTCTCTATGAAAACCCAATAACTTCTCAGTAGTTTCCTATCATGTAGGCTTCCTCTGGACATGCTATCAGGAATTATTGAATCCCAAATCCCAATAATCATTACAGGATGGCAGGATTACTTTGCTGCTAGAGTCTCCAATCTGCATATGTTCATATATATTACACTTCCAAAAATGAATGAACATTAATGTTCTTGGGTATCATGGCATTGCATGAGTAATTTTGCATTATGAATTTTCTATGGCACTTGTCATTTCTTTCTTATTACTAGGATGTGGAAGAGCTAGTGGTATAATTGCTAAGGTTTGGGAAATGTCTCTGATGGTAACGTATCACATTTTCCCAGAGTCTTGCATGATTACTCTAAGCTCTGTTTTTTGACTAGACTGATCAATCACTTCACACTAATAATATTTACTGTACTCCTGGTAATATTCCACGTTGCTTCTTCTGAGGAAGAAACTATTACAGAGTTATCAAAGTAATGAATTAATTTTCATTATGTTCCTGTCTAAATTTCTGATTTGATCAACTGGAAGAAAGTGTATCAGTGATGGAAGATCAAATTAATGAAATGAAGTAAGAAGAGAAGTTTAGAGAAAAAAGAATAAAAAGAAATGAAAAAAACCTCCAAGAAATATGGGACTATGTGAAAAGACCAAATCTACTTCTGATTGGTGTACCTGAAAGTGACAGGAAGAATGGAACCAAGTTGGAAAACAATCTACAGTATGATATCCAGGAGAAATTCCCCAATCTAGCAAGGCAGGCCAACATTCAAATTCAGGAAATACAGAGAATGCCACAAAGATACATCTCGAGAAGAGCAACTCCGAGACACATAATTGTCAGATTCACCAAAGTTGAAATGAAGGAAAAAATGTGAAAGGCAGGCAGAGAGAAAGGTCGGGGTACCCACAATGGGAAGCCCATCAAACTAACAGCTGACCTCTCAGCAGAAACTCTACAAGTCAGAAGAGAGTGGGGAACAATATTCAACAATTTTAAAGAAAAGAATTTTCAACCCAGAATTTCATATCCAGCCAAACCAAGCTTCATAAGTGAAGGAGAAATAAAATCCTTTACAGACAAGCAAATGCTGAGAGATTTTGTCACCACCAGGCCTGCCCTAAAAGAGCTCCTGAAGGAAGCACTGAACCTGGAAAGGAACAACCGGTACCAGCCACTGCAAAATCATGCCATGTGTAAAGACCATCGAGGCTAGGAAGAAACTGCATCAACTATCAAGCAAAATAACCAGCTAACATAATGACAGGATCAAATTCACACATAACAATACTAACCTTAAATGTAAACGGGCTAAATGCTCCAATTAAAAGCCACAGACTGGCAAATTGGATAAGGAGTCAAGACACATCAGTGTGCCGAATTCAGGAAAACCATCTCACGTGCAGAGACACACATAGGCTCAAAATGAAGGGATGGAGGAAGATCTACCAAGAAAATGGAAAACAGAAAAAGGCACCGGTTGCAATCCCAGTCTCTGATCAAACAGACTTTAAACCAACAAAGATCAAAAGAGACAAAGAAAGCCATTACATAATGGTAAAGGGATCAATTCAACAGGAAGAGCTAATTTTCCTAAATATATATGTATCCAATACAGGAGCACCCAGATTCATAAAGCAAGTCCTTACAGACATACAAAGAGACTTAGACTCCCACACAATAATAATAGGAGACTTTAACACCCAACTGTCAACATTAGACAGATCAATGAGACAGAAAGTTAATAAGGATATCCACTAACTGAACTCAGCTCTGTGCCAAGTGGACCTAATAGACATCTACAGAACTCTCCACCCCAAGTCAACAAAATATACATTCTTATCACCACCACACCACACCTATTCCAAAATTGACCACATACTTGGAAGTAAAGCACTCCTCAGCAAATATAAAAGAACAGAAATTATAACAAACTGTCTCTCAGACCATGATGCAATCAAACTAGAACTCGGGTTGAAGAAACGAACTCAAAACTGCTCAACTACATGGAAACTGAACAACCTGCTCCTGAGTGACTACTGGGTACATAACGAAATGAAGGCAGAAATAACGATGTTCTTTGAAACCAACGAGATCAAAGACACAACATACCAGAATCTCTGGGACACATACAAAGCATTGTGTAGAGGAAAATTTATAGCACTAAATGCCCATAAGAGAAAGCAGGAAAGAACTAAAATTGACACCCTGACTTCACAATTAAAAGAACGAGAGAAGCAAGAGTAAACGCATTCAAAAGCTAGCAGAAGGCAAGAAATAATTAAGATCAGAGCAGAACTGAAGGAGATAGAGACACAAAAAAACCCTTCAAAAAATCAATGAATCCTGGAGCTGGTTTTTTTTAAAAGATCAACAAAATTGATAGACTGCTAGCAAGACTAATAAAGAAGAAAAGAGAGAAGAATCAAATAGATGCAATAAAAAATGATAAAGGGGATATCACCAACGATCCCACAGAAACACAAACTACCAACAGAGAATAATATAAACAACTCTATGCAAATAAACTAGAAAATCTAGAAGAAATGGATAAATTCCTCAAAACATACACCCTCCCAAGACTAAACCAGGAAGAATTTGAATCTCTGAATAGACCAATAACAGGCTTTGAAATTGAGGCAATAATTAATAGCTTACCAACCAAAAAAACTCCAGGACCAGATGGATTCTCAGCTGAATTCTACCAGAGGTAGAAGGAGGAGCTGGTACCATTCCTTCTGAAACGATTCCAATCTATAGAAAAAGAGGGAATCCACCCTAACTCATTTTATGAGGCCAGCATCATCCTGATACCAAAGCCTGGCAGAGACACAACAAAACAGAGAATTTAAGACCAATATCCCTGATGAACATCAATGCAAAAATCCTCAAAAAAATACTGGCAAACGGAATCTAGCAGCACATCAAAAAGCTTATCCACCATGATCAAGTGGGCTTCAACCCTAGGATGCAAGCCTGGTTCAAGATACGCAAATCAATAAATGTAATCCAGCATATAAACAGATCCAATGACAAAAACCACATGATTATCTCATTAGATGCAGAAAAGGCCTTTGACAAAATTCAACAACCCTTCATGCTAAAAACTCTCAATAAATTAGGTATTGATGGGACATATCTCAAAATAATAAAAACTATCTATGACAAACCCATAGCCAATATCATACTGAATGGGCAAAAACTGGAAGCATTCCCTTTGAAAACTGGTACAACACAGGGATGCCCTCTCTCACCACTCCTATTCAACATAGTGTTGGAAGTTCTGACCAGGGCAATCAGGCAGGAGAAGGAAATAAAGGGTGTTCAGTTAGGAAAAGAGGAAGTCAAATTGTCCCTGTTTGCAGATGACATGATTGTATATCTAGAACACCCCATTGTCTCAGCCCAAAATCTCCTTCAGCTGATAGGCAACTTCAGCAAAGTTTCAGGATACAAAATCAATGTGCAAAAATCACAAGCATTCTTATACACCAAAAACAAAGAACAGAGACACAAATCATGAGTGAACTCTCATTTGCAATTGCTTCAAAGATAATAAAATACCTAGGAATCCAGCTTACAAGGACCTCTTCAAGGAGAACTACAAACCACTGCTCAATGAAAGAAAAGAGGATACAAACAAATGGAAGAACATTCCATGCTCATGGGTAGGAAGAATCAATATAGTGAAAATGGCCACACTGCCCAAGGTAATAGATAGATTCAATGCCATCCCCATCAAGCTACCAACGACTTTCTTCACAGAATTGGAAAAAACTACTTTATAGTTCGTATGGAACCAAAAAAGAGCCTGCATTGCCAAGTCAATACGAAGCCAAAAGAACAAAGCTGGAGGCATCACACTACCTGACTTCAAACTATACTACAAGGCTACAGTAACCAAAACAGCATGGTACTGGTACCAAAACAGACATATAGACCAATGGAACAGAACAGAGCCCTCAGAAATAATGCTGCATATCTACACCACTGATCTTTGACAAACCTGACAAAAGCAAGAAATGGGGAAAGGGTTCCTTATTTAATAAATGGTACTGGGAAAACTGGCTAGCTATATGTAGAAAGCTGAAACTGGATCCCTTCCTTACACCTTATACAAAAATTAATTCAAGATGGATTAAATACATATAAGTTAGACCTAAAACCATAAAAACTCTAGAAGAACACCTAGGCAATACCATTCAGGACATAGGTATGGGCAAGGACTTCATGTCTAAAACACCAAAAGCAATGGCAACCAAAACCAAAATTGACAAATGGGATCTAATTAAACTCAAGAGCTTCTGCACAGCAAAAGAAACTACCATCAGAGTGAACAGGCAACCTACAAAATGGAAGAAAATTTTTGCAATCTATTCATCTGACAAAGGGCTAATATCCAGAATCTACAATGAACTCAAACAAATTTATAAGAAAAAAAAGAACAACCCCATCAAGAAGTGGACAAAGGATATGAACAAACACTTCTCAAAAGAGGACATTTATGCAGCCAAAAGACACATGAAAAAATGCACATCATCACTGGCCATCAGAGGAATGCAAATCAAAACCACAATGAGATACCATCTCACACAAGTTAGAATGGCGATCATTAAAAAATCAGGAAACAACAGGTGCTGGAGAGGATGTGGAGAAATAGGAACACTTTTACACTGTTGGTGGGACTGTAAACTAGTTCAACCATTGTGGAAGTCAGTGTGGCGATTCCTCAGGGATCTAGAACTAGAAATACCATTTGACGCAGCAATCCCATTACTGGGTATATACCCAAACGATTATAAAACATGCTGCTATAAAGACACATGCACACGTATGTTTATTGTGGCACTATTCACAGTAACAAAGACTTGGAACCAACTCAAATGTTCAACAATGATAGACTGGATTAAGAAAATGTGGCACATATACACCATGGAATACTATGCAGCCATAAAAAATGATGAGTTCATGTCCTTTGTAGGGTCTTGGATGAAGCTGGAAACCATCATTCTCAGCAAACTATCGCAAGGACAAAAAACCAAGCATCACATGTTCTCACTCATAGGTGGGAATTGAACAGTGAGAACACATGGACACAGGAAGGGGAACATCACACAACAGGGCCTGTTGTGGGGTGGGAGGAGGGGAGAGGGATAGCATTAGGAGATATGCCTAATGTTAAATGACGAGTTAATGGGTGCAGCACACCAACATGGCACATGTATACATATGTAACAAACCTGCACGTTGTGCACATGTACCCTAAAACTTAAAGTATAATAAAATAAATAAATAAATTTCATTCACCAAATTATGATGTTATGCTAAGCATATATCTTTTGGGAAAAATGACAACCATATGTTTCATTTCTTTCCACAAAAAGCAAACACTGTTGGATATTTTTTTAATCCTAAAAGTTGATCTGGAAGCAAAAAGATATAACACTTGCAATTAAATTTTGAAAGATGAATGAACCATTCTTAATAAGAGAGATTTTAATGTTATAACAATTAAAATAATATGGTGCTGTTTGAAATATTCATGTAAATAAAATAAAGTTCTTGTAAATTAAAGTCATTTCATAAACACATTGAAAATGCAGCTGTTTCATTCAGATGTTTTTGGTCAAATATAGAACACTGAATTAAAACTTTTTTGGAATATAAAAATATTCATTGACAAGCATAATTGTACTTTTCAATGTTATGAAAATATTCGAAGTTAGTTGATAAAATGGATCAATTTTATTTTTAAAGAGCCCTTTTCTTTGTTTATTTTGTCCCATGAGTCACAATATTGGATTAAATCTGGATCTGCTATCATATGAAGTGTTGCTATCTGCAGTGATTTAGAGAGGGCTCTTCCCACAACTGTGGCAGAGGTAATTGACCTGATTGTGATGTGGATTGGAGATGTTATAAGACAATGGTGGTAGGAAATAATACTTTTTTCTTCCAGTTGACTTATTTGAGCACATCTTGCCATTCCCTTTTCCAATGATGATAAGAAGTGGGAAAGTGCAGAAGTCCATTCCTGAGTGGGTATCACGGACAGGGATGAGACATTTTGAGGATGAAGTCTGGACTATCCTGTTAAATAAGTTATGAAATATGTAGAGATGCTAGCAGAAGGTGAAGTGTGAAAAAATGATAAGGAAGAAGATGGTAAATAGCAGTTGCAACTCTGAGATCAGCTGCAGCAGCAAGAAACAATTTGTCCTCGAAACTTTCTCTCCTAGTTCTCCTCAAGTAAGAGAATCCTAAAAGAGTTGTTCTGGTAACCTATAGGAATATATAAATTCAATAAATTCAAGTAATATAAGGGGTATATTATGATGTGTAAGAGGAGGTCATGCCCTGCCCTTCACTTAGGAAAGAAGGATTTATTTTTTGATCTGTTGGGCATGCTGTCAGTAGACAGAATTCAGATGATAATGCCTTCAATATCTGTAGAAGGTGCAGAAAGCCACCTCTACAAGGGTCTCATGGCCTTTCCAAGAGCAGTCCCTCTTTGCATCCAGTTTAACATTTAGGTTCAGCTATCATTAGAGTGCAAGTAGGATATAGGAACCTTTTCGAGAAGAAAATAATTTATTTGGTTAAAAATTACAAATCTAGATAATTTAAATGATAATCATAGGAACATGTGGGATTGGATTTTGTGCATATTGAAATGGAGAAGGACTTTGATTAGGCTGCATGGGGGAATGTTTATCAGTGTGAAGATAATCTCCCATAAATATATGTGGCACAAGGTTTATGTTGACTAAAATTACTGAGCACATCCTGTGTGTCAGACACATAGAAGAAAGCATTCCAAGTTTTTAGGGTGGTATGTTCAGGGTGGCACCATGACTCACGTTTTAGGAGGCCATTCCAATGTTCAATCTAGACAGTAGTTTCCAGGTGATGGGAAATGTGGTCATAGCAGTGAACTCTATGGTGGTGAGTAATTTGCTTTACTTTATTTACTAGAAAATATATCCCCTAATTAGAAATGACAATGATTATGGTAACATGGCAATGGATAATGGATCATTCCCCATAAATAATAAATAAGGCTAAAGTACTGGGACAATCATATAACCAGAATATATAATATAATGACAAGTGGCTGTCTCCAACACATTAAGATTTGCAACGCAGTAAGCTGGCACACAGTTGTTGGCTTGTTTCCCTAGCTATTTGTGCCATGTTAGAGAGTCAATGATGGACATTGCTGATGGCATTTTGCAACTTGAGCACTGGCAGTAGCCAGAGTAGCCATGGTGAAAGCAGACTACTACGTGCTTTTTTGAGCCCTTGTAATGTATTCGTCTCTGCCATAGGGACTACAAAGATGACTGGAGAAAAAAAAGCCTGACTGACATCTAAAATATTGCAATCTGTTGCTGACCAGATTTCTGCAAGCCTTCTCTGTGGTAGATTCTCTTTGATAGGCATCTATGTGGGAAACTATTGCAATCGGTGCCCATTCTGGGATATCCATACCACTCCAACAGATTTGTAATCTTTTTTCCATTTTTAAATTTCCAATTTCCTCAGTTTCTTAGCAAATCTGTTACCCATGTTCCCGAGTCTTTATGGACCCATAACTCAGGCTATTTCTCTTTCCACATGAAGTGAAAACCAAAGTCAAAATACCACTCACTGGGGTGTTTTTCTTCACTTCATTGCTTCAATACCACCTTCCAGGGAGAGTACTGTGCAGCACTTGTCCAGGTTCACCTGCTTTTGCCATACCAAGCATATTGGTAATGACTTTTGTTGTTGTGTTTCAAGTGTTGTTTGTTTTTGTTGTTTCTAGTGTTATTGAGGTATATTTCAAAAATATTTTATGTACTTAAAGTGTACAATATGATGTTTGATATATGTATACCTTGTGAAGTGACTACCACTATGTAGCTAATGTATCCATTATCTCACAAAGTTACCTTTATTTGAGATAAGAACATTTAATGTATATTCTCTTAGCATACTTCGTGTAACCAATATGTATCACTAATTATGATCAATGACCTGTATTCGAACTCTTCAGAATTTTTTCACATTGCACAACTGAATCTTTGTACCCTTTGACCAACATCTCATTTCATTCAGCCCCAGCCCCTGGAAACCACCATTCTAGTCTCTGGCTTTTATGAGTTGGAACATTTTTTAGATTGCACATATAAGTGAGATCATGTGGCATTTATGTTTCAGCATAGGAAAGAGAACCTTTGCACACTGTTGTTGGAAATGTAAATTGCTATGGCCATTATAGGAAACTCTGTGGAGCTTCCTCAAAAAATTAAAATTAAAAATATGATCTAGTAATGTGACTTTTCATAATATATGTAAAGGAAATGAAATCAATATCTTGAAGGATGCCTGCACTTCCATGTATAATGAATGCATCATTATTCACAGTAGTCAAGATATGAAAAAAAAGTCTATCAAAGATGAACGTGTAAAGAAAATATGTATCCAGTATGGAATTATATATATATATATATATATATATATATATATATATGTAATATTGTATTGTGAATTATAGTCCTCATGCTGTACTTTACATTACCGGAATTTATTCATTATATATAGCTCAATATTTATGAGTTCTCTTGAGTTTTGATGATTTTATAAGCATCTGGCATTTCCCCTCCTGGCACTCATTCTCTCTCCTGTCACCCTGTGAAGAGGCATGATTGTAAGGTTCCTGAGTCGCACCCCCCCCCCAGCCATGCGGAACCGTGATTCAATTAAAGCTATTTTCTTTATATATTACCCAGTCTTGGTATTTCCTGATAGCAATATGAGAATGAACTAATATACATGCATTTCTCCTTAAAAAAAGAAATGTGTATTGTAACTATATTTAACATTCTAGCTTAGTAATAGGTATGGATTGCAGATTATTACTATGGACTATGGCACATTTTTGGCAATTTCTACATTAGTTAATATTTTTATGTACTTTTTATTATTGGAGCAAATAAATTCAGATTCTGGGCTGTTGTAGGCCTCATCTGATCTAACAAACACTTTTGTGTCATTCCAAAATGTGGAAAGCCTTAGTGGTTATTTGAATTCAGCTAGGACGGACAGAAAATTATGGCTTATTTCCATATTAGTTCTCCACCTTTGAGTCATAATTTAATCCATGGTATCTTTGATCATATCTGGTAGTTCTTCAGAATTAAAGATATTTTTATGTATCTTTTACCAGTTACCAGTAAGAGAGCGCAGTGCTTGTAGACATAGTCTTCAAATTTTAGAAGTGATATATGTTACATTAGGAGTGGATGAATTTAATCCATTTATTAGTTAAGTTTTAAAAAACCAACTTTTAATGGAGCCTTTGAGTGAAAAAGACCTTAGCTGGTTCAAATAAGTATTTATGGGACTCTTTATCTAAGGCTCTTATGACACAGAAAATCCAATATTTAACTGAACATATGATGAGATGAAGGTGTTCGATGGACCCATTGGTAAGCTAAGTCATGGAAATAACAATGGAAGCGCTTAAGCACTGCTCCTTTGTTGGTAAATACACATTTCTTTATTGTAGAAACAGTTACTGAATTGATATTGGAATAAAATTAAAGGATTGGATTAATGGACTACAGATTCAGGCCTTGATCAAAAGCCTGTACTCTAACCTAAAACTGCAGAGTTATGATTACCTACTGTTTCAAGAATCAGAATGTCAACTTCCATTCTTAGGCTCTCTGCCTCTGAGCCTCAGGGCTTCTTGAGCATGGATTTCCTAACAGGAAGCATAAGGGCCTCCTTGCTGGGAATATGCTTACAGAAGAGAACGTGGGGCTCGTTCCCCCTTCATTCTGGCTGAAATATTACTTGCCTTACCTGAGTATTTCATAATGTGAACCTCATAATTTATTGTTCAATTTACTTTAGAATTTTTCTTTTCACATTATGGGCTTTTCACATTACTTTGCAGTTACCTGTACTTCCTTGGTGAGACCCACGTCTTTTGCCTCTAGAGATTTTGTAAGGGGAAAACAAGGTGCTCAGAGAGTTTACTTCATTTGAATTAATTCCAAATATTCAAATTAACTAATCTATAATGACCTTACTCTCTCTTATATTTAAAATAGTGATGATGTAAAAGTCATAGATTGTGTCTACACATAAATGGGATAATTATTTTCTTGATAGAATAACCCAAGAGATATCTGAAGAGTTAAATTTCTTCCCAAGGTAGAGCATGCCTTCAGTTGGACTCTAGTCCTCTAGGTGTGATGTTTTCTTGTCATATCCTCCATTTCGTGTAAAAATTTGTGAAAGTTCTCAATTTACTGGGCTGAGGTGGGGGAGATATAAAGACATGTTTTTAATCAGGAAAGAAGTGGACTTAGGGGTATGCTGTTTGAATAATATGTGAATGACTGAAAAACTGAAGAGTTTGGCTTCTGCCTGTGAGAATGCTCTGTTATTGTTTTTTCCATAAATTTAAATTTCTGCCTTGTCCCTGTTAGGTACAAAGCGTAATAGCTGGGCACATGAAGGTTATCATAAATCCTGAGTCTCAGTCAAGTACTTATGGTTGTTTCACTATAATCTAGGAAACTTTCATGTAACAAATTTTAGTGTTGGTACATTTTTGTTCCCTTGTGTCACAAAATAAAGGTCTTGTCCTGGTTAATTTCTACTAATTAGGTCGATTTTAACATAATCATGCAACAATAGTGTCTCTGTTTTTTTAATGAAGAAATTTTCCAGCAGGTGAGAATATTTAACTACCTTTCTACATTGTGTTTAAGCATCTTTATGTTTTGGTCATCTGCTTTGGATAGTGCTATACTTCTCTAATGACTGAGATAATGAGAACCCTGTGTGGAATTGAGGAAATTGTAGCCACTAGAAACTAATTCCATATCTATAGATCAGCCATTCATATTCATGTGTTCTATGGTCACACATAGATGCATGAGGTATTGAGATTAATGCTCAGTGAAAGAAGCATTGCTTTTCTGGACCATGATGTGAGTATTTGAAATCACTGACAAGAGATATTCATTGAGAATTCATGTGATATGTTGAAATGTAGCTAATGTCTTAAATACCGTATGATTTCATTGAAGGAATCTAATTGGGAAAGTTAAGTTAGCAAGCATAAAAATTTTTCAGAATATGCAATGTATTTTTGGTTTTAATATAGAGCATAATTTGTTTTCCTTTTCTGTTTGCTGAATAAGAAGAAAAATATGTCCCATATTACATGGGACATAATAAACCAATAGATTTATAATCATAATCTTAGTTTTGGAGATGTTATATTTTATATAATATATTAATAAAGGTGTACAATCACTTTCAGATATATTTGATTAGGGAGTTTAAAATTGCAGATCATGTCAAGTGTGTTAGAATGTGAAGGAACCAATGCCTGTTATGTTCTGGAAGCAAAATATGGGTTTCTACTTATGAATCTAAAAATATCCCAGCAAACATACTAGTAGATATATATGCTCAGGGAAGTACCCAGTCTAGTGTCACTTAAATAGATTTATAAATCTGTGACTGTGAAATATAATATTATACAGATTTTTGTTATGTCATTTTATCTTTTGAAAATGGGAGTTCTAAGAAAGTGTGTCAAAACATTTTTTTCTAGAAAAATGTTAACTTAGCAGTTTACACTGAAAGCCTAGTAATGCTATCTTTCAGTTTCTAAAGTATTCAATTTTTAATTACTTAAACTATAGAAAATAGTTTACATACCCTATTTTTTACAAGTAAACATTTAAATTTCCAAAAGGATTTTCCTGTTGAAATCAAGTTTTGATGATGGAAGAGGGAAAAGTCACTCAACGTTGCAGGAAGTAAGGTGTTAAAAAAAAACAGAATTGGCTCCAGACTACGTTATTCCCTTATGTTCTTCAGTAGATGTGTCTCTATCAGTCTATAGCTTCAACAATGACAGAACTCCGGAATCAGCTGGAAGTGGTAACATGAAGGAAACATGTGGAATGTTCATCATAGCTGGCATCTAGAGACAGCTCAAACTCTCTCTGCACACGTCCTCTTTCACTGCCAGATCATGTAAATGGAATCATCCTGTCTAAATTTGAGTTTTAGTAATTCTGCAGTTTTCTTCAGCAGTGAACAATGAGAAAGTCTGGGTTTTTATCTCTACCTATCCCATTGTTCTCAGTAATTGGTTTGTCCTTAACTGTCAGATCTAGAGACTTAGAGAAACAATGGTTTTTTTCTTTCTTTCTTTTGAATTTTCTTTTCTTTTTTTTTACTAGGTTCTGGTCCCTGTTTGTTTTGGCTACCCCAAAAAAACCTCCTGAGTCTCCCCAGGGACCCACAGGAGGTTGCACTTTCAGGATTTCCTTACTAAATGGGATCTTTCTGAAGAGGATTTTAAAAGAATACTAACCTCACTTAATCATCCCATAGATCTTCTTATTGCTGTGGATACTAATTTGTTAGCTACAATTTCTCTATTTTCTTATTTTAGCCTTCTTTTCATTTCCAGATCTCTCCCCCATGGTGGGTCCAACTTTTTATTATAATTCTGTTTGCTTCTCATTAAGATACATTCCATCACAGCTAAAGTTACTACTCATATAATTAAATCATTATTTTCTAAGGGATACAATTTTATTGTTTGCCCACAAACATCTTTCCTGAATGATAGGTATCTTATCCTTTTTTCCTGGACTATGTGAATAAATCTTTTCAAGTTGACAGATATCTGCATGATTTGTTCTCATTCTATGTATTCAGTAAAGCATTCAAGAACAGTAATAATAGCTATCATTTATTGAGCCCTTAAGAGATGCCAGCCAGTGTTCTAGGCACTTTACTTTGTTTTAATAAAACAACAACTCTAGGGGCTATTGGGATCCTCGTTCTATAAATGATGCAAGTAAGGGATAGAGAGCTTTAGTAAATGGCCCAAAATCTCATAAAAAATGGTGAAGCTGAAGTTGTAGCTGAAGCAGTGTGGCTCCAGTGTCCACATTATTCACCACATGCTACACTTTCTCTCCAAGGATGTCTTGGATCTTAAATAGGTACATACTGAGTGAGAAACTTATAGTCACTATTTACTCACTGTAATCATGAAAACTCTTGCCCAACTGACTACCATTTGTCATGTAACAGTTATGAGCTTGGAATTTTTATTTAATTATAAATTTATAAAAAATGAAAAAAATTATCAGCAGAATACCATAAAGGAGAAGTGCACTAATAGCTTTGTAAATAGTTGACCAGAAAGGATTCTGAATTTCTCAATTTTAATCTCAGTGTTTTCCAGTGAGCAAACTGAAACAGACTTGTAAATGCATTCAGAAAATGACTCAAATCATGCCTTCTTACACAGAATTTGGAATTTCTCTTAGAGTGTGCTTCTTTTTGTAATCTGGTAACTAGGATTCTATTTTTGAGTACTCTTGGTATCTATATACTGTTATGAATAAAACCATGTCCCACTGTTCTGTACCTCTTTCTACAGTGTCTACATTCTCTTCTTTCACTACCTAGCTCAACTCAAGAATTCAGAAAAAAAAAAAATCCTCACTGCTTTTTGGTAGTTGGTGATAGTCATGAGTTGGCTCACTTGAGTTCAAAATTAATTGTTTATAATTAGAATATGGTATGTAAGTGTTGTAAAAATTGGGGTGTAGACAAGGATAAAATGGAGAGAATCACAGCTCCTTATAAGGTGGACAGAGAGTCAGACCACGTAATTGCTAAAGGGAACAATGTGATAAATAACATCATAGAATTTATATAGTTCAGAGTCCTGTCTTTTGACATTTAATGAAAGACTAATGAAGACTGAACATCCTTTGAGGCATGAAAGAATGAAATCTAACAGTAGAAGGCCAGAGTACTGAGTGAGATATTTCACGTGTTATTCTTGGTGCTACACAGATCATATTACAAAGATACCACAATTACAAACACAAAGACTAAATCTATGTCAATTTGTTTATTTAGAGTTTATTACCAACATCAGAGAGTAGGTTTCTTGAGAACAAGAAGCCATTGACTATTCATCACAGCTGACTTCTGGCCAAGAAAAATGTTTTAAATAAGAGGTTATGAAAGGTATGAATGGCTGTTGGGACTTTTAACTCTTCTTCTGTGTAGGATATTCACTAAAACTTAGAGGTAGAGGCATTTACCTGTGGCTGAAACTAAAATCTTTGAGGAGTAATAGAATCATCAAGGGAAGATGGGCTCTTTGTGTGAGGAACTCAATAGAGACTTACTAAATGTTTACTGTGTGTAAGTGAGTATTGAGGATACAATGATGAAGATGTGCTCTGAGACACAATGGATGCAATCATATTCCTGTTCACTACTGCATTACAGGTCCTGTTCTCCTGAGCTCTCACCTCTGATACAAGCCTGAGAGAAGAGTAAATGAGACCTAATAACAGCATTACAGAATTTGTCCTCCTGGGATTCTCTCAGGATCCTGGTATGCAAAAAGAATTATTTGTCATGTTTTTATTCACATACGTTGTGACTGTGTTGGGGAACCAGCTCATTGTGGTGACTATCATTGCCAGCCCTTCCTTGGGCTCCCCAATGTACTTCTTCCTTGCCTGCCTGTCATTTATAGATGCTGCATATTTCACTGTCATTTCTCCCAAATTGATTGTGGACTTACTCTGTGATAAAAAGACTATTTCCTTCCAAACGTTCATGGGCCAACTATTTATAGACCACTTCTTTGGTGGTGCAGAGGCCTTCCTTCTGGTGGTGATGGCCTATGATCGCTATGTTGCCATCTGTAAGACATTGCACTATTTGACCATCATGACTCGACAGGTTTGTATCCTTGCATTGCTGGTGGCTGCGACAGGCGGTTTTGTGCATTCTGTGTTTCAAATTGTTGTTGTGTACAGTCTCCCTTTCTGTGGCGCCAATGTCATTGATCATTTCAGTTGTGACATGTATCCATTATTGGAACTGGCATGAACTGACACCTACTTTATAGGCCTCACTGTTGTTTTCAGTGGTGGAGCACTCTGTATGGTCATCTTCACCCTTCTAATAATTTCCTATAGGGTCATCCTAAACTCCCTTAAAACTTACACTCAGGAAGGGAGGCATAAAGCCCTGTCTACCTGCAGCTCCCACATCACTGTGATTGTTCTCTTTTTATTCCCTGTATTTTCATATATGTGAGACCTGTTTCAAACTTTTCTATTGACACATTCATGACTGTCTTTTATACAGTTATCACACCCAAGTTGAATCCTTTAATATACACTTTCAGAAATTCAGAGATGAGAAATGTTATAGAAAAACTCTTGGTGAAAAAGGTAACTATATTTAGAATAACAGGGTCCATCCTCATGTAGGTAAGGAGGTATGTAGTAATGGTCTTCCCAGTGAAGTTTTCAGGTTTCTAAGGGCAAGTCAAGGATCCCAAGGACAGGATTTAGATGCTCCCACCTCAATTAAGAAGTCATCCTGTCATGATATCTGATTGAAGTTCAGGATCTCAACTTCTATATCCAGACTGAGTGTGGATGGGGCTTCTTGGGTGCAGGTCTTATTTTGCACGTTTTAAATTATGGCTTTTCCTATTTACAGATGTTTGAGGCAGGGCATTTCTTCCACATGCTCAGCACACAATGGAGACAGGGAGGAATAGGTAATAAAATAGATGCTCCTGTTCAAAAGGGAAAGCTGTGGTGCTTCCTTCTGCACAATTTATTTAAAGACTTTATGAAATATACAAGCACCGTATTCACAAATATCTTTAAAACTGGCCCTTCTCAGACTTGAGCTGAAATTGTATATGCAGTCATATAATACTCTTAAGTATCTTAGAATTATGTTTTCTAGTTTAAGGTACTTACGAGACACACCATCAAATTTTTCTGTAGTCTTTACAAGTGTCTTAACATCCATAATTTTGAAATAGCATTTATTTTGATGACCTTTCTTACTTTTAGAGTACTTAGCTCTTTGCAGAGACTGGAAAGGGGAACCAGTTTTATGTTTGAAAGCAACAATTTCTGGTTCTTTTATGTTTCCTGCAAATTCTGTCTGAAAATGTTACAGTTAATATTTTCAGTAATTTTTAAAAAATCTATGCCTTATTATATGATACACTGCTCTAAGAAACAGCTGCAATTTTAAATATTCTATTTGGAAATTTTAGCCAAATCCACCTATTCACTTAAGCACATTTTTTATTTTCTACCTTCCTATAGGTGACAGAATTACACATTTTTTCAGCACTGGATAGCAACTCACTTTTTTTACAGCCTCTGGAATACTTCTGTCTGTTGAGCATTCACTTACAATATCCTGGTGGCCCCTAATTTTGGGCAATAAAGCCAATCAATGCCATACACTTTAAATTGTTGTTATGGAAACACCACTCCTTGAGGTATTACTTTTTATTCTGATCCTGTCTTCATGTAAGGTGCATGACTCCACAGTTTTTGTGAGATAAAACAACCATCATTTTATTTTATCTCAAAATTTTGTGAGCCAGGAATTCAGGCAGTTGCTGGCAGGGTATTTCTTCTGTTTTGTGTAGCAAGTATTGAAGTCAACCTCTTATTCACCTGATAACTAAGTATTCTGTAGGATTCAGTATAACTTAACTCACATTTATAGTATATTGCAAGGGATGACAGTAAGAGTTGCACTGGGTCCCTGTTCCTATCTCTTTAGATGAAGGATCGCAAGATCACTCCAGAGAATAGTCAGGCTTTTTACGTGGTGCCCAGAGATCTCAGTGGGAGAAAGCAGAAGGGTTCAGCCAGTTAAGTGCTGTGTCCAAAAATGGCGTAATGTCACTTGCATCATGTTCTATTCCATCGAGTGGTCACATGACCACCCCAGATTTGAGTTTTTACAGAAATAGAAGATAACGCTTGATTGGGAAGTGGCAAAGTAATTTTGCAGAGCAGCATGCAGAACAATTGTGTACATATGAAAAAGAGCACATCTCAAAAATATTGGAGTTTTATTCATTTTTAAGTTTTATCTATAAAACATCTTGTATTAATAACATCTTAACAATATTGGGTTTTCTAATTCTTGAATACCGTATATCTGTTAGGTGTTTTAAATGTTTATTTGTGAAGAGTTTTATAATTTTTATTAGTGTATGGATCTTCCTTATCTATTCCTAAGTGTTTAGGTTTTCAGATTTCATCATAGATTTTTAATTTTTTAAAAAAATCCAATTTTTATTGTTGTTAGTATATATAAAGGAAATTGAATTTTTAATTTGACCCTTGCGTCCCATAAACTTGCTAAATTTACTTCTTATTCCCACAAAGTTATGTCTTTAGATTCTTTAGGGTTTTTCGAAACACTATCATGTAATGTACAAGTAAAGATAGCTCATTACTTGGAAAGAGATAGGAGTGTTTCAGTTTCTTTTTGTGTCATTTTTAGAAAGTTGTCCTTTCCCTATGTTTTACCTAATTTATCTAAGCTGTCAAATTAATTGAAATAATGTATTTTATAACAATACTTTCCAAACCTTTTAAAGTCTAAAGGGTCTATGGGATGATTATTTGTTTTATGATTTCTGATATTGGTAATTTGAATTTCTTGTTGTTTTCTCTTGATAACCCTTGCTAGCAAGTTATCAATTTAATTGTAAAAGTACCAATTTTTGGCAATTTTTATTTTCTGTATTTTATGTTTTCCATTTTATTGGTGTTTGATCTTATATTTATGTCCTTTTGTTTACTTACCTTGGCTTTTATTTACTCTTCTTCTAGCTTAAGGTGATGGATCAGATGGCTGCTTTTAAACATTTATTTTAAGTGAAAGCATTTATAGCTATGCATTTTCCTTAAGTGCTGTTTTGATTACACCTCACAAATTTTGATGTGTTTCTGTTATTGCTTAGTTCTAACTATTTGCTTAGTTACATTATACCTTTTTCTTTGATTCATAGGTTCATTAAATATTTATTGGCATGTTTCCCAGTATTTGAAGTTTATTCTAGATACATTTATGAGTTATGTATTTATTCATATAAAATTATTTCAATATTTGGTGATTCAAACAATTTGTGCTCATTTTCAATTTCTGTAGGTGAGGAAACTAAGGATGGTTTAGCAGGTTCCCGTGGTTATAAATTTTCTCACAAAGCTGTAATCATGGTGCTTCTTGGGGCTACCATCTCATATGAAGGCTTG
Source organism: Homo sapiens (assembly GCF_000001405.40). Taxonomy (NCBI): domain Eukaryota; kingdom Metazoa; phylum Chordata; class Mammalia; order Primates; family Hominidae; genus Homo; species Homo sapiens. Next base: position 55,392,293 of record NC_000011.10, read on the forward strand.
GCTGAGGAAGGATCCACTTCCACACTGGGTGTTGGCATTAGTAGTTGTTTGAATTCAGCTGTAAGGGACATAGAGGATTAGGTTTTATTCTCATATATTAGTTCTTCATCTTGGAGTCACAATTTAAACCACGGTATCTTTGATTATATCTGATAGTTCTCTAGAAATAAACATATGTTTGTGCATGTTTTACCACATACCAGTAAGACAGCACAGCGATTATAGACAGGCTTTTCAAATTTTAGCAGTAATACATATTACATTTGTGGTGGATGAATTTAAAACATTTATTAGGTAGGTTGAAAATGACCAACATTTAGTGGAGCCCGTTATGTGATAAAGACGTTAGCTCGTTCAGTTAGGTATTTATGGGACTCTATCTAAGGCTCTTATGACAGAAAGATCCAATATTTAATTAACATATGATGAGATGAAGGTGTTCAATGGAGCCAATGATAAGCCAAGTCAGAGAAATAACAATGGAAGCCCTTAAGCACTGCTCCCTTGTTGGCAAATACAAATTTCTTTATTGTAGAAACAGTTACTGAATTGATATTGCAATAAAATTAAAAGATTGAATTAATGGACTACAGATTATTATGGTTATATGTAACATAGATTCAGGCCTTGATCAAAAGCCCGTATTCTAACCTAAAACTGCAGAACTATGATTACCTACCTTTCCAAGAATCAGAATGTCAACTTCCACTCTCAGGAGCTCTACCTCTGAGCCTCAGGGCTTCTTGGGCACGGACTTTCTAACAGGAAGGGTAAAGCCCTCCTTACTGGGAATATTTTTAGAGAATAGAACCTGGGGCTGGTTCTCCTTTCATTCTTGCTGAAATATTACTTGCCACACCTAAATATTTCACAATATAAAATTCATAATTTACTAGTCAATTTACTTTTGAGTTTTTGTTTACATATTAACAGCTTTTCACATTATTTGGCATTTAGCTACTTTTCTTATTTTTTCTTATTTTTTATTATACTTTAAGTTTTAGGGTACATGTGTACAACATGCAGGTTAGTTCATATGTATACATGAGCCATGTTGGTGTGGTGCACCCATTAATTCGTCATTTAACATAATATCTCCTAATGCTATCCCTCCACACTCCCCCCACCCCACAGCAGACCCTGTTGTGTGATGTTCCCCTTCCTGTGTCCATGTGCTCTCTTTGTTCAATTCCCACCTATGAGTGAGAACATGTGGTGTTTGGTTTTTTGTCCTTGTGATAGTTTGCTGAGAATGATGGTTTCCAGCTTCATCCGTGTCCCTACAAAGGACATGAACTCATCTTTTTTATGTCTGCATAGTATTCCATAGTGTATATGTGCCACATTTTCTTAATCCAGTCTATCATTGTTGGACATTTGGGTTGGTTCCAAGTCTTTGCTATTGTGAATAGTGTGGCAATAAACATATGTGTGCATGTGTCTTTATAGCAGCATGTGTTATAATCCTTTGGGTATATACACAGTAATGGGATTGCGGGGTCAAATGGTATTTCTAGTTCTAGATCCCTGAGGAGTCACCACACTGGCTTCCACAATGGTTGAACTAGTTTACAGTCTCACCAACAGTGTAAAAGTGTTCCTATTTCTCCACATCCTCTCCAACACCTGTTGTTTCCTGATTTTTTAATGATCGCCATTCTAACTTGTGTGAGATGGTATCTCATTGTGGTTTTGATTTGCATTTCTCTGATGGCCAGGGATGTTGAGCATTTTTTCATGTGTCTTTTGGCTGCATAAATGTCTTCTTTTGAGAAGTGTTTGTTCATATCCTTTGCCCACTTTTTCATGGGGTTTTTCATTTTTTTCTTGCAAATTTGTTTGAGTTCATTGTAGATTCTGGATATTAGTTAGCCCTTAGTCAGATGAGTAGGTTGCAAAAATTTTCTCTGATTCTGTGGGCTGCCCGTTCACACTGATGGTAGTTTCTTTTGCTGTGCAGAAGCTCTTTAGTTTAATTAGATACCATTTGTCAATTTTGGCTTTTGTTGCCATTGCTTTTGGTGTTTTAGACATGAAGTCCTTGCCCATGCCTATGTCCTGAAAGGTATTGCCTAGGTTTTCTTCTAGGGTTTTTATGGTTTTAGGTCTAACATGTAAGTCTTCAATCCATCTTGAATTAATTTTTGTATAAGGTGTAAGGAAGGGATCCAGTTTCAGCTTTCTCCATATGGCTAGCCAGTTTTCCCAGCACCATTTATTAAATAAAGAATTGTTTCCCCATTTCTGGTTTTTGTCAGGTTTGTCAAAGATCAGATAGTTGTAGATATGTGGCATTATTTCTGAGGACTCTGTTCTGTTCCAGTGGTCTATATCTCTGTTTTGGTACCAGTACCATGCTGTTTTGGTTACTGTAGCCATGTAGTATAATTTGAAGTCAGGTAGCATGAGGCCTCTATCTTTGTTCTTTTGGCTTAAGATTGCCTTGGCAATGCGGGCTCTTTTTTGGTTCCATATGAATTTTCAAGTAGTTTTTTCCAATTCTGTGAAGAGAGTCATTGGTAGCTTGATGAGGATGGCATTGAATCTATCAATTACCTTAGACAGTATGGCCATTTTCATGATATTGATTCTTCCTACCCATGAGCATGGAATGTTCTTCCAGTTGTTTGTATCCTCTTTTATTTCCTTGAGCAGTGGTTTGTTGTTCTCCTTGAAGAGATCCTTCAGGTCCCTTGTAAGTTGGATTCCTAGCTATTTTATTCTCTTTGAAACAATTGCGAATGGGAGTTCACTCATGATTTGGCTCTCTGTTTGTCTGTTGTTTGTGTATAAGAATGCTTGTGATTCTTGCACATTGGTTTTCTATCCTGAGACTTTGCTGAAGTTGCCTATCAGCTGAACGAGATTTTGGGCTGAGACAATGGGGTTTTCTAGATATACAATCATGTCATTTGCAAACAGGGACAATTTGACTTCCTCTTTTCCTAATTGGACACCCTTTATTTCCTTCTCCTGCCTGATTGCCCTGGCCAGAATTTCCAAAGCTATGTTGAATAGTAGTGGTGAGAGAGAGGGCATCCCTGTCTTGTGCCAGTTTTCAAAGGGAATGCTTCCAGTTTTGGCCCATTCAGTATGATATTGGCTGTGGGTTTGTCATAGATAGCTCTTATTATTTTGAGATAAGTCCCATCAATACCTAATTTATTGAGAGTTTTTAGCATGAAGGGTTGTTGAATTTTGTCAAAGGCCTTTTCTTCATCTATGGAGACAGTCATGTGGTTTTTGTCTTTGGTTCTATTTATATGCTGGATTACGTTTATTGATTGGCATATGTTGAACTAGCCTTCCATCCCAGGGATGAAGCCCACTTGATCATGGTGGATAAGCTTTTTGATGTGCTGCTGGATTCAGTTTGTCAGTATTTTATTGAGGATTTTGCATCGATGTTCATCAGGGATATTGGTCTTAAATTCTCTTTTTTTGTTGTGTTTCTCCCAGGCTTTGGTATCAGGCTCATGCTGGCATCATAAAATGAGTTAGGGAGGATTCCCTCTTTTCGTATGGATTGGAATGGTTTCAGAAGGAATGGTAACAGCTCCTCCTTTGACCTCTGGTAGAATTCGACTGTGAATCCATCTGGTCCTGGACTTTTTTTGGTTGGTAAGCTATTAATTATTGCCTCAATTTCAGAGCCTATTGGTCTATTCAGAGATTCAAATTCTTCCTGATTTAGTCTTGGGAGGGTGTATGTGTCAAGGAATTTATCCATTTCTTCTAGATTTTCTAGTTTATTTGTGTAGAGGTGTTTATAATATTCTCTGATGGTAGTTTGTATTTCTGTGGGATCGGTGGTGATATCCCCTTTATCATTTTTTATTGCATCTATTTGATTCTTCTCTCTTTTCTTCTTTATTAGTCTTGCTAGCGGTCTATCAATTTTGTTGATCTCTTCAAAAAACCAGCTCCTGGATTCACTGATTTTTTGAAGGGATTTTGTGTCTCTATTTCCTTCAGTTCTGCACTGATCTTAGTTATTTCTTGCCTTTTGCTAGCTTTTGAATGCGTTTGCTCTTGCTTCTCTAGTTCTTTTAATTGTGATGTTAGGGTGTCAATTTTAGTTCTTTCCTGCTTTCTCTTGTAGGCATTTAGTGCTATAAATTTCCCTCTACACACTGTTTTGAATGTGTCCCCGAGATTCTGGTATGTTGTGTCTTTGTTCTTGTTCATTTCAAAGAACATTTTTATTTCCGCCTTCATTTCATCATGTACCCAGTAGTCATTCAGGAGCAGGTTGTTCAGTTTCCATGTAGTTGAGCAGTTTTGAGTGAGTTTCTTAATCCTGAATTGTAGTTTGATTGCACTGTGGTCTGAGAGACAGTTTGTCATCATTTCTGTTCTTTTACATTTGCTGAGGAGTGCTTTACTTCCCACTATGTGGTCAGTTTTGGAATAGGCATGGTGCGGTGCTGAAATGAGTGTATATTCTGTTGATTTGGGGTGGAGAGTTCTGTAGATGTCTGTTAGGTCCACTTGGCACAGAGCTGAGTTCAGTTAGTGGATGTCCTTGTTAACTTTCTGTCTCATTGATCTGTCTAATGTTGACAGTAGTGGGTTAAAGTCTCCCATTATTATCGTGTGGGAGTCTAAGTCTCTTTGTATGTCTCTAAGGACTTGCTTTATGAATCTGGGTACTCCTGTATTGGGTGCATATATATTTAGGAAAGTTAGCTCTTCTTGTTGAATTGATCCCTTTACCATTATGTAATGGCCTTCTTTGTCTCTTTTGATCTTTGTTGGTTAAAAGTCTGTTTTATAAGAGACTAGGATTGCAACCCCTGCCTTTTTTTGTTTTCCATTTGCTTGGTAGATCTTCCTCCCTCCCTTTATTTTGAGCCTATATGTGTCTCTGCACATGAGATGGGTTTCCTGAATACAGCACACTGATGGGTCTTGACTCTTTATCCAATTTGCCAGTCTGTGGCTTTTAATTGGAGCATTTAGCCCATTTACATTTAAGGTTAATATTGTTATGTGTGAATTTGATCCTATCATTATGATGTTAGCTGGTTATTTTGCTCGATAGTTGATGCAGTTTCTTCCTAGCCTCGATGGTCTTTCCAATTTGGCATGTTTTTGCAGTGGCTGGTACCAGTTGTTCCTTTCCATGTTTAGTGCTTCCTTCAGGAGCTCTGTTAGGGCAGACCTGGTGGTGACAATATCTCTCAGCCTTTGCTGGTCTGTGAAGGATTTTATTTCTCCTTCACTTATGAAGCTTGGTTTGGCTGGATATGAAATTCTGGGTTGAAAATTCTTTTCTTTAAGAATGTTGAATATTGGCCCCTACTCTCTTCTGGCTTGTGGAGTTTCTGCTGAGAGATCAGATGTTAGTCTGATGGGCTTCCCATTGTGGGTACCCCGACCTTTCTCTGTGCCTGCCCTTCACATTTTTTCCTTCATTTCAACTTTGGTGAATCTGACAATTATGTGTCTCAGAGTTGCTTTTCTCAAGGAGTATCTTTGTGGTATTCTCTGTATTTCCTGAATTTGACTGTTAGCCTGCCTTGCTAGAATGGGGAATTTCTCGTGGATAATATCCTGCAGAGTGTTTTCCAACTTGGTTGCATTCTCCCTGTCACTTTCAGGTACACCAATCAGACGTAGATTTGGTCTTTTCACATAGTCCCGTATTTCTTGGAGGTGTTGTTCATTTCTTTTTATTCTTTTATCTCTAAACTTCTCTTCTCATTTCATTTCATTCATTTCATCTTCCATCACTGATAGCCTTTCTTCCAGTTGATTGAATCGGTTACTGAGGCTTATGCATTTGTCAGGTAGTTCTTGTGCCATGGTTTTCAGCTCCATCAGCTCCTTTAAGGACTTCTCTGCATTGGTTATTCTAGTTAGCCATTTGTCTAATTTTTTTCAAGGTTTTTAACTTCTTTTCCATGGGTTCGAACTTCCTCCTTTAGCTTGGAGTAGTTTAATTGTCTGAAGCCTTCTTCTCTCAACTCTCCAAAGTCATTCTCCGTCCAGCTTTGTTCAGTTGCTGGTGAGGAACTGCATTCCTTTGGAGGAGGAGAGGCACTCTGATTTTTAGAGTTTCCAGTTTTTCTGCTCTGTTTTTTCCCCATCTTTGTGGTTTTACCTACCTTTGGTCTTTGATGATGGTGACATACAGATGGGGATTTGGTGTCGATGTCCTTTTTGTTTGTTAATTTTCCTTCTAACAGTCAGAACCCTCAGCTGCAGGTCTGTTGGAGTTTGCTGGATGTGCACTCCAGACCCTGTTTGCCTTGGTATCAGCAGCGGAGGCTACAGAACAGCGGATATTGGTGAACATCAAATGTTGCTGCCTGATCATTCCTGTGGAAGTTTTGTCTCAGAGGAGTACCCAGCCATGTGAGGTGTCAGTCTGCCCCCACTGGGGGTTACCTCCCAGTCAGGCTACTCAAGGGTCAGGGACCCACTTGCGGAGGCAGTCTGTCCATTCTCAGATCTCTAGCTGCATGCTGGGAGAACTAGTACCCTCTTCAAAGCTGTCAGACAGGGACATTTAAGTCTGCAGAGTTTTCTGCTGCCTTTTGTTTGGCTATGCCTTGCCCCCTGAGGTGGAGTCTACAGTGGCAGGCAGGCCTCCTTGAGCTGCTGTGGGGTCTACCCAGTTCGAGCTTCCCGGCTGCTTTGTTTACCTACTCAAGCCTAGGCAATGGTGGGCACCCCTCTCCCAGCCTCGCTGCCACCTTGCAGTTTGATCTCAGACTGCTGTACTAGCAATGAGCAAGGCTCTGTGGGCATAGGACCTTCTGAGCCAGGTGTGGGATATAATCTGGTGTGCCGTTTGCTAAGACTGTTGGAAAAGTGCAGTATTATCATGGGAGTGACCCGATTTTCCAGGTGCCGTCAGTCACCCCTTTCTTTGACTAAGAAAGGGAATTCCCTGACCCCTTGTGATTCCTGGGTGAGGTGATGCCTCACCCTGCTTCGGCTCAAGCTCGGTGCACTGCACCCACTGTCCTGCACCCACAGTCTGATACTCCCCAGTGAGATGAACGTGGTACCTCAGTTGGAAATGCAGAAATCACCCATCTTCTGTGTCACTCATGCTGGGAGCTGTAGACTGGAGCTGTTCCTATTTGGCCATCTTGGCTCCTCCCTCTGCTTTGTTCTTGCTGAGGAATTTTTTTTTTTTTTGTATTTGTATTTTTTGTAATGTGGGTCTACTGGCTATGACATTTCCCAACCCTCAAATACTTAGCTTATTAATGAATTGCACAGAGGCATGTTGAGAATACATACATTTCTCCCTTCTATTTCCTCAAATAGGTGAACGCTTGAAAGTGTGAGTAGAAATATTAGCAGCTTACCCGTGCAGAGGGGTGAAAAAATGGTTCAATTTCTGCATGATTAGAGTCACTTATTAAATACTTCAGTCTCCATTGAAACTTAAGCAGATTTATGTCTCACCATTAATGACTACATCCCAGAGTTAAGAATTATACTATCAAATTTTAAGACATTCCTTGAATTAGTTAATTCTTGCATTGCTGTAAAAATATTGATACTTGAAACTGGGTAATTTATAAAGAAAAGAGGCTTAGTTAGCTCATTGCTCCATAAGCTGCACACGGAGAATGATTCTGTTATGTTTTTGACTTCTGCGGAGGCCTCAGGAAATTTACAAACATGGCGGAAGCCAAAGTGGGAGCAGATACATTTTACCAGACAGCATCAGGAGCAAGAGGGGGAGGTGACACAAAATTTTAAATCACAAGATCTCATGAGAACTCACTGTCAGGATGACAGCACCAAGGGGCAATGGCATTAAACCATGAGAAACTTCCCCCATATTCCAGTTACCTCCCACCAGACCCTACCTCCAACCTTTGATATTACATTTCAACATGAGATTTAAGTGGGGACACAGATCAAAAGAATATCATTCTGGCACTGACCCCTCCAAAACCTCATGCTCTTCTCACCTTTCTCTCACATTTTCTCACATTTCAAAATACAATCAGTTCCCCAAAGTGCTAACCCATTCCAGCATTAACTGAAAAGTCCACAGCCCAGGCTTCTCTGAGACAAGGCTAGTCCCTTCCACCTAAGTCTGTAAAATCAAAAGCAAGCTAGTAACTTACAGGATACAAAGAAGTTACAGGAATTGGGTAAATACTTTCATTCCAAAGTGGAGAAATCAGCCAAAAGAAAGGGGTTACAGGCCCCATGTAAGTCTGCAATCTAACAAGGCAGTCATTAAATCTTAAAGCTCCAAAATAATTTCTTTTGACTCCATGCCTCACAACCAGGGCATATTCGTGCAATGTGTAGGCTTCCAAGGCAATGGGTAGCTCCACCCATGTGGCTTTGAAGGTTCAGCCCCCAAAGTTGCTCTTAGGTTGGGTGTTGCTCCTGGATGACTGTGGCTTTTCTAGGTACAGAGAGCAAGCTGCTGGGGGAGCAACCATTTTGGGGTCTGGAGAATGGTAGTCCTCTTCTCACAGCTCCACTAGGCAGTGCCCCAGTGGGTACTCTGTGTATGGTCTCCAACCCCACATTTCCCCTCCACACTGCCTGAATAGAAGTTCTCTGTGAGAGCTCCACCCCTGCAGCAGGCTTCTCTTTGGGCATCCATGCTGTTTGATAGATCTTCTGAATCCTAAGTGGCAGCTTCCAAGCCTCATCCATTGCATTCTGTGCACCTGTAGGTTTACAAACACCTGGAAGCCTTCTATGCTCACAGCTTTCATCCTCTGAAGCAGTGGCCTGAGCTGTACCTTGGCCCCTTTTAGTTATGGCTGGACCTGGAATGGCTGGGATGCAAACAGCAGTTTTCCAAGACTGCTCAGGGCAGTAGGGCCCTGGCTCTGGCTCAGAAAATTGTTCAGTTCTCCTAGATCTCCAGTTCTGTGATGGGAAGTCCTGTTGAAAAGGTCTGTGAAATGCCTTTGAGGGTTTTTCCTCATTGTCTTGGAGCTTAGCACTTGGCTACTCTTATGCAAATTTCTGCAGCCAGCTTGAATTTCTTCCCTGAAAACGGGCTTTTCTTTTCTTTCACATGGCCAGGCTGCAAATTTTTCAAACTTTTACACTCTGCTCCCATTTAAATATGTTCCATTTTCAGATCATTTCTTTGCTCTTTTATATGAGCTTAGGTTATTAGAAGCAGCCAGGCTAATAGAAGGAGCCAGGCTAAATCTTGAATGCTTTCCTGCTTAGAAATTTCTTCTGCCAGATACCCTAAATCATCATTCTCAAGTTCAAAGTTTGACAGATCCTTAGAGCAGGGACAAAATGCAGCCAGACTTTTCTGTAGCTCAGCAAAAGTGACTTCCACTCCAGTTCCCATTAAGTTTTTTATTTCTGTCCGAGATCTCCTCACTCTAGACTTTACTGTCCACTTCACTATCAGCATTTTGGTCAGAGCCATTCAAAAATTCTCTAGGAAGTTCAAAATTTTCTTTCACCTTCCTTTCTTCTGAGCCCTCTACATTCTTCCAACCTCTGCCTGTTACCCAGTTTCAAAGCTGCTTCCACATTTTCAGGTATCTTTATAGATATGCTTCACTCTTCAGTACTAATTATTGTATTAGCCCACTCTTGCATTGCTATAAAGAAATATCAGAGAGATTCTGTAATTTATGAAGAAAAGAGTTTTAATTGGCTCATTGCTCCACAGGCTGTAACTGAAAGCATGATGCTGGCATCTCCTCAGTTCTGGGGAGGCCTCAGTAAATTTAAAATCAATGTGGAAGGCAAAGTGGGAGCAGGCACATCTTACATGGCAGGTGCAGGAGCAGTAAAGGGAACTGCCACACACTTTTAAATAACCAGATCCCATGAGAACCCACAATTGTTATGACAGTACCAAAAAGGGACGGTGTTAAACCACGAGGAAATTCCGCAATAATCCAGTCACCTCCCAGCAGGCCCTACCTCCAGCACTCGGAATTACATTTTAACATGAGATTTGGGTGGGGACACAGATCCAAACCATATCTTTTTTTTTTATCATTTGGACAACTCCTTTTCCTTCTTTATCCTTTATCTTCTTCATGCATTTATAATTCTGATTTGTTCTTATACAATGTTATTAACAGAGCCTTTTGTTGCATTTTGCGTTTCCTACAAATAATATAATTCTGAATCAGAGTATTAAAGGAATTCAGTTAAGTTCTCCCATTCATGCGAAAAGTGGTCTAGTACCTCTTCCTGGCCATAACTCCATGTCATATATGAGTGAAAGAGTTAAGAGTTCTATTCTCAAGAGTTAAGATAATCTCATGGGAAAATAGTAATCATGTCCTCCCTAGGAGTAATTACCCATCTATATGCTCTTTTCCCATCTGCTAGATTTTTTTCTTCCAATAATTTATTATTCTTATGAGCCTAGTTTCGGCTTTTATTAAGCCATTATTATGTCAGTTTTAAGGGGTATAGTGTGTCCATGTGATGTATTTCTTAGGCTATTTATGTCCATGTGCCTTGTGGAAATCTGTGCCTTAAATCAATGAGATGTAATTGAGTGGGCAAATTGTTAGAACGTAGTGTTTCTGTAGGTTGACAGTGTTGTCATTTGTGGCTTAGGTCATAGACTAGGTGAAATCCAAAATGGTAAAAAAAAAAAAAAATCTATTTAAGGATAAATTAATTTGAAACCACTAGGATCTATGTCTAATGGTCCTTTAAAATAGACAACAAACTGTGTTGTCATATTTGACCCTAGCATATACTCCTCAAACTGTTACAGAACTTTTTTCTTCACCACATTTTGGTTGACTTAGTGGGCTACGTCATTATTCTGCTCATCATTATATGTCATCCATGCATATACCCAAGTGGCTACCACCTCTAAATCCTAGGCCAGTGGGTTTCTCTTTCTTTTTTGAGTCAAAACCTGGGTTCTTTGGTGGATCCTATGCCCACTTTAAACTTCCCTTAGAATACTTGTATGACCTTCCATAATAGCATTCTCTATTGCTAAAATTCTTCGTCATCCATTCATCAGAGACTTGTCTGCCTGATCAAATGGTGAAGTTACCATACAGGAGTCTGAAAATGCACAGACATTGCTCTGAGAGCAAGAACCAAATGCTGCACACAATGAAGGATATGCTGCATATATATATATATATATATATATAAAATACATATATATAATACATATATATAATACATATATATAATATATATGTATAGTATATATATAATATATGTATAGTATATATATAATATATATGTATAGTGTATATATGTTTTATATATGTATATGTATAGTCTTTCAAAGGAATTAATTTTGCCTACTTTGACAAAGGTTTTACCATTCAGAATGAGAATTTCAACAGATTTTCATAATAATCATACCTCACAATTTAGGAAATCCCATTGGGAAATTCAGTATTCTGTTTTTCTGTGGTAGGAAATGTATAATTGCCTGAGCAACAGGAGTGGAAACCTCTGTGAGAGGTTTCTTTTCTTCCGAAAGTTATGCTTATGAATATGATATACTTCCTAGAGTCATCTCCTAAAATATGTTTCTGTACATACTATTTCCATTTTATTAAGATATTTTGTTATGCTAAGCCATTAATGACATTAAATTGTGTCTCTGTGAAAGCCCAATAACTTCTCAGTAGCTGCCTATCCAATGGGCTTCCTCTGGACAAGCTATCAGGAATTATTGAATCCCAAATCCCAATAATCATCACAGGGTGGCAGGAGTAGGTTTCTGCTAGAGTCTTCAGTCTGCATATGTTCATATATATACACTTTCAAAAATGACTGCATTCGGTTCTTGGGTCTAATGGCACTGCATGAGTAACTTCCCATTATGAATTTTCTGGAACCCTTGTCATTTTTTTTTATTACTAGGATGTGGAAGATCTAGTGGTATAATTGCTAAGGTTTGTGAAATATCTCTGATGGCCCAGACCATGTTGTTTCCAGAATCTTGCATGATTAGTCTAAGCTCTATCTTTTGACTAGACCAATCAAGAACATTAGACTACTAATATTTACCATAGTCCCTGTATTCTTCCACATTGCTTCTTCTGAGGGAGAAACTATTACAATGTTATCAAGGTAATGAATTATTTTATTATGTTCATGTCTAAATTTCATTTCACCTAATTATGGCATTATACTACGTATATATCTTTGAGGAAAAATGGCAAACATATGTTGCATTTCTTTCCACGTAAAAGCAAATGAATCTGGATATTGTTTTAATTTTAAAAGTTGATCTGGAAACCCAAAATATAAAATTTGCAATTAAATTTTGAAAGGATAATGAACCAATCTGAATACTGGGAGGCTGATGCGGGCAGATCACCTGAGGTCAGGAGTTCAAGATCAGCCTGGCAAACATGGCAAAATCCTGTCTCTACTAAAAATACAAAAATTAGCTGGGTGTGTGGTCATGCATGACTGTAATGCCAGCTACTCTGGATGCTGAGACAGGAGAATCACTTGAACCCATGAGGCAGAAGTTGCAGTAAGCCAAGATCACACCACTGTACTCCAACCTGGTAACAGAGCAAGACTCCACCTCAAAAGATAAAAAATAAAAAATAAATAAAATGCAGCTGTTTCAGTTTGCATGTTTTTGGTTCAAATGATGGGAAACTCAATTCAACTTCTTTTGAAATATAAGAAAATTTATTGATTGGCTGGAATAATCGCACTTTTCAATGTCATGAAAATACTTAAGGTTAGTTGATAAAATGGATAAATTATGTTTTTAAGGAGCCCTATTATTATTTATTTTGACCCATGAATTACAATATTGGATTAAATCTGGCTTTCCTATGACAAGAAGGATTGCTATTTGTAGTGATTTAGAGAGGGCTCTTCCCACAACTGTGGCAGAGGTAATTGACCTTATTATGATGTGGAATGGAAGTGTTATAACACAATGGTTGCAAGATATAATACTTTTGTCTTCCAGGTTACTAAGTTGAGCACATCTTACCATTCCGTTTTCCAATGGTGGTAATAAATGAGAAAGTGCAGATGTCCATTCCTGAATGGGTATAATGAACAGGGATGAGATGTTTTTAGGATGAAAGTCTGGACTATTCCGCTAAATAAGTTATGAGATCAGTAGCAATGCTAGCAGAAGATGAAGGGGGAAAAAAATTTGGTAAGGAAGAAGAAGGTAAATAGCAGTTGCAACTCTTGAGATCAGCTGCAGTGGTAAGAGACATAGTTTGTCCTCAAACCTTTCTCTTTGAGTTCTCAAGTAAGAGAATCCTAAAGGAGCTATTCTGATAATTCATATAAAGATATAAATTCAAGTGTCATAAGGTGTATGTTGTGGTGTACTTGAGGAGAACATGCCCTGCCCTTCATTTAGGAAAGAAGAGTTTATTTAAGCTGTTGGATGTGCTGTTAGTAGAGAGCCTTCAGATCATAGCACCTTCAATATCTGTAAAGGTGCAAAATCTACCTCAAAAAGGTCTCATGCTCTTTCCCAGAGATATCCCTTTTTGCATCCAGATTAATATTTAGCTTCAGGTATAATTAGAGTGCAAGTAGAAAACAGGGTCCTTTTCTATAAGAAAATAATTTATTCTGCTAAAATTGCAAATCCAGATAATTTAAACAATGACAATCATAGGAATATGTGGAACTGGATCTTGTGGATATTGAAATGCAGATTGACATTGATTAGGCTGCATGGGGGAATGTTTATCAGTGTGAAAATAATCTCCCATAAATATATGTGGCACAAGGTTTATGTTGACTAAAATCGCTGAGCACATCCTGTGTGTCAGACATATAGAAGAAAGCATTCCAAGTGTTTAGGGTGGATGTTCAGGTGTCACCACGACTAACGCTTTTGGAGGCCATTCCAATGTTCTATCTAGACAATAGCTTCTAGGTGATGGGAAATGTGGTCATTGCAGTAAATTCTATGGCAGTAAGTTATTCTTAATTTTTTTAAATTGTTTCTTACTTTAAGTTCTGGGGTACATGTGAAGAATGTGAAGGTTACATAGGTACACCTGTGCCATGGTGGTTTGCTGCACCTATCAACATATCATCTAAGTTTTAAGTCTCACATGCCATAGGTATTCATATTAATGCTCTACCTCCCCTTGTTACCCACCTCTCAACAGGCCCTGGTGTGTTATGTTCCCCTCCTTGTGTCCATGTGTTCCCATTGTTCAACTCCCACTTATGAGTGAGAACATGCAGTGTTTGGTTTTCTGTTGCTGTGTTATTTTGCTGAGAATGATGGTTTCCAGCTTCATCCATGTCCCTGCGAAGGACATGAACTCATTCTTTTTTATGGCTGCATAGTATTCCATGATATACATGTACTACATTTTCTTTATTCAATCTATCATCAATGGGCATTTGGGTTGGTTCCAAGTCTTTGCTATTTTAAATAGCTCTGCAATAAACATATGTGTGCATGTGTCTCTATCATAGAATGATTTATAATCCTTTGGGTATATACCCAGTAATGGGATTGATGGATCAAATGATATTTTTAGTTCCAGATCCTTGAGGAATCACCACACCGTCTTCCACAGTGAATGAACTAATCTACACTCCCACCAACTGTGTAAAAGTGTTCCTATTTCTCCACATCCTCTCCATATCTGTTGTTTCCTGACTTTTTAATGATCACCATTCTAACTGGCATGAGATGGTATCTCATTGTGGTTTTGATTTGCATTTCTCTAATGACCATTGATAATTACCTTTTTTTCATGTTTGTTGGTTGCATAAATGTCTTCTTTTGAGAAGTGTCTGTTCATATCCTTTGCCCACTTTTTGATGGGGTTGTTCATTTTTTTCTTGTAAATTTGTTTGAGTTCATTGTAGATTGTGGATATTAGCCCTTTGTCAGATGAGTAGGTTGTGAAAATTTTCTCCCATTCTGTAGGTTGCCTGTTCACTCTGATGGTAGTTTCTTTTGCTGTGCAGAAGCTCTTGAGTTTAATTAGATCCCATTTGTCAATTTTGGCTTTTGTTGCCATTGTTTTTGGTGTTTCAGTCATGAAGTCTTTGCCCATACCTATGTCCTGATTGGTATTGCCTAGGTTTTCTTCTAGGGTTTTTATAATTTTAGGTTTTACCTTTAAGTCTTTAAGCCATCATGAGTTAATTTTTTATAAGGTGTAAGGAAGGGGTCCAGTTTCAGTTTTCTGCATACGGCTAGCCAGTTTTCCCAGCAGTATTTATTAAATAAGGAATCTTTTCCCCATTTCTGGTTTCTGTCATATTTATCAAAGATCAGATGGTTATAGATGTATGGTGTTATTTCTGAGGCATGAATATTTCTGATGGTTTTAGATGTGTGGGGTTTTCCTCTTTTATTCTGTTGGTCTATATATCTGTTTTGGTACCAGTACCATGCTATTTTCGTTGCTGTAGACTTGCAGTATAATTTGAAATCAGGTAGTGTGATGCCTCCAGGTTTGTTCTTTTTGCTTAGGATTGTGTTGACTATACAGGCTCTTTTTTGGTTTCATATGAAATTTAAAGTAGTTTTTTCTAATTCTGTGAAGAAAATCAATGGTAGCTTGATAGGAATAGCATTGAATCTCTCAATTACTTGGGGCAGTATGACCATTTTCAGGATATAGATTCTTCTTACCCATGAGCATTTGTTTGTGTCCTCTCTTATTTCCTTGAGCAGTGGTTTGTAGTTCTCCTTGAAGAGGCCATTCATGTCCCTTGTATGTTGCATTCCTAGGTATTTTATTCACTTTGTAGCAATTTTGAATGGGAGTTCACTCATGATTTGGCTCTCTGCTTGTCTGTTATTGATGTATAGGAATGCTTGTGATTTTTGCAGATTGATTATGTATCTTGAGACTTTGCTGAAGTTGCTTATCAGCTTAAGGAGTTTTTGGGCTGAGATGATCAGGTTTTCTACATATACAATCATGTCATCTTCAACAGAGACAATTTGACTTCCTCTCTTCCTATTTCAATATCCTTTATTTCTTTCTCTTGCCTGATTGCCCTGGACAGAACTTCCAATTCTATGTTGAATAGGAGTGGTAACAGAGAGCCTCATTGTCTTGTGCCATTTTTCAAAGGAAATGCTTCCAGCTTTTGCCCATTCAGTACATATTGGCTATGGGTTTGTCATAAATAGGTCTTATTATTTTGAGATATGTTCCATCAATACTTAGTTTATTGAGAGTTTTTAGCATGAAGGGGATTGAATTTTATCAAAGGCCTTTTCTGCATCTATTGAGATAATCATGTGGCTTTTGTCACTGATTCTCTTTGTGTGATGGATTACATTTATTAATTTGTGTATGTTAAACAAGCCTCACATCCCAGGGATAAAGCTGACTTGATTGTGGTGGATAAACTTTTTGATGTGTGGCTGGATTTGGTTTTCCAGTATTTTATTTAGGATTTTTTTCATCAACATTCATCAGGGATATTGGTCTGAAGTTTTCTTTTTTTTTTATGTCTCTGACAGGTTTTGGTATCAGCGTGATGCTGGCCTCATAAAATGAGTTAGGGAGGAGTCCCTATTTTTTCTATCATTTTGAATAGTTTCCAAAGGAATGGTACCAGCTCCTCTTTGTACCTCTGGTAGAATTTGACTGTGAATCCATCTGGACCTGGGCTTTTTTGTTGTTGTTGGTAGGCTGGTAATTACTGCCTCAATTTCAGAACTTGTTATGCATCTATTCTGGGATTCAACTACCTCCTGGTTTAATCTTGGTAGGGTGTCTGTGTCCAGGAATTTATCCATTTCTTCAGATTTTCTAGATTATTTGCATAGAGGTGTTTATAGTATTCTCTGATGGTAGTTCGTATTTCTGTGAGATCAGTGGTGATATCCCCTTAATCATTTTTTATTGTGTCTATTTGATTCTTCTCTCTTTTCTTCTTTATTAGTCTGGCTAGCAGTCTATCTATTTTGTTAGTCTTTTCAAAAAAACACCTCTTGGATTCCTTGATATTTTGAAAGGTTTTTCATGTCTCTATCTCCTTCATTTCTACTTTGATCTTAGTTATTATTACTTGACTTCTGCTAACTTTTGAATTTGTTTGCTATTGCTTCTCTAGTTATTTTAATTGTGATCTTAGTGTGTCAAGTTTAGATCTTTCCTGCTTTCTCTTGTGGGCACTTAGTGCCATAATTTCCCTCTGAACACTACTTTATCTGTGTCCCAGAGAGTCTGGTGATTTGTGTTTTTGTTCTCATTGTTTTCAAAGAACTTGTTCATTTCTGTCTTAATTTTGTGATTTACCCAGTAGTCAATAAGAAGCAGGTGGTTCAGTTTTCACGTAGTTGTGTGATTTTGAATGAATTTCTTAATCCTGGATTCCAATTTGATTGCTCTGCTGTCTGAGACACTGTTATAATTTCCATTTTTTGCATTTGCTGAGGAGTGTTTTACTTCCAATTATGTGGTCAGTTTTACAGTAATTGTGGTGTGGTGCTGAGAAGAATGCATATTCTATTGATTTGGGGTGAAGAGTTCTGTAGATGTCTATTAGGTCTGCTTGGTCCAGAGCTGAGTTCAAGTCCTCAATATCCTTGTTATTTTTTTGTCTCGTTTATCTGTCTAATATTGTCAATGGGGTGTTAAAGTCTCCCATTATTATTGCGTGGGAGTCTAAGTCTCTTTGTAGTTCTCTAAGAACTTGCTTTATGAATCTGGGTGCTCCTGTATTGGATGCATATATATTTAGGATAGTTAGCTCTTCTTATTGCATTGATCCCTTTACAATTATGTAATGGCCTTCTTTGTCTTTTTTGCTCATTGTTGATTTAAATTCTGTTTTATCAGACACTCGGATTGCAACCCCTGCTTTATTTTGCTTTCCATTTGCTTGGTAAATATTCCTTCATTTCTTTATTTTGAGCCTATGTGTGCCTTTGCACATGAGGTGGGTCTCCTGAATACAGCACACTGATGGGTCATGACTCTATCCAATTTCAAGTCTGTGTCTTTTAATTGGGGCATTTAGCCCATTTACATTTAAGGTTAATATTGTTATGTTTGAATTTGATCCTGTCATTATGATGCTAGCTGATTATTTTGCCCATCAGTTGAGGCAGTTTCTTCCTAATGTCCATGGTCTTTACATTTTGGTTTGTTTTTGCAATGGCTGGTACCGGGTTTTCCTTTCCATGTTTAGTGCTTCCTTCAGGAGCTCTTGGAAGGCAGGCCTGGTGGTAAAGAGTCTCTCAGCATTTGCTTTTCTGTAAAGGATTTTATTTCCTCTTCACTTATGAAGCTTAGTTTGGCTGGATATGAAATTCTCTTTTCTTTAAGAATGCTGAATATTGGCCTCCACTTTCTTCTGGGCTGTAGGGTTTCTGCTGAGAGATCTGCTGTTAGTCTGATAGGCTTCCGTTTGTGGATAACCTGACCTTTCTTTCTCGCTACCCTTAACATCTTTTCTTTCATTTCAACCTTGCTGAATCTGACGATTATGTGTCTTAAGGTTGCTCTTGTTGAGGAGTATCTTTGTGGTGTTCTCTCTATTTCCTGAATTTCAATATTGGCCTGTCTTGCTATGTTGGGGAAGTTCTCTTAGATAATATCCAATATCTCTTAGATAATGGAACTTGGTTCCATTATCCTTGTCACTTTCAGTACACCAATAAAACATAGGTTTGGTCTTTTCACATAGTCCCCAGTTTCTTGGAGTCTTTGTTCATTTCTTTTCATTCTTTTTTCTCTAATCTTGTCTTCACACTTTATTTCATTAAGTTGATCTTCAGTCTCTGATATCCTTTCTTCTGGTTGTTTGATTCAGCTATTGATACTTGTGTATGCTTCATGAAGTTCTCTTGCTTTATTTTTCAGCTCCATCAGGTCATTTGTGTTCTTCTCTAAACTGGTTATACTAGTTAGCAATTCCTCTAACCTTTTTTCAAGGTTCATAGCTTCCTTGCGTTGGGTTACAACATACTCTTTTAGCTTGAAGGAGATTATTATTACTCACATTCTGAAGCCTACTTCTGTCAATTCGTCAAACTTATTCTCCATCCAGGTTTCTGGGGTTTCTGTGTGGATGTCCTTTTTGTTGATATTATGCTATTCCTTTCTCTTTGTTAGTTTTCCTTCTAACAGGCTCCTCTTCTGCAGGCCTGCTGCAGTTTTCTGGAGGTCCACTCCAGACTCTGTTTGCCTGAGTATCACCAGCAGAGGCTGCAGAACAGCAAAGATTGCTGCCTGTTCCTTGCTATGGAAGCTTCCATCCAGGGGGGCACCTGGCAGATGCCAACTGGAGCTCTCCTGTGTAAAGTGTCTGTCAACCCCTGCTGGGAGGTGGCTCTGTGATTAAAAAAACACTATTTCCTTCCTAGCTTGCATGGGCCAGCTCTTTAAAGAGCACCCATTTGGTGGTGCTGAGGCCTTCCTTCTGGCGGTAATGGCCTATGAGTGAGATTGTCAGATGTGTAATGGCAATTCAGGGATCCTAGATTGGGAAAGCAGGATTTAGGAGCTCCCAGCACAGTTAACACGTAGTCCCATCAGGGCCTCAATTTGACATCCAAGATCTCAAATTGTATATCCATAGTGAATGTGGACAAAGCTCTTTGGGTGTAATTTCAAATGTACAGCTCTTTTATTCTGGTTCTTCTCTATTTTCACATCTATAAACTAGAGATAGTGTTTTTCTTTCACATTCTCAGCAAACAAGGAAGAGAGGAGTAGATAACCAAAAACAGACACTTGTGTTCACAAGGAAAGGCTAAGGTGCTTCCTTCAGTGCAATTTCCTTAAAAACGTTGTAATATATCTGTGTTTTTTAATTGGCATTTACAACATTATAAAAGAGGCATATTCACAGATATATTTGCAACTGACTCTTCTTGGGTTTGAGCTGAAAGTCTGTGTGTGTGCAGTGGGATAATTCCCATAAGAGCCTTAGAATTATTTTTGTTTAAGTGGTAGGGTTTATGAGACACATTTAAAAATCTTTCTGAAGTCTCAAAGAAGCTTTCATTGACGACTTTAAGATGACATTTATTCTGACGTTTAAAGCATGTGGCATTGGCTTTAATATCAGAAGCTAGGTGACATTGCTTATATTGAGTCTTTAGATCTTTGGAGAGACTGGAAAGGGAAACCAGTTTTATTTTTGAAACTGGCACGTTTTGGCTCATTTTTCTTGTACATTTTGCCTGAAAATTCAAGTTATTCTTTTAACTCATATTTTTATCTATGCCTTATCATATTACACAGTGTCACAAGAAACAGGTTGAACTTTCAATATTGCACTTGAAAATTTTAACTGAATCCACCTGTTGACTTAAGTACACTGTCTGTTTTCTACATTACTAGAGGTAGCAATATCACCAAACCTTCCTTTCTGGCACTAGATAAGGAGTCATTTTTTTTCTTTTTTCTCCTATTTACTTCTGTCTTTTCAGCATGTACTTACTTACACTGTCCAGGAGACCCTTCTAGGTGTCATGTAGCTTCTGGTATTAAAGTCTGTGCTACATGTTTTGGATCGTTGTTATGGAAACACCACACTTACAGGTGCCAATTTTATTCTGGTCATCTCTTCCTGCATTGTACAAGACTCCACAGTTTTTGTGACTTAAAACAATCACCATTTTATTTTAACTTTAAATTTTATGGGCTAGGAATTCAGGCAGTTGCTGGCTGGGTATTTCTTCTGCTTCATGTGGCATGGACTGAAGTCACTCAGTGTTATTCAGCTGATAGCTGGGTCATCTGTAGGGTCCAGGGAAGCTTACTTTGTATTTCTAATAACTTTTAAGTGATGACAGGAAGAGATCCACTGAGTACTTCCTCTGGTCCATTTAGATGAAGGACCACAAGGTCTCTCCAACAGGATAGTCAGGCTTTTTACATGGCACTAAGAGATCCACAGGTTAGAAAGTAGAAGACGTCAGGCCAATTAAGGGCTATGTCCAAAACTGGCACAATGTCAGTTGCAACATCTTCTGTTGTTCAGAGTGGTCACATGACCATCTCAGATTTGAAATGTTACAGAAACAGATGATAGCCCTTGATGGGGAAGCGGCAAAGTCACTTTGCAGAGCAATGTGCAGAACAATTTTCTACATCTGAAAAGGCACATGTTGGAAGTTTTATTCAGACTGAGTTGCATCTATAAATCATCTTGGACTGAATTAACATCTTAACAATAGTGGGTTTCCTAATTCTTGAATACATACATCTATTTGGCGTTTTAAATATTTATGTTTGAAAAATTTTGTAGTTATTATTGTAGGATCACACTCATCTGGTCCTAGTTATTTTTGTGTCCAGATGATTTCACAGGTTTTTAATTAAAAAAACTTCAATCGTTATTGCTGTTAGTATTTATAAATGCAGTTGATTTTTTCATTTGGCATTTGAGTCCTATAAACATGATAAATCTACCACTTATTTCTTGTCATCTCTGTAGATTCTTTAGTGTTTTATGAGACACTATCCTGTTATCTACAAACAAGAATAGTTCATTACTTTGAGGGATAGAGGAGCGTTTAACTTTTCAATTTGTTTTGGGGTCATTTTCAGAAGGTCAGGTTTTCCCCACATTTTACCCTTTTATCTAAGCTGTCAAATTAATTAAAATAATGTTTTTCATAACAATTCTTTTCTATCACTTTAAAGTCTAAAGGATCTATTTGAAGATGATTGTTTAAAATTTCTGATGTTGGTAACTTGAATTTCTATTTCTTTTCTCTTTCTTGATCATTCTTTCTAGAAGTTTATCAATTTTATTATAAAAGTAACAACTTTTGACTGTTTTGATTTTCTCTAATGTTTCCTATTTTATTGATTTTTGATCTTATATTTATCATGTCCTTTCTTTTATTTAACTTGACCTTAATTGACTCTTCTTAAGGTGAAAGCTCAGCTGGATGCTTTAAAACATTTATTTTTAATCTATAACACACATACATATATATAATATAACACTTTTAATATAACACTTATAGCTATTTATAGTTATATGACACATAGCTATAACTTTTTCTCTCAGTACTATTTTAATTACATCTCACACATTTTGATATGTTTTAGTGTTGAATTCTAAATATTTGCTTATTTCTATTATAGCTTTTACTTTGATTCATAGGTTATAAAAATTATTGCCAAGATTCCAAATATTTGAAGATTTTCTAGATATATGAGCTGTTTATTACCATATAAAAGTTACTCTAAAACTTCGACTGGATATGCTATGTACTTATTATGTCTCAATTTTTGAAGGTCAGGAAACTAAGGATGGCTTAGCAGATTCCAGTGCTTCAGGGTCTCTTACAAATCTGTAATCATCGTCTGGTTGGGGCTATAGTCTCATATGAAGGCTTGGCTGAGGAAGGATCCACTTCCAAGCTGGCTGTTGGCAGGACTCAGTTTCTCAATAAAAATGAAAAATCTTTTGAAAGTGTCATTCTACTTAACATCTAACAGCACTTTGAAATTGTTTTATATGTTTTACTGCTGCATGTTATTAACTTCTGAATATATTGTTTATTAATTTTGTTTGAACAATTTTTATAAAAATGACTAAAAAAGAAAGAAAAAGAATCTTTATTTAATCCCTATGCATTATCTCTACTTTCTTAATTCTTTTCTATAAATTATAATTTTTATGTAATATTGTGTTTTTCTGCCTGAGGAACTTTTTTTTTTGCATTTCTTATAATACAGTTCGGCTGTCTATGACCTATCTCATCCCTCCAGTACTGAGCTTATTACTGAATTGCATAAGGCAGGTTGAGACTACATTTAGCTCTCCCCTCAACACAAAAGAGGTAAAAGATTGAAAGAGTGAGAAGAAATTCCATCAATTTGCTAGTGCAAGGGGTGTTGGAAAAGAGTTTGATGTTCAATTTCTGCTATAATAGAATGATGTAGTAAATGTTTCAGCTTTCTGTTGAAACTCAAGAAGTTCCATGTCTCAGCAATAATGTCTACATCCCAGAATTACAGATTATACGATAGCCCTTTTAGATATTCTTTACCAATTGGGCTACTCATTTTCTTTCTTTATCTTTTATCATCTTCATCTTTTTATAGTTCTAATTTGTTCTTATGCAGTTGTATCAACAGAAGAATTTACTGCATTGTACATTTCAAAACAAATAATACAATTATCAGACAGAGCATTAAATAACTTCAGTTTAGTTCTCCCATTCAAGTGAGAAGGGGTTCATTGTCCTTTCCTAGCATTAGCTGACTTCATGTCACATATGAGAGAAACAGGAGTTTTATTTTCTTGAAACAAAACAATGTCTTGAGGAAAGAATAGTCATGTCCATTCTAGGCATTATCACCCATCTGTGTGTTCCTTTCCCATCTGGCATGGTTTTTCTGTGTAACTATTACCTATATAAACCCAATTTATATTTTTGATTAAGCCATTATTATGTGGTTTGTAAGGAATGTAATATGTGCATGTGAGGTACTTCTTTTTGTCTGTTTGTTTTTGAGACAGAGTCTCACTCTGTCACCCAGGCTGGAGTGCAGTGGCACCATCTTGGTTCATTGCAACCTCCACCTCCCGGATTCAAGGTATTCTCCTCCCTCAGCCTCCTGAGTAACTGAAATTATAGACATGCACCACCATGCCCAGCTAATTTTTGTAATTTTAGTAGAGAAGAGGTTTCACCATGTTGGTCAGGCTGGTCTTTTAACTCCTGACTTCAGGCATCTGCCCACCATGGCTTACCAAAGTGCTGTCGATTACAGGTGTGGGCCACTGTGCCCAGCCTATGTGATGACTTCTTAGCTCACTTATGCCCACTGACCATAATAACATTTGTGCTTTGATTCCAGGAGATTTGGGGAATCAAATTGGTAGGCCATGACTTGTTTCAATAGCCTGATGGTGTTTTCTTCTATGGCTTGGATCACAGGCTAAGTGAATCTCAAAGTGTCATTAAAAGTTTAATAAAGATAAATCCATTTGACATCACTAGGAGCTATGACTACTGGTCCTTTGTAATAACCCTACAAGTTCAGTTGTGGCTCTGGGCCCTAACAAGCACTCTTTAAGGCTATTTAAAGCAGTGATTCTGCTATTGTTATAGTGCCTTAGTATTTATCATATTACTGGCTTTGCTTGATGTAATGGAGTATGTCTCTATTCTTCCCATCATTATACATCATTCATCTCATATATCCAAGTGGCCACATGAAAATCCTGGGACAAAGGCTTTCTATTCCTTTTTAAAAAAGAGTCATTGTCATTTCTTTTGTGTTACTAGGATGTGAAATATATGGTATATTTGATAAGGTTTCTAAAATATCTCTGATGATCATGGACCATTTTGTTCCAAGGAACTTGCCTGATTAGTCCAAACTCTGTATTTTGGCTAGACTGATCAATTATCCATGGGGAAAATAATAAACATATTTTGCCTTTTTTTCTACATGAAACTGAACTATTCATGTTTTTCCTTTGATTCTAAAAGTTCATCTCAAAGCATAAAGAGATGGAAATCGCAATTAAATTTTGAAAGAATAATGAGCTATTCTGGATAAGACAGATTATAAGGTTATAACAATAAAACAATGTGGTACTGTTTCAAATATATACATATGTAAATAAACAGTAGGATTTATATATTACTTCAGTTTCCTATACATATTTACATTAAGGATGTTTTATTTAAGATGTTTTTGTTACAAATGACAGAAAAATCAAACTATTTTGAAATAGGATATTTATTGTTGGCTGACATAAGTGTAAAATTCAATGTTATATAAAGCTTCATGGTAAGTGGATAAAATTGATTAATTATTTAATGAAGGAGCTCTATTGTTTGTTCATTGTATCTGGTGTGTCACATGTTGGATTTAATATCGCTCTCCTGTCACAATAAGGGTTGCTCTCTGTAGCCATTGAGAAAAGGTTCTTTTAAAAACTGTGGCAGAAGTAATTGACCTGATTATGATGTGGAATGGAGGTGTTATAACACAATTGTAGCAGGCAATGATATATTCGTCTTCCAGGTGACTGACATGGGCACATCCTGTCATGCCCTTTTCTAATTGTGATAGTAAGTGAGAAAGTCCAAAAAGTAAAAAAATAAAAAGAATCCAGTTCTGAATGAGTATAGTGAACAGGGATGAGTCACTTTGAGGATGAAGGTCTAAGCCACACCTTTAAGTAAGTCATAAGATCAGTAGCGGTGCTAGTAAAAGGTGAAGTGGGAGAAATAGAATTGACAATGAAGGAATAAGATGGTAAATGGCAGTTGCAACTCTATGATCGGCCACGGTGGCAAGAGATGTCATTTGTCCCTTAACCTTTCTCTTCTAATTTCACCCCAGGAAGAGAATCCTGAAGGAGCTGTTATCATGTGTATATCAAGAAATGGATTCAAGTGACCTAAGAGGTGGACTCTGATAGGTATAAGAATGTACTTCTTTGCCCTCTCTTTATGAAAGAAAGATATATTTTTCCAGTTGCTGGGCATGCTGTTAGTAGACAACCTTCAGATATTAGCCCTTTCAATATCAGTAGAAGCTGTAGAAAGCCACCTCACCAAAGGCCTCATGTCCTTTTCCAGAGAATTCCCTTTTTGCATCTAGATCAGTATTTAGGTTCAGGTATCACTAGAGTGCAAGTGGGAAATATGGCCTTGTTGTAGAAGGAAATATTTCATTTGATTAGCAAATTGCAGCTTCTAAATAATATGCACAGACAAGAATTGGAGGAAAGTGTGGAAATGGATCTTGTGGATATTGGAACAAAAAAGGCAAAGTAGATGGCTGCATGGGGCAATGTTTATTAGCATTGGGATAATTTCTCAGAATATATGTGGCATGGGTATATGATGACTAAAATTTGCTGAGCACATACTCTGTGTCAAACATATGGGAAAGAGCATTTCAATTTCTCAGGTAAGGATTGTCCAGCTGGCATTGTTACTCACCCTTTAGGAGGCCATTCCAATGTCCCATTTGTTCAGCTTCTGGGTGATGAGAAATGTGGTTATACCAGTAAATTCTATTGTGGTGAGTGATATGTTTTACTTTATTTACTAGAAATGTTTCTTCTGGATAGAGAATAAATGAGATACCATAGCAACCAATAATGGATTCTACTCCATGAATAATAAATAAGGCAAGTGCTAGGACAAATATATAACCAGAATGTATGATGACAAAATGCTGTCTTCTCCATACGGAGGACTTGCAGTGAAGTAAGCTGTCCTAGGGTTGTTGGCTGGCTTATCTTGTTATTTGTACCATGTTAAGAAGCCAATGATGGACATTGCTGATGGCATTTTAGACCCTGAGGTTTTGTAGAGTACTCATCTCTGTCACAGTGACTGCAAAGGTAACTGGGAAAAAGACTGACTGACATCCAAAGTGCAGTTCATGTTTATGAGATTCCTGAAGGCTTCCTCTGCAGTAGTTTCTTTTTGTTAGGTATTTATGTCAGAAACTAACATTGTAGTATTTGGTGTTCATTTTGAGAGATTCATCCACATGTGGTTCTTCCAACTACTTTGTCATCATTTTTCCATTTTTAAATTTCCAATTTCCTCATTAGCTCATCCAATCTGTGAGACAGTATCCCTTTTCAGCGTAGATCCATAAGTATGGTTATTATTCCTTCCACATACAGTGGAAAACCAGACTGACTGATCAAAATACTGCCCTTGGGAGGCTTTTCCTTCACTCCAGTGCTTCCAGACCACCTTCTGGGGACAGTGCAGCATTTGCAGAATTTTGTCTGTTTTTGTCATTCCATGCAGATTGGTTACTCCTTTTGTTGTTGTCATCTTTAAAACATAGTTTGTTTTTTATTTTCTATAACTTTATTGAAGTGTATTTGACAAAAATGTATAATATATATTTAAGATATGCAATGTGATGTTTTGTTAAATGTATACATTGTGAAATGATTACTAAAATCAACATGTTCATTACATCACATAGTTATCTTTTGTGTGTGGTGAGAATATTTAAGATGTATTTTCTTAGCAAACTTCAAGTGTACAGTATGGTATTACCAAGTACAGTCTCTATGCTGTAACTTAGCTCTCCAGAAATTATTCATTCTGCATAACTGAAACTTTGTCCTGTTTGACCAACATCTCCTCATTTCTCCCTCCCCACAGTCCCTAGCAATCACCATTCTACTCTCTACTCTTATGAGTTTGACTTTTTTTTTTTTAGATTCCACATTTAATTGAGATCATGTAGTCTTTACCTTCAGTGTGGAGAAAAGGGAACCCTTCTACATAGTTGATGGGAATGTAAATTGATACAGCCATTATAGAAGATGCTAAGGAGGTTAATACTACCATATGATCTAGCAATCCCACTAGTTGGTATGTATCAAAAGAAAATGAATTAGTATCTTGAAGAGATACCTGCACTCCCATGTATGCTGCAGCATTATTCATAATCACCAAGATATGGAAACAACTTAGGTGTCCATCAACAGATGAATGAATAAAGGTAAAGTGACATCTATCATCTATCTATCTATCTATCTATCTATCTATCTATCTATCTATCTCTATCATGTATCTATCTAATGTGCACATGCACACATATACTCACGTAATATATGGTATTATTAACTACAGACATTATGCTGATGCTGTACCTTAGATCACCAGTATTACTGTAATACCAAAGGTCTTTGCCTTAGCCACACCAAAGAATTGTGGTGGCTGCCCGCGGTGAGTGATAGAGATAGGGACCCATAGAGAGAAAAACCTGTTGGCTTTATTGGGCAGAGTGAAAATACAAAGCTTCCACAGCATGGAAGGGGTCCTGAATGGGTAGCCATTCTTGGTTTTGGGTGATTGCCTTTTAAACTCTTTAAGATGGGAGATACATGTGGTGGGAAGATGTTACCAGAGTGAGAAACAAAGGCAGTAAATTATTTTGTGACATTTCTAGATTTTGAGGAAAACCAGAATTGCAACTTAGGTTTTATCTACTTTATGACCTTGTAGCGGCATGGCAAAGGAGACAGGATCTCACAGGACTTTACAAAATATGTTTACAAGGAATTGGAATTGGGAGTAGAGATAAGGTCCACTGGTCACAGAAAAATGGGCAATTAACATTTCTTTTACTTTAGTTTCGGGGGAAGGGGAAGGGAGAGAAGAAAAAAGGACACACGGAAACTTAAAGCAAAATTTTCGCTGTTTATAGCTTTCTAGGGGGAAGAAAACACATGCACAAATCTGGGTGTTAGGAATATTTTAAACATATATCTTCAGTATTATTCATCCAGGACTGAAAAAAGTCCTGACTCAGGAAAAGAGTGAGTTTCACAGCTTTCTGAACCCCTACTCAACCCAGGAAGCCCAACTGGCCCCTCCTCTCATTACTTTAACCAACATTTATACCTTTTCCCCTTTGTATTTGTATATTTAATGCAATAATATTACATAATAAAATATTATTCAACACTTCAAAAGAACATTCTGTTATTTTGACAACATTAATTAACCTGGAAGACTTAATAACCTCTTTGTTTTTAATTGATAAACAGTAATTGTATGTATTTGTGGAGTACAGTGTGATATTTCTATATCATATGTGATAACACAGATGTACCCAGAGGACATTATGCTAAGTGAAATGATTTCTTGAATAGATATTTAGTGCACTGATTTTCAGTCTTTATTATTTTCTAGCAAACACAAGTAATATTTTAGCTGAGTCTCACAAGATTTGATAGGTTGTATTTTCATTATTATTAGGCTCAAAGAATTTTTAACTTCTGTGATTTATTTTTACTAATGGATTATTTAGAAGTGATTTAATTAATTTTGAGACATAGAAAATTTCTGGCTAATTTTAGTTTTTTTATTTTCTAGCTGATTTTCTTGATGTTTAGTGATATATTTTATTATTAGGATTATTTGAAATTCATTGAGAGTTGCTTTATGAACAAGTATATGATTGATTTTTGAAAATATTTCACATGCTCCTGAAAAGAATGTGTATTTTGCAGCTGTTGCATGTGATGATCTCTCATGTCAATGGGTCAGATTTATTAATGGTTTTGTTTAAATTTTAAATATCTTTATAAATTTTTGTGTGTGTATATTCTAGCACTTAGAGTTGTGCTAAAATCTTCCTGTATTATTGCTGATTTGCCTATTTCTCCCTTTAGGTCAGTCTATTTTTAAAAAACAACTTATAAAGTTGTGCTTTTGGGTGCACACCAATTTATAACTTTATCATCATGTTACTAATCTTTTGTCATTATACAAATTTATTTCTGGCAATATTTCTTGCCTTGAAGTCTAGTTTTGTCTGATATTAACATAGGTATAGTGTTGTTTTGGTCAGAGTTTATGCAGTTTGTTCTATTATTTTATTTTCACATTTTTACCCTGTTATTTAAGATGTTTCTCTTATAAAGCTCTTACCATTGTGTTCTATTTTTAAATAGATAAAATTAATTATGTATTGAATTTAAATCCATTACTTTTCTCTTGGTTTCATGTTTATTAATGTTACCTATGATAATATTCATTTTATTTATTCCTATATTTCTTCTTTCAGTTAGTCTTCCTTATTTCCTGCATTTCATTTTTTTAATTTCAGAGCTTTTTACTCCTTTATGAACATCATTCTTCAGAGCTCTTATTCTATAGTTTGTGGCTGGTTCTAGAATCTCGAAATACTTTTTTTAATTAGTCGGAACACTGCATTTTACATTCACTTCTGTGAGATTTTAAATGGATTCTATGTTGACATTTATATTCATTTATCACTGTGAAGAAGTATTTCCTTTTTCTTTTGGTTTTCACTGCATCTTTTAAGAAGCGGTTTGTCAGTCTTATTATTGTCTCTTCCTTCCTTCCCTTCTTCCTTCATTCCTTCCTTCGTTCCTTCCTTCCTTCCTTCCTTCCTTCCTTCCTTCCTTCCTTCCTTCTGTAGCAGGACGAGCCACAGACAAAAGTCCTCAGACACCGAGTTAAAGAAGGAAGGTGTTTATTCGGCCGGAGGCATCGGCAAGACTACTGTCTCAAGAGCCGAGCTCCCCAAGTGAGCAATTCCTGTCCCTTTTAAGGGCTCACAACTCTAAGGGGGGTGCATGTGAGGGGGTCTTGATTAATTGAGCAAGCAGGGGGTACGTGACTGGGGGCTGCATGCATCGGTAATTAGATCGGAACAAAACATGATAGGGATTTTCACAGTGCATTTCTATACAATGTCCGTAATCTATAGATAACATAACTGATTAGGTCAGAGGTCGATCTTTAACTACCAGGCCCAGGGTGCGATGCCAGGCTGTCTGCCTGTGGATTTCATTTTAGCCTTTTAGTTTTTACTTCTTTCTTTGGAGGCAGAAATTGGGCATAAGACGATATGAGGGGTGGTCCCATCCCTCCCTTCCTTCCTTCCTTCTTCTTTCTTCTTTTTTTTTTTTTTTTGGCAGAGTCTTGCTCTGTCACCCACCCTGGAATGCAATGGCACCATCTTGACTCACTGTAACCTCTGCCTCCCAGGTTCAAGCATTTCACCTGCCTCAGCCTCCTGAATAGCTGGGATTACAGGCACCTGCCACCACACCTGGCTAAATTTTGTATTTTTAGTAGAGACTAGACTTCACAATATTGGCCAGTCTGGTCTCAAACTCCTGGCCTCCCAAGTGCTGAGATTACAGGCATGGGCCACCATGCCTGGGCTTATTATTATTTTCTTGAATGCAGTATGTTCTTAACATTTTTGTCCATATTTTGTTTTTATTCTGCTGTCCATTTTCTTTTTATCCTTTTAAAACAAATTTTTCTTTTTAAAATTCAGTTTTCATGAAACTTAACAATTTATGAATTCATAGTTTAATATCTTTCAGCAGTTTTAGATAATTTTCAGCTGTATCTCCTCTAATATTTTGCCTACCTGATTCTCTTTCTCTCCTGTTCCTGGAATTGTAATTAAATTAAAAGTATGCCAGAGTTTTGCACTGTGTTCTTTATATCTCTTTTATATTGTTTTGCGCATTTGCTTTTTTTGCTTTCTGCTTTGGTCTGCATATTTTCTTCTAATATTTGTTGCAGTTTACTAACTCTCCAATTTTTTGTCTCTAATTTGCTGTTAAATCCAACCATTGTGTTTTTGTTATATTTTAGTTTTCCAATTTACTTGGTTTATTTTATGATCTATCTTGTGCTTTAATATTTGTACACACTAAGCTTATTTAAAAATAATTATTCTTCATTATCTGGATCATCTATGTTTGTTTTTATTGCACTTGCCTTTCAATAAGGCTATATCTTCTATACTTTGTTACTTTTTTTGAGTGCCCGATTTTGCATATGAAAAGTGGCAATTCATGAATTTTTTGGATGTTTTTGTTTCTTTAAGAGAGAATTTCCTGTGTTTCTACTGAGGAGTAGGGATTGGAGAAGTAAAAAAATCCCAGATAGTCTTAATTCAATCAAGAAATTAGATGATGCAAGCTGGACTTCAGTTCCTTTGAGAACTGCCCCAATGTCTGTGCATTCCTACTCCAAGAGTAAATCCTTCTGTGGTCTCAAGTGAAAGCCTTGTTGTTTATAAAGGACTCTTTTCCTTGGTAGACCTTGAATTTTACATGTTATCACTCAGGGTAAAGCATATACAGAAAGTTTCACACAGCTTTTCAGGCTTTCATTTACGGCTTTTAGAATTATTTCACTTTTAGAGAAAGGAGACTGTAAATGTGGGGTTTTGCTCTCTAGCTTTCTTTTTCTTTTTTGTGACAGGGTATTGCTGACTCAAGCTGGACAGCAAGCTTGGACTCAAAACTCCTGGGATCAAGGGATTCTCCCACCTCAATCTTAAAAATAGCTGGGACTACATAACATGCTGATATGGTTTGGCTGTGTCCCCACCCAAATCTCATCTTTAATTGTAATACCCATAATTCCTATGTGTCATGGAGGGACCAGGTGGGAGGTAATTGAATCATGGGAATGGTATCCCCCATGCTGTTCTCATGATCATGAGTGAGTTCTCGTGAGTCCTGATGGTTTTATAAGTGTCTGACATTTCCCCTGCTGGCACTTATTCTCTCTCCTGCCGCCCTGTGAAGAGACATGATTGTAAGTTACCTGAAGCCTTCCAATCATGCGGAACTGTGAGTCAATTCAACCTCTTTTATTTATAAATTAACGAGCTTGGTATTTCCTTATAGCAATGTGAGAAGAGAGTAATACATATGCATTTCTTTTTTTGTTTGTTTGTTTTTGCGACGGAGTTTCACTCTTGTTGCCCAGGCTGAAGTGCAATGGAATGATCTCGGCTCACTGCAATCTCCACCTCACAGTTTCAAGCGATTCTCCTGTCTCAGCCTCCTGAGGAGCTGGGATTATAGGCGCCTGCCACTAAGCCCAGCTAATTGTTGGTATTTTTAGTAGAGACGAGGTTTTACCATGTTGGCCAGTCTGGTCTCGAACTCCTGACCTCAGGTGACTGCCTGCCTTTGCCTCCCAAAGTACTGGGATTACAGGCGTGAGCCACCATGCCCAGCCGCATTTCTCCTTTCAAAAAAATAAATACATATTTTATGTACATTTAACTTTCTAGTTTAGTAATAGGTATGGATGGCAGAGAATTACTATGAACTAAGGCTCTTTCTTTTTTTGCAATTTCTACATTAGTTGATATTTTTGATGAATTTTTTTATTATTAGAGATAATAAATTCAGATTATGGGCTGTTGTAGGCATTATCTGATACAACAAACACTTTTGTGTCATTCAGGAAAGTGGAAAGCAGAGTAGTTATTTAAATTCAGCTAGAAGGGACATAGAGAATTATGGTTTAGTTTTATATTAGTTCTCAATTTTGGAGTCTTAGTTTAATCCACAGTATCTTTGATCATATCTGATAGTTTTCAGAACTAAAAATATGCTTGCACATCTTTTACCACTTGCCAGTAAGAGGGCACAGCACTTACAGACAGGCTCATCAAATTTTAACAGTAATACATATTACATTTTGGGTAGATGAATTTAATCCATTTATTAGGTAAATTGAAAATGACAAACTTTTAGTGGAGCCCATTACATAAAAAATACCTTAGCTGGTTCAGGTAAGTATTTATGGGACCCTGGGACCCCTTATCTATGACTTTTATGACACAGAAGATCCAAAATTTAACTAAACATATGATGAGATGAAGGTGTTCAATGGTCCCAATGATAAGCCAAGTCATGGAAATAACAAAGGCAGCCATTAATCACTGCTCTCTTGTTGGCAAATAAAATTTATTTATTGTAGAAACAGTTATTTAATTTATATTGACATAAAATTAAAGGATTGAATTAATGGACATAGATTCTGACATAGATTCAGGCCTTGATCAAAGCCTGTACTCTAACCTAAAACTGCAGAACTAAGATGATCTATTTTTCCAAGAATCAGAATATCAACTTCCATTCTTAGGCTCTCTGCCTCTGAGCCTCAGGACTTCTTGGGCATGGACTTTCTAACAGGAGGGATAAGGCCCTTCTTGCTGGGAATATGATTAGAGAAGAGAAGCTGGGGCTGGTTCCCCCCTTCATTCTGGCTTAAATATTACCTATCTTACCTCAGTATTTCATAATCTGAAACTCATAATTTATTGTTCAAGTTACTTTAGAATATATTTTTCACATTATAGGCTTTTCACATTACTTGGCATTTATCTACTGTTCTTGGTGAGACCCACATGTTTTTCCTCTAGAGATTTTCTAAGGGGAAAAGAAAGTGTTCAGAGAGACTACATCATTTGAGTTTATTCAAAATATTCAAATTAACTAATCTGTAATGACCTTATTGTCTCTTTTATTTAAATAATGATGATGTAAAAGTTATAGATTGTGTCTACACACATAAATGGACTATTTTCCTCATAGAAAAACCAAAGAGATATCTGAAGAGTTATCTCTTCTACCTTGGGCAGAAGCCCAAGGTAGAGTATATCTTCAGTTGGTATCAAGTCCTCTAGATGTGATGCTTTTTTGTCATAGCCTCCATTTCTTGTAAAAAATTGTGAAAGTTCTCAATTTACTGGGATGAGGTAGAGGAGATATAGGGACATGTTTTTAATTAGGAAGAAAGTGGACTTAGGGGTATGCTATTTGAATAACATTTGAATATCTGAGAGACTAAAGAGTTTGGCTTCTGCCTGTGAGAAAGCTCTATCATTGGTTTTTCCATGAAGTTAAATTTCAGCATTTTCCTTGTTAGGTACAAAGCTTAATAGCTGGGCACATGAATGTTATCATAAATCCTGAGTCACAGTAAAGTACTTACAGTTGTTTCACTATAATCGAGGAAACTTTCACATAACAAATTTTAGTTTTGTTAACTTTCTGTTCATTTGTGTCATAAAATAAGGGGCTTGTGCAGGTTAATTTCCACTAATAAGTAAAGGTTTACATAGTCATGCAAAGATAGTATCTTTATTTTTCTATGAAGAAATTTTCCAGCAGGTAAGAATATCTGTAACAACCTTTCTATATTATGTTTAAGCATCTTTATATTTTGGTCATCTGCTTTGGATAGTGCCATACTTCTCTAACAACTGAGATAATGAGAAGTCTATGTGGAACTGTGGAAACTGTAGCCACTAGGAACTAATTCCATATGCGTGGATCAGCCATCCATTTCATGTGTTTTATGATCACACATAGTTGCATGAGGTATCTACAATAACGTTCAGTGAGAGAAGCATTGCTTTTCTGGACCACGATGTGAGTATTTGAAGCCACTGAAAACAGATATTCATTGAAAATTCCTGTGATATGTTGAAATGTAGCTAATGTCTTAAATCTATATGATTTTCTTGAAGGAATTCTAACTGGGAAAGATAAGCTAGCAAGCATGAAAATTTTTCAGAATATGGAATGTATATTTGGTTTTAATATATAGCCTATTTTTTTCTTTTTCCGTTTGCCAAATAAGAAGAAAA
This sequence comes from Homo sapiens, assembly GCF_000001405.40. Taxonomy (NCBI): domain Eukaryota; kingdom Metazoa; phylum Chordata; class Mammalia; order Primates; family Hominidae; genus Homo; species Homo sapiens. The sequence continues at coordinate 55,427,119 of NC_000011.10, forward strand.
ACATGTCCCATATTACATGTATAGTAAACCAATAGATTTATAATAATAAGCTTAGTTTATGGAAAGTTATTTTTATATGATACATTAGTAAAAGTGTACAATTACTTTCAGATATATTTGATTAGAGAGTTTAAAATTGCAGATCATGTCAAGTGTGTTAGAGTATGAAGGAACAAGTGTCTGTTACGTTCTGGAAGCGTAATATGGGTTTTTACTTAAGAATCTAAAAATTATCCCAGCAAACATACCCATAGATAAATATGCTGAGGAAAGTACCTAGTCTACTGTAATTTAAATAGATTTATAAAACTGTGTAAAATATGATATTATGGAAGTTTTTTGTTATTATGGAATTTTATCTTTTGAAAATTTCATGTTCTTAGACAACTATGTTAAATCATGGTTTTTCTCTAAAAATGATAACTTAGTAGTTTACATTAAAGGCCTAGTAATGCCATCTTTCAATTTTTAATATATAATATTTTAATTACTTAAACTATAGAGGATAGTTTACCTATCATATTTTTTACAAGTAAACATTTAAGTAGCCAAAAGAATTATCCTGTTGAAAACTAGTTCTGATGATGCAAGAATGAAAAGGCACTAAACCTTGCATCAAGTAAGGTGTGAAAAAAGTAACAGAATTGGCTATAGACTACATTATTTTCTTGTGTTCTTCAGTAGGTGCGTCTCTATCAGTCTATAGCCTCAATAATGACAGAATTCTGGAATCAGCTGGAAGAGGTAATGTGAATGAGACATGTGGAATGTTCATCACAGCTGGCTTCTAGAGACAGCTCAAACTCTCTCTGCACACATCCTCTTCCACTGCCAGATCTATGTAAATGGAATCATCCTGTCTACATTTGAAGTTCAGTAATTCTGCAGTTTTCCTCAGCAGCGAATATTCAGAAAGTCTGGGTTTTTATCTCTACTTGTCCCACTGTTCTTTCAAAATTAAGTTGTCCTTAACTGTCAGATCTAGAGACTTTGACAAACAATTTTTTTTCTTTTGAATTTTATTTTCTTTCCTTGTTTTTAAACCAAGATTTTCTGTGTTTTTTAAGGCAACCTCCAAAAGCCTCCTGAGTCACAGCACGGACCCACAGGAGGTTGCACTTTCAATATTTCCTCACTAAAATGAATCTTTCTGAAAAATATTTTGAAAGAATACAAGCTTCAACTATCCCATTAATCTTCTTAATGCTTGTGAAAACTCATTTGTTAACTACAGTTTGTCTGCTTTTGATTTTAGCCTTCTTTTCATTTCCTGAGCTCTTTCCAATGGTAGTTCCACCTTTTTTCCTATAATTCTGCTTGGTTCTTATCAAGATACATTTCATCACAGGTAAAATTACTGCTCACATAATTTAATCATTTTCTAAAACGTACAATTTTATTGTGTGCCCCCAAAGAGTTTTCCTGAATTATATGTACTTTATCTTTTTTTTTCCTGGACTATGCCTATAAATCTTTTCAAGCTGACAAAGATCTACGTGATTTGCTCTGATTATATGTTCACAGTGTAGCATTCAAAAACACTAATTATAGGTATTGTTTATTGAGCCCTTCCCAGGTGCCAGCCAGTATTCTAGGCACTTTACTTTGTTTTTATAAAACAACAACTCAAGGGGTTAGGACTATTGGGAACTCCATTCTAAAAATGATGAAAGTAAGGGACAGAGAGCTTTAGTAAATGGCCCAAAGTTTCAATAAAATGGTGAAGCAGAGGTGGCTGAAGCAGTGTGGCTCCAGTGCCCACATTATTCACATGCTACGCTTTCTCTCCAAGGATGTCTTGGATCTTAAATAGGTACATACTGGGTGAGAAACTTATAGTCACTATTTACTCACTGTAATCATGAAACCCCATGTCCCACTGACTATCATGAGCTTGGAAATTTTTGTTTAATTATAAATTATAAAAAAAGAAAAAAATTGTCAGCAGAATACCATAAAGGAGAGATGCACTAATAGTTCTGTAGATAGTTGACTAGAAAGGATTCTGAATTTCTCAAATTTAATTCCAATATTTTAAAGTGAGCAAACTGAGACAGACTTGTAAATGCATTCGGAAAATGACTCAAATCCATGCCTTCTTACACTGAACTTGGAATTTCTCTTGGAGTATCCTTCTTTTTGGAATCTGGTAACTAAGATTCTATTTTTGAATACTCTTGCTATCTATATGGTGTAATGAATAAAACCTAGTCCCACTGCTCTGTACATCTTTCTACAGTGTCTATTTTCTCCTCTCTCACTACAAAGCTCATCCCAATAATTCAGAAAAAAATGCTCACTGCTTATTTGGTAGTTGGTGATAGCCATGAGTTAGTTTACCTGAGTTCAAAATAAATTGCTGAAAATTCAGATATTGAATGTAAGTGTGATAAAAACTGGGGTATCAGCAAGGAAAAATGGAGAGAATCACAGCTCCTTATAAGTTGGACAAGGAGTCAGATCAAGTAATTGCTACAAGGAACAATGTGATAAATAATATCATAGCTATTCATACAGTTCAGAGTCCTGTGTTTTCACATTTAATGAAAGACTTATGAAGACTAAATATCCTTTAAGGCATGAAGGATTGAAGGTCTAACAGTAGGATGCCAGAGTGATGAGTGAGATATTTCAGAAGGTGTTATTCTTGGTGCTATACAGATCATATAATAAAGATACCAGAAATACAAAAACAAAGGACTTAATCTATGTCAGCTTATTTATTAAGAGGCCTGTTGTGGGGTGGGGGTAGGGGGTAGGGATAGCATTAGGAGATATACCTAATGTTAAATGACCAGTTAATCGGTGCAGCACACCAACATGACACATGTTTACATATGTAACAAACCTGTACATTGTGCACATGAACCCTAAAACTTAAAGTATAATAAAAAAAAAGGAAAAAAAATTGAGACCAAAAAAGAGTTTATTACCACCACCAGAGAGTTATTTTCTTGAGAACAAGAACTTGTTGCCTATTCAGCATAGCTGACTTCCGTACCAAGAAAAATATTTTAAATAAGAAGTTATGAAATGTATGAATGGCTGTTGGCATTTTAACTCTTCTTGTATATAGAATATTCATTAAAACCTAGAGGTAGAGGCATTTACCTGTGCTGAAACTAAAAACCTTTGAGGAGAAATAGAATTGTCAAGGGAAGATAGGCTCTTTGGGTGAAGAACTCAATAGAGACTTACTAATTTTTTTTTTTTTTTTGCATGTAAATCACTATTGAGGCTACAACAATGAAGATGTCTTCTGTGACACAATGGATGTAATCATATTCCTGCTCATGTTTTCATTACAGGTTCTGTTCTCCTGAGCTCTCATCTCTGATACAAGCCTGAAAGAAGATTAAATGAGACAGAATAAAAATAATACAGAATTTGTCCTCTTGGGCTTCTCTCAGGATCCTGATGTGCAAATGCATTATTTGTCATGTTTTACTCACATAATTGGTGACAACAGTGGGGAACCTGCTCATTGTGGTGACTATTATTGCCAGCCCTTCCTTGGGCTCCCCAGTGTATTTCTGACTTGCCTGTCTGTCATGTATAGATGCTGCATATTCCACTACCATTTCTCCCAAACTGATTGTAGAGTTACTCATTGATAAAAAGACTATTTCCTTCCGAGCTTGCATGGGCCAGCTATTTATAGAACACTTGTTTGGTGGTACTGAGATCTTCATTCTGATGATGATGGCCTGTGATCACTATGTGGACATCTGTAAGCCACTGCACTATTTGACCATCATGAATTGACAGGTTTGCATCCTTCTGTTGGTGTTGGCTGTGACAGGAGGTTTTGTACATTCTATGTTTCAAACTGTTGTTGTGTACAATCTCCCTTTCTCTGGCCCCAATGTCATTGACTGTGGGGAAAAGAAAGAGAGATCAGATTGTTACTGTGTCTGTGTAGAAAGAAGTAGACATAGGAGACTCCATTTTGTTCTGTACTAAGAAAAATCCTTCTGCCTTGAGATGCTGTTAATCTATAACCTTACCCCCAACCCCGTGCTCTCTGAAACATGTGCTGTGTCAACTCAGGGTTAAATGGATTAAGGGCGGTGCAAGATGTGCTTTGTTAAACAGATGCTTGAAAGCAGCATTCTCCTTAAGAATCATCACCACTCCCTAATCTCAAGTACCCAGGGACACAAACACTGTGGAAGGCCGCAGGGACTTCTGCCTAGGAAAGCCAGGAATTGTCCAAGGTTTCTCCCCATGTGATAGCCTGAAATATGGCCTCATGGGAAGGGAAAGACCTGACCATACCCCAGCCCAACACCCGTAAAGGGTCTGTGCTGAGGATTAGTATAAGATGAAGGAATGCTTCTTTGCAGTTGAGACAAGAGGAAGGCATCTGTCTCCTGCCCGTCCCTGGGCAATGGAATGTCTCGGTATAAAACCCGATTGTATGTTCCATCTACTGAGATATGGGAAAACTGCCTTAGGGCTGGAGGTGGGACATGTGGGCAACAATACTGCTCTGTAAGGCATTGAAATGTTTATGTGTATGCATATCTAAAGCACAGCACTTAATTCTCTACTTTGTCTATGATGCAGAGAACTTTGTTCACGTGTTTATCTGCTGATCTCTTCTCCACTATTATCCTATGACCCTGACACATCCCCCTCTCTGAGAAACACCCAAGAATCATCAGTAATTACTAGGGGAACTCAGAGCCTGGCGGGATCCTCCGTATGCTGAATGCTTGTCCCATGGGTCCCCTTATTTCTTTCTCTATACTTTGTCTCTGTGTCTTTTTCTTTTCCAAGTCTCTTGTTCCACCTAACAAGAAACACCCACAGGTGTGGAGGGGCAACCTATCCCTTCAATTGACCACTTTGTCTGTGACATGTACCCATTATTGGAACTGGCGTTCACTGATACCTACTTTATAGGCCTCACTGTTGTTGTCAATGGTGGAGCAATGTGTATGGTCATCTTCACCATTCTACTAATATCCTACGGAATCATCCTAAACTCTCTTAAAACTTATAGTCAGGAAGGGAGGTGTAAAGCCCTGTCTACCTGCAGCCCCCACATAACCGTGGTTGTCCTCTTTTTTGTTCCCTGTATTTTCATATATGTTAGACCTGTTTCAACCTTTCCTATTGATAAATTCATGACTGTGTTTTATACAGTTATCACACCCATGTTGAATCCTTTAATATACACGTTGAGAAATTCAGAGATGAGAAACTCTATAGAAAATCTCTTGTGTAAAAAAGCTATCTGTAGTTAGAATAAGAGTGTCCCTCCTCATGTAGATAGGGAGGTGTGTAGACAAGGTCTTCCCAGTATGATTTCCTCCACATGCCCAGCACAGAACGGAGATTCGAAGGAATATGTAAGCAAAATAGTTTCTCCTGTTCAGAAGGGAAGGCTATGGTGCTGCCTTTAGTGTAATTTATTTAAAGACTTTGTAGAATATACAAGCACCATACTCACAAATATCTTTGAAACTTCCCCTTCTCAGACTTGGGCTGAAACTCTATGTTAGTTCAGTAAGATAATACTCTTAACAATCTTAGAATTATATTGGTTTAGTTTAAATTGCTTATGAGACATACTATTAAATTTTTCTGAAGTCTTTCAAAGTGACTTATCCACAACTTTGAAATAACATTTATTTTCATGACCTTTCTTACTTTTAGAGTACTTATCGCTTTGCAGAGACTGGAAAGCAAAACCAGTTTTTTCTTTGAAACCAGGAAGTTCTGGCTATTTTATGCTTCTTGTAAATTCTGTCTGAAAAGGTAAAAGTTAATCTTTTAAGTAATTATAAAATATATCCATGACTTATTATAAGATACAATGCTACAAGAAACAGTTGTAACTTTCAATATTCTATTTGGAAATTTTACCCAAATCTCCCTATTCACTTAAGTACATTTTTTATTTTCTCCGTTAGTGTAGGTGACAGAATCACTAAATTTTTTCAGCAGTACATAGCGACTCACTTTTCTCACACCTTCCGGAACAGTTACGTCTGTCTTTTCAGCCTTTACTGACAATATCCTGGAGGCCCCTATTTTTGAGCACTAAAGCCAATGTCATACACTTTAAAGTGTTGTTATGGAAACACCACACCTTGAGTGCCACTTTTTATGCTGGTCTTGTCTTCATGAATGATGCAGGGCTCCACAGTTTTGTGAGTTAAAACAACCACCATTTCACTTTGGGAGGCTGAGGAAGGTGGATCGTGAGGTCAGGAGATCGAGACCATCCTGGTTAACACAGTGAAACCCTGTCTCTACTAAAAAGAAAATACAAAATAATTAGCCGGGTGTCGTGGCGGGTGCCTGTAGTCCCAGCTACTCTGGAGGCTGAGGCAGGAGAATGATGTGAATCCAGGAGGTGGAGCTTGCAGTGAGCTGAGATTGTGCCACTGCACTCCAGCCTGGGCGACAGAGTGAGACTCTATCTCCAAAAAAAAAAAAAAAAAAAAAAACACCATTTAATTTGATCTCAAAATTTTGTGAGCTAAGAATTCAGGCAGTTGTTGGCTGGGTATTTCTTCTTTTTTGTGTGTGGCAAGGACTGAAGTCACTGTCTTATTAAGCTGATACCTGAGTTTTATGTAAGATGCAGGATGACTTAATTCACATTTATAGCATAGTGGAAGGGATGACAGTAAGAGACTCAGTGGGTCCCTCTTCCTATCTCTTTGGATCAAAAGATCACTCCAGAGAATAGTCAAGCTTTTTACATGAGGAAGTGATGACAGGTGAAAGTTGTGAAAGCAAGCTCAGAGAATGGTGCTCAGAAGTCCCAGTGGTAGAAAGTAGATTGGTCTGGCCAGATAAGGGTTATGTCCAGAACTGGCACAATGTCACTTGCATTATATTCTGTTCATCAAGATTGGTCACATACCACTCCAGATTTGAGGTTTGACAGAAACAGAAGATAATCCTTGGTGGGGAAGTGGCAGAGTCACTTTGCAGAGCAGCATGCAGAACAATTGTCCACATCTCATAAAGAGCACATTGGAGTTTTATTCATTTTATGTTGGACCCATAAATCATCTTGTACTAGC